>NC_000004.12:186800168-187103199 GCF_000001405.40 Homo sapiens
TTCAATTTTCTTTTCTATCCACAGTTTAGGACAGAAATGTCCTTAGGGTCAGTGTCTGGAGTTACCACAAATCAAAAAGCAACATATTGAGTTAATTCTTAAAATCAGAGGTAGAATATCATTCTGGAGTTATAGAATTAAAGAAGATCTGAGCTCTAATTCTGCTCTTTCTTCATAAAATAAGGCAGTCGAGACTGGGTGCAGTGGCTCACGCCTGTAATCCCAGCACTTTGGGAGGCCGAGGTGGGCGGATTACCTGAGGTCAGGAGTTTGAGACCAGCCTGGACAACATGACAAAACCCCATCTCTATTAAAAATACAAAAATTAGCCAGGCTTGGTGGCAGGCATCTATAATTCCAGCTACTCAGGTGGCTGAGGCAGTAGAATCACTTGAACCCAGGAGGCGGAGGTTGCAGTGAGCCAAGATCGCACCACTGCACCCCAGCCTGAGCGACAGAGCGAGACCCTGTTTCGAAAAATAAATAAATAAGGTTGTTGGACTATCATATCTTTAGCATTTCTTCAGTTTCATGTTCTCAGCTATAAGAAAGGCGTTTTTGAACATTAGATAAAAGGATAGTAAAAAGGAGTGAAATGTTCATTCAAAAATATGAACATCATTTAACAGCTTTTGGACAACTTGTTGGATGAAGTATTTTGCATCTCACTAAAAAGTTTCACACCTCCTTCCTGAAACCTTCTCTATTCCTCTGCTAATTTGCAGAAAAATTTGCTTACTTTTTTTTTTTTGAGACGGAGTCTCACTCTGTCACCCAGGCTTGAGTGCAGTGGCGTGATCTTGGCTCACTGCAACCTCCACCTCCAGGATTCAAGCGATTCTCCTGCCTCTGCCTCCTGAGTAGCTGGGACTACAGGCGCCCACCACCACACCCAGCTATTTTTTTTTCTATTTTTAGTAGAGATGGGGTTTCACTGTGTTAGCCAGGATGGTCTCGATCTCCTGACCTTGTGATCCTCCCGCCTCGGCCTCCCAAAGTGCTGGGATTACAGGGGTGAGCCTGGCCTGCTTCCATTTTTTATGGGACCTATAGGGCTTTATCCTTTATACTTTGAGTGCAGTGGCCTGTGCATATTAGTTATCTTCTCTCCCAAAGCACAAGTACTTTGCCACACCTTGTTCAGTTTTGTATCCTACGACAGTGCCTGACATAGTATCTTACACAGAATGCCAAATAGTTTTATTAAATAATTGATCAGACCATTACAGAAGGTATTTGCCAGGGATTTACTAAACTATAACATTGAATTATTCAGTTATTCATTCAATAAACACTTGTTGAAGGTTTGCTGTGTACCCCACACTAGACTGGGGCTAGAGGTATCAAGGTAAATACCGTTGTGGAATTAAGGAACTCCTGAAATAGTAGGCTGACATCTAACCAATGATTTTCCATATAACGTGATACATCAGCAGCATAGGATATGATAGTGTGTGGATCACAGTAAAGATTTTCTAGACAAGAGGATGTAGTTTCTGAGCTAGGTATTAAGGCATTAGCATGTGTTTATAAGGCAAAGCCTCTCTGCAGAGGTAAGAACCAGCAAGGCATGCTGGGAGTGGGGGTGGTGGGAGAGAGGCTAGAAGCAGCCAGGAGGGTCCAGAGGGAAGTTGGTGAGGGCAGAGACTGAATGACTACGGGCAGAGGTACAATTGTAATTTGTTGGAAACAAGTGCTCGGTGTAGCCAAAAGAAATCCTCACTTTGACAGAAAATTCCTCCTCAGCAAGGCACCTTTACTTCTGCAGAAGGGTGTTGCCTGCACCTGTTACAATTGCAAGAGCACACCGAACAAAGGAAGGAAGGGATTTTTAACCCTAACACAGTTCCTGTTTCTGTGTCCTTCCCCTATTGGCTGGGGTTGGACAGCACAATCTAAGCTGATCCCAATTGACTTAAGTTTAAATTTTCCCAATAGGGTAAACTTGGGTTTTAAAGGGGGGTGGGGGGAAGACAAAGAAGAAACGGTTAGGCTTAACAGGAGAGGGGGTAGGATTGTTTACAACTTAGGACCAGGAAGTTGAGTCTTTGAAGAGGAACTCTGTTGTCCCAACAGAGTGATGGAAGCCAATGACAGGTTTTAAACAGGAAGAGTATCACCCCTCCAGCAGCGCCATGGATGATGGTTTAGGGTTGAGAGATTCCAGAGGTGGGAAGACCTACTTGGGCAGACGCTTCAAAAGTTCAGGCTAGAGCTAAGGGAGATCTGGGCCCCCGTGGATGTTGGAGGTGACCAAAGGAAGCAGATGGTCACTCACCTGCTTGTTGTCCTGACACAGAAGACTGTAGCTTTACATTTGTATTAACTTGGATGGATTCTTTCTAGAAAAACATTTAGACCTTAAACCATGAAAATTATGGCCAAGAGGATTAATAGAGAAGTCCAAAAGTTATGTTCACAAGAGGGAAAAAAATGGGAAAAAGAAGGCATGATAACTATATCCTTGTTAATTAAGTTTTGGAGCATGGTAAAAAGCCTTCCTTACTGTTTTGCATATGTCAAATCTGTCATAATACATTTTTTCTGAAATAATGAAAATATCTTTCTCTTTAGTTGACTTTATTGGACACGAGCTGAATTATCAATGTCAACATTTTTGTTCTTGGTGTGTGTGTTTGTTCATGACAGATTCATTTCACCTTGTGACTATAAGAAAGAACATTCGCAGAAAACTTTCTCAGGGGAGGCAGGGTGAGCTTGCATAGTAGGTAAGTTTTAACAAGCAGCCTACAAGAGGAGTGGGGATAATAGTTTATTAGATTTGAAAATAGAATGCAAGTGTATGAAGTGGAGCACAGAGTTGTGTGTGTTCTCTGTGGTGGTTTCGGCATAAACCCCGGGCAGAGACACTCTTCCCTTCCCGGGGAAGAAATGGAGAAGAAAGACGTGGAGCTTGGTCCACTGGAACTCAAGCGAACCTGCCCTTCACACAGAAGACCCAGAGAAAGTGTTATTTGAATAAAATTTATGTAGGATTGTGTAAAGGATTTTAAGTTTTAAAGACAAAATACAAAGTCATACTGGAAGTGAACAAATAACCATCGATCCTACACTTCTCAAACTTTATTAAATGAAACTGCTTAGTTTTCTAAAAAAAAAATCTATTGATTACTGCTAATCAGACTGAATTTTTTTCTTTAAGCTAATACTGGAATTCTATATTTAAATAAATTACTTATAGCTATTACTTTTATTACCAATAATTGGCAAAAATAATAATAAAGAAACATATCCCATATATATATTAACTCTTTATTATGGAAATTTAAGATATATACAAAAGTGGATACAGCATAATAAACCTTAAAGTGCCCATCCTCCAGTGTCAACATTTATTATTTCATTACAATCTAGTTTCATTTTACCCCCCCTTACTCCTTCCCTTATTATTTTTTATTTTAGTATTTAAATTATTATTATTTTGAAGTAAATCCTAAGCATCCATTATCATTTCATCCTCAAAATTTTAGCTGTGTCCCTAAAGATGAAAATTCTTAAAAAAAAAAAAAAACTCAACACAACCACAACAATATCTTTATGCTAACAACAATACTTTTATGGCATTTAAAGATTAACAATAATTTTTTCATTGTATACCTAGCCAAGCCTCACATTTCTAATTCTCTTAAACGTCATGAATATATTTTTGTTTGTTTGAGTCTAGACCCAAATAAGGTATACACACTGTAAGTGCCTGCTTTCTTCGTCTTTATTAATCTATAGATTCTACTTTACTTCCCTTTTTCCCCTTGAAATTTACTTGGTTAGGAAACTGGATGGTTACCCTGTAAAGTTTCCACCAATCTGGAGACAGGGAGTTGCAGTCCCATCAAGCCATTTACCTTGTTCCTTTGCCGTCTGTATTTTCTGAAAATTGTATATAGGGATAAGATCAAATCCAAGTTCATTTTTTTTTGGCAAGATTTCTTCCTAGGTGAACGTGTGTTCTTTAATTAGGAAACCTAATTAAACACAACCTCTGGTGTGCTGTCTTGCTATAGAGTTAATGCGGTTGCTGCACAATGCTTAGATCTTCTTGTACATATTATGATTTTAAAGGTTTTGATGTAAAAACTATTCAAGTGGATAATCTCAACAACCAAAATTTGTTCAGAAGGAATAGGTGTTACCTGAGATTAAAAACAACAAAAACACTTTTTAAAAAACCGTGAACGCAAATAATTCCTAATGACCACATCAAAGGCTCATATCATTTATCCAGATAATATGCCAAGAATCTGCAAGCACCTTGACAAGGAAACTTCTTTATGTGTAATATAAATCACGAATTGCTACCTTATTTAAAAACTGGATGATGATAACAGCTCTGTGACTCCATAAATTTGAGTTTCTAATATTATGCAGAAGAACATAAAACCTGTTTATGCATTATAATGCAGCAATAATGTATCTTCGCAATCATTGGCATAACTAAATCCACTAACTTGCCTGTAGCATGCATAATGACAAGTTTGCAAAATGCTCAGAATTTTAAATTTTGATTCACCTGCAGTTCAAATCCCTGCAGCAATTAAAGAAAAAACACACATATCAAAGCAACAAATACTTCTAACGGAGCAAGATACCGTTTTCAGGGAGAGTGTTTTCATGTGCCCTTTGAGGCTCTAGCAAAACCAGAGTCAAATAGGTAGATATACCTTCATTAATCATTTTGATCAGGACTTGTTTTGATATAAAGAAGATGTGGAGGTAAAACATTTTGATCAGGACTTATATTAAAATATAATCCACATCTTCTTTAAAATAAAGACTCACAGAAATTCAACAAAACACATGTTTAGTTTAAGCTGCCCAATGGGTTTTTTTCCATGCTTTTGGCTACTTTTGTGGATGCAAAATATGAAGTGAAGAAATGAGACATTTATCAGAATCAGGAATTGGCAAACTTTCTGTAAAAGTCTAGAAAGTAAACATTTGAAGAGGCAATTTGGTCTGTCAAAGCTACTCAACTGTGCTATTGTATCAGGACGGCAGCCTTAGACAATATGCAAATGAATGAGCAAGGATGTGTTCCAATAAAACTTTATTAAAACAGACAGTGGGCCAGTTGCAGCCTGTGAGTCACAGTTTGCCGACCCCCAATCCGGTTAATTTAAGACAAATCTTATCGTCTGTTGGAGAAAGTATTTTTTTTTCTCTAAATAATTGAGGTTGGCAGCCCCTATTAGTTAAGTTCAACTGAAGGTAGCTTAATTCTCCACTTGATTTGGTATGTGTAGACACAGGTTTTGTTATATTTTTAAAGCAAGACCTTTGAGAAGGCCAACCACCTGCCTTAGTTTATTAGAATTAATGAGGGATAAGAATGTATTGTCCTATGTAAAACAGAAGAAATCTTCCAGAAGAGGCTTAGTACTTGCAGGGAGCCTCGTACATTTTCACTTGGTTTTATAAAGGAGCCACTTCAAAGTTGGAGACACCAGAGAAAAGAGAGTAAGAAGAAAAGAATTTGTCAAGGCTAGAAATCAATCATTAACTGTGACATTAAACATGAACTTTGTATTCTTGTCGCTTCAAACAACAACAACAGCAAAATCTCACAATGCATTTGAAGTTGACAACTCACTCTGAAGAAGTTGTATAAATTTTTCCATTGTCTGAAATTAAAAATAAATGTCAATATATCTTACACTTGTTTACAATGAACTTTTCTTATAACACTGGTTATTCAGTTGTATAAAATAATTATGTCTTACAAAGATAATTCCACAATCTCAAGGATTTAAAAATACATTTTAAGATATAACATTTAGGCTGGCCTGATCCCAGCACTTTGGGAGGCCGAGGCGGATGGATCACCTGAGGTCAGGAGTTTGAGACCAGCCTAGCCAACATGGTGAAACCCTGTCCCTACTAAAAATATAAAAATTAGCCAGGTGTGGTGGCGTGTGCCTGTAAATCCAGCTACTCAGGAGGCTGAGACAGGAGAATCGCTTGAACCTGGGAGGCAGAGATTGCAGTGAGCCAAGATCCCACCACTGCACTCCAGCCTGGGTGAAAGAGTAAAACTCTGTCTTAAAAAAAACAAAAAAAAAATGTAAACCCAAATGAATGTGTTCCAAAAGGGAAAAATACTATTTGTTTCAGCCTCGTATTTAAAAAATTATGTATCTAAAATTTGTATTAAATTTTTCAAGGTTAGTTTTTGTCATTCCATGAATCAGGCAGAATCTAAATCAAGGCCACTTTTTATTGCATTTTTAAGTTTGTAGGGAAATATAATCCAAACTCAGTAGTGGATGTACTAGGATAATACATTGTAAGTTGTGATCAGTTGTGACTAATTGAAACTGAGAGATTTATATGGAACTGCACTTATTAGGGCAAAGCTATTGTTTTCTTTGCCAGGTAGCAAAAATATGTTTTTTAAGCTTACACTTGTTTCCAAAGGACATTTTCTGGAAAGTTGTCCACATTGTTTTTCTAATGTTGCAAAGACAGTTTGCAAACATTCAACAAATTACCTAACTCTTGCAGTTTGCATTTTCCCCATTTCTATGAAGTATCAAGTGTTGAAAATTCCTCTACAGTCCATAGGCATTTTGTTCTGGCTCCAAAGAAAATTATACTTTTGAAACATAAGGAAAGATTTTACAATGTGTATCTTTTCTTTCAAATGAGGCTTGACTTTTAAGCTTGACGTTTGAAAACTTGAAGATGGACGACATTGATAAATGATACTTTCATATACAGAAGGAAGAAAAGGAATTGGAGAACAAGCTTATAACTGCAGTTTGTAAAATCTGCTAATAAGCCTGCTAATGGGAGACAGATTAAGGAATGTATTTTGCCACAGACTTATCCCTATAGCAGCTACAGCAAAGAACTATGATTTGGGCTTTCAGTTCCTAAGCTACAGTTTTTGTAATGGAAAAAACAAGCGACACAGGTTACTGAGTGATGGACAACGGTGTGTTTGTTAATTGTGTTTACGTATTCACAGAGATGTTCTTTACACTACTTCAGCACAAAACTGCATTTGGATGTAAAACAGCATTTTCATTTAATGATGAAACTGTAAATACGTAACATGGCCCCAGCACTTTCTCTTGCTTGTGTGCTTGTGATCTCATCACAGCCATGCTTGTTTTGAGGGAATTTCTGGCTGCCTTTGCTCATTTGTACGGTCTTAGATCTGATGACCTTTACATTTATGACCTAGTAAATTATCTTCCTCAGCTTTGGAACAAAAAGAGATGGGCCAGTAGTTTTAATCACAAAGGAACCTGGCAATGACCCTGCTAATAGAATACAGATTCTACAATACGTGCTGCAGCTAGTCACCCTTACATTTACTTACATGTTGTTTTACCTTAAAATATTACCGACCTAAGAAATATGACTTTTAAAGCAGTGTAATGAAAAACAGCTCATATACACATTAAGTCTGAGAATATTCTCATGCATCTTTTTTTGTGGAAGCATGTCTATTAATATTTTTAATTAAAGATACAGTGCAGCTTTTTCAAATGCATTAAGTGTTTTATGAAAAAACAAGCACGTGGTAGTATTTATGGGAAAGCTACCACTCATGTTTTTTCGGAATGAATGTTTTAGTAGAATATGTATATGACTGTCTAAATATATGTGTATACATACACACACATATGTATATATAAATAATCTTTGAAAATTGCTGAAGTGTGTGAGCATTTCAGGTTTAACTATATTGTTCACCTGAAATAAGTGAATACATGTAAGTGCTGACCCCGTAAAGAGTTAGATATCCCTGATAGGAGGAATTTCTGACATAGTGTCAACAAGTTCTTGCAGATCCAGATCAAGCCAGCTGCAACTGGGGTAACAGAATCCTTTCACGGTGTTACGAATGGATGATTTTCAGTTAGAGGCTATTAGTTGAGGATTACAGTGCCAGGCAAAATGATGAAGTTCAAGTACTTTGGAGAAAAATTCATCTCTGTGTTGCCATTTACCTTCTAGACATTCTGAAACAAATTTGGCCATGAGCTAGAATTTCCTGTAAAATTTTAACAGTTTTAAAGGAGTGTCTTACTGCACAACAAGGAATGCCTTGGCATGAGAAAACATTTTTGGAAAAGGAAGAATCATGGGAGATTTTTATCAAATAATGAAGAACTAGAAGGGAGGCGGGACATTGTGGTTTGAAAAAATGGCTGGCTTTGGTAGATTAAAACCTCTGATGTTGCCTTTGGAAAGTTGTTCCAGATGAAATTTTTCCACAGAATACTTAGGTAATAAGTCAATTCTCTGGGTAATTAGGCTGTGTCTACATACTTACATATACAGTCAGGCATCACCTAACAGCAGAGATACGTTCTGAGAAATGCAGCACCAAGCAATTTTGCCGTTGTGTGGACAGCATAGAGTGCACTTATACAGACCTAGACGGCACAGCCTCCTCCACACCTGGGCCATATGGTACAGCCTGTTGCTCCTAGACTATACACCTGCACAGCAGGTGACTCTACACTCTAGGCAATTGTAATACAACGGTTTGTATTTGTATATCTAAACGTAGAAAAGATACCGTAAAAATACAGTATAAAAGAAAAAGTTGTACATCTGTATGGGGAGCTTACCACGAGTGGAGCTTGCAGGACTGGAAGTGGCTCTGGGTGAGTCAGTGCGTGGGTGGTGTGTGGAGGTGAAGGCCTCAGACATGACTACGCACCACTGTGGACTTTATGAATGCTGTACACTTAGGCTGCACTAAATTATAAAACAGTTTCTTTCTTCAATAATAAATTAACCTTAGTTTACTGCAGCTTGTTAAACTTGATATACTTTTATTTTTAAAAAACCTTTTGATAACACTTAAAACGCTTTTAAGAACACTTAGCTTAAAACACAAATATACTGTACAGCTGTACAAAAGTATTTTTTCTTTATATCCTTATTTGATAAGCTTTTGACTGTTTAAAATTTTCTATTTTTATTTTTACTTTTTAAATTATTTGTTTAAAAACTAAGACACAAACACACACATTAGCCTAGGCCTGCATGGGGTCAGGATCATGAATATCACTGCCTTCCACCTCCAGATCTTGTCCCACTGGGAGGGCTTCAGGGGCGATAACACGCATGGAGCTGTCAGCTCCCATGACAACAGTGCCTTCTTGGATACCTCCTGAAGGGCCTGCCTGAGGTTGTTTCACAGTTAAGTTTTTTTGGTAAATCCATAAGCCAGTGACATAGTCATTTATTATTATTATCTAGTGTTATGTACTATATAATAATTGTATGGGCTAGAATTTTATACAACTGGGAACACAGTAGGTTTGTTGACACCAACATCACCACAAATACATGAATAATGCTTTGCCTCACGTCACTAGGCAATAGGAAGTTTTCAGCTCTATTATAATCTTATGAGACCATCATCATATATGTGGTCCATCTTGACTGAAAGTCCTTATGTGGCATACGACTATATTTAGTTTGGGAATTTTTGTAGGATTTAACAGATATATTTATTTATTTATTTTTAAAAACTATTGAATTTCATTTTAAAAGTGCACATATTCTAAATGTATACAGCTTGATGAATTTTACAATTTTCACTGTAGTATCCAGTCCCTACATCAAGAAACATAATATATTACCAGCATCTGAGGATCTCTGCTTGTATTTCTTTTCTCCTCATCCCTGTAGTAGCCACTATCTTTATTTCTAAATTATAGATTAATTTTGACTTTGTTACCTTATATGAATTGATTTACAGAAAATGTATTATTTGGTATCTGGATTCTTTCTCTTGACATTACGTTTATTAGATCCATCTGTGTTACTATGAGTAGCTTTCTATTGTTAAGTTTCATTGCTGTATGTATTTTATTGTGTGAATATATCACAATTTTTCTATTCATTCTTCTATTTCTTGGGTAGTTTTTAGTTTTAATGATTATGAGTAGTGCTACTACAGATATTAGTGTACATGTTTTTTGGTGAATATATCTATGCACTTCTGTTGTGTACATCTCTACCTTTAAAAATATATATATCATAGTTATTATAAAAGTATTTGCCAACTCCAATATTGAAATAATCTGTGGGGCTGCATCAATTGTCTTATTTTTTCTTCTTGATTATCGATCATATTTTCTTGGTTCTCATATGCCTAGTAATTTTTGATTTTATGCTGCATATTGTGAAGAAAATAATTACAGAAGTTCCAGATGACTTTATCTTCTGCCGTTGTGCAGGCAGATAGAAATAGAGTAAGAGGATTATAAATTCAATTCAATCACAGATTGAATTGGGTTGGGACTGGGTTGCAGTGTTAGTAAAATTCAGTCTATATCTTACTTGCTGCTCTTCTTCAAATATGGTCCTCATGGTATTTTGAGTGGAATTTGTTAGTTGTTCTTCTTTTTAGTCCAAAAAGACTGCAAGAGATCCAGATCTGTACTTTGAAAGTTCCCAGCCCAGCTCTCAGGCCACCTTTTCCATGAAACTTCAAGAAATGGCAAAAATCTCAAGAGAGACTAATCATGCCCTTGAGGCAGTTCTCTCCCCTGGCATGAGTGTTTCTTAAACACTATGAAACTGCAGGAGATCCATTCTGCTTCTGAGGACAATAGGCTTAGCTTTACAGCCTCCTGCGCAACCTCAACATTCAACGAACGTCCCAGGAGGTAAAACAGTAGTGTGTTTCTGGCTCCTCCCTTCCAGTTTTCCAATTTGTCCTCTGGCTCTATACAACTGCTAAATGCTTTGGTGGCTTTTCTTTTCCAAGATAATGATCTCTGATTGGGCCATACCCTATACTAAGCCTGAGGCTAGAATCAGCAAATACCCTTAGGGAACAAAAATGACTATCAGCAGATCTCCTCACAACAGTTCTTCATCTCTGGAATTTTAGTTGCTTTACTCTTTGTTGTTTCCATAGCTCTCTGACATCTTTATAAAAATATTATTTAAAAAATTTGTTTTCTGCTTTTGCAGCAGAAGCATTGGCCTCTCATAACCTACCACATCCTCTCAGAAGTGAAGACCAAGTAAATTAAGTGTTAATGATATGTTGCATTATATAATCCTTTATATTTTAGAAAGTAAATATGACATCTCAATTTGTATTCTCACAGCAATTCTATGAACTAAGCAAGATGTGAATCAATCCTTCTTGTTTATAAATTAGGAAACTAGGGTCCAAGTAATTAAATCTTGTATGAAAGGTCAATCTGCCAAGAGGTAGAGGAAGGCCTTGTGTCATCCAATTTTCTAACGTCCAGTTGGTTATTTGCTGCATACCACACTGCAATTTTTTTCAGCTTCTTAATTAACAAATAAAGATTCTATACATTTGTTGTGTACCACATCTACTTTTAACAAATAAATATAGACATAGTAAAAAACACATGGGCAGATATATACATATCAATCACAGACTTGAGACCAATGATAATTTTATACATCTTGTTTTTGAGTGTGATGAAACAGGAGAGTTCCCTGCCCTCCCCCCACCTGCACAGGGTGGATGACAGGGGTGCGGCTCTCTATTCGACCACCATGAGCTCAAACCCCTTGTGGGAGAGGGAGCACACAGACCGCCAGGTGCAGGAGCCAGGGTGAGCACTTTGGGCTGCAGCCCCGTGGTAGTCTCTAGGGCTGTGTGCTTGTGACCCCAGACCCCAGTGTTACAATGCCCTTTTAGCTCTGTCTTCCGCAGATGGCTTAAGTGTTAACCAGCTCAGTGCCCCCACTGCCCTTCTGCAAAGGCAGAGGACCTGTGTGATGGCTTTCTATATCCCGAGCTCTTGTCCAGCATCCCAGAAGAATCAGACCACACATGAACTTGAAGGATGAATGTAGGGGTTTTATTGAGTGGTGGAGGTGGCTCTCAGTGGGATGGATGGGGAGCTGAAAGGTGGATGGAGTGGGAAGGTGATCTTCCCCTGGAGTTTGGCTGTCCAGCAGCTGAATTCCTCTCTGACTGCCCCCCAGCTGAATTCCTCTTGTCGTTCAGACATTCCTTCTCTTCTCTTTTTCTCTGCTGCACTGTTCATCTGCTTGCCTCCTCTTCTCCTCCTTTGCTTCTGAAGCCTGGGGTTTGGGGTTTATATGGGTACAGGATAGCGGGGCGTGGTGGGCCAACAGACAACTTTTTGGGCACAAAAACAGGAATGCCTATCTCCATTTAGGGCTGTGGGTCTCCAGGCTTGAGGGTGGGGCCTTTGTCAGAGAACTGCCCTCTTCTACCCAGTATTTCCCTGTCTCTATCCATATCAGTGATACCAGTAAAACAACAACAAAAAAACCTGGAATGCCACATGCATGATGGGGCCTACAGGACACTGAAAGCCATACCTCTGCCCCCAAATATTCACCCTGCTTTACTGTCATGAAGCATGCCTGGAATATCATCATTTTAGCCTGTACCTTTGAATTAAGTGGAGTCCTCTTGAGAATCCTTGTCAGAACAAGCAGATATTCCTGTAAAAAACAGGTTCTGTTTTTTATATCATGAGAATGAAATTGCTACAGGATGGGAACAACACACCATAAGAAGAGAGCTAGGAGGGTGAAGTGCATAAAGGCAAAATGAGGGATAACATACACATTTCATCACATTTCAGAATGGAAGCCAAAGTGCAGGTAAACTGCAAACAGCAGGATGCTCAGAGAAGACCAACATGGTAAGGGGTCAGTTAGCCATAAACTTGTAGATGTCACAGGTAGAAGAAGCCTGACAGGTTGAAAACTTGTCTAATCCAAGGGAGAAAACTGGCAACCTGAGAGCCAGATGGTGTGGCTGTGTGTGTTTGGGTTCTCAGTGGGATGACTTTTAAGCTGACTGGGAATGTCTTTAGGGGTGCAGGAGCTCCTCAGTTTGACAGTCCCCAGTACTTCCTCTTATCTTTTGTTCATTGATTTTCCTCTCTGCCTCTTGAAAGCATTTGAGCTTATGGCCCTTGACAAGTTAAATTATTTTATTTTTTATGTTTTTGAGATTGAGGGTCTCACTTTGTCACCCAGGCTGGATTGTAATGGTACACTCATAGCTCACTGTAACCTTGTCCTCCTGGCCTCAAGCTATCCTCCCACCTGTCTTCTCTTGAGGAGCTAGAACCCCAGTTCATGCCACCACGCCCGGTTTGTCATTTTATTTTATACATGAGATCCTGAGCCCAGGTGGCATGTCCAGCTTAATGAAACATGCCCTTCTTGTCATTATTCTCTGGAAGCACCTTCTCAAATTAGTTCACCACCTATTAATAGTTAATTTACCCATGGTTAGTTTACAGCACGGCATGCTCTTTTTTTATAGGCTTTTCTTTCCACTAGACTGCCTCTTCCTTCCTTCACCCATAAAAGAACAGACATTTTAGCTTCAGTTGATTGATCTAAGGCCAATGGGTAAAAATGTGAAGCACATTTCAACCTAACTATAATGATTAACTTTCTATAAATTTTGATTGTCCTAAAAAGGAACAAGTGGTTTTGAAATAGTACAAACTCTCACTGGGTGCAGTGGCTTACGCCTCCAGTCCCAGCACTTTAGGAGGTTGACTCAGGAGGATAGCTTGAGCCAAGGAGCTCAAGACCAGCCTGGCCAACATGGTGAGACCCCATCTCTACAAAAAATACAAAAATTAGTCTGGCATGGTGATGCACACCTGTGCTTTGAGCTACTAGAGAGGCTGAGGTGGGAGGATCACTTGACCTCAGGAGGTGGAGGTTTCAGTGAGCTGAGATCACCCACTGCACTCCAGCCTGGGCAACAGAGTGAGATACTGTCTCAAAAACAAAAACAAAACAAAACCAACAAAACAAAACAAAAAAAACCACAAGCTCTGACATTGGAAGCGTTCAAGCCAAAGTTAGGAATACTGAAAAGAAAGGGAATTCTTACATTTGGTGAAAAGTTAACTTTGAGATCTTTACATTTTCTTCCAAGTTCAGAAACATATGTAAATCCTGACCTTTATCTGTAGAGTCTGTAAAATTAGCATTTGTACTGGTAGCTGTGTTCATATTTATATCGGAATCCATCTGTATTTCCAGAACTATACCTATGTAACTCTAGCTCTGTTTCTGTGTGTACCATGAAACATACTAACTTGTTTGTGCACTCACATGTTTGTTGAACATAAATGCGTCTAGTATTTATTATGATTAATGTGGTATTTTAAGTGACATTGAGGTTGTAGCAGTAGACCTCAACACGATTAAGCCACTAATAGCTATGTCCAGTAACATTGTCAGGATTAAAAGACAACACTTTAGAATAAACCAAAAGTTAAAGAAGTTGATGATCCTGTTAGACATTTTTTATTTATTTAACCTGTGAGTTGGCGAGACATCCTTATAGCATGTTATCTAGGGTTCAGACCTCTGTCCAGGTTCTGCCAGACCTCAGAACCCTTGGATTCCAGTTGGTTGTGATAATGTGTGTAAAATATTGTTGACACCTGGACAGAGATTCTAATAATAGAATTGAATTCAAAAGAAACTGTCTTTGATTTTGTATATACTTAAATAAGAAACTGTAGAGAGTGGAAACTAAAGCTTTTGTTTTCATGTTCTGTTTTCTTTTTCTTTGTGAAACAGAGAAACAAAACACTTTTTGTTCCTTTGTAGACTCCTCAGCTAATGACATGTTTGGAGATCCGTAAGGCTAGACAATATGGCAAGGCTAATTAAATTCTTAGAAACTTTCATTTCTTTAAAATAGTGTGCCAACACATAGGGTGGTTTGCAAACTTATGACAATTTGGAAGCAACTACTCACTTGGCTGAAAATTTCAGTAGTTTGTTTTCCTACAACTGATGTGGCAGATTGGAAGGGAGAAAGGAGGAGTGGAAAGAGGTGGTATCAATCCTCTAGATCGAAGCTCCAGCAAACCAAACATTATGGAATATAGTGTAAAATTCTGATTTGTTTACCAGTTCCTATGGGAAACATATCTTATACTCATGTATAGCCTCATGAGACAGCCATTCTGTTTCTAAATAGATGTAAATATTGGCAAATTTCATTCTAATATCTTGCTACAAGTAGGAACTTTATTATTATTATTATTATTATTATTATTTTCAGGCTGGAGTGCAGTGGCGTGATCTCAGCTCACTGCAACTTCTGTCTCCTGGGGTCAGCGATTCTCCTGCCTCAGCCTCCTGAGTAGCTGGGACTATAGGTGTGTGCCACCATGCCTGGCTAATTTTTGTATTTATTTTTTGTAGAGTTGGGGGTCTCGCCCTCACCATGTTTGTATTTTTGTAGAGATGAGGTTTCGCTGTGCTGGCCAGGCTGGTCTCGAACTCCTGACCTCAAGTGATCCGCCTGCCTTGGCCTCCCAAATAGGCGATTACAGGTGTGAGCCACTGTGCCAGCCTACAAGTAGGAACTTTAAATTGTGATAAATATTTCTATAAAGTAGGCTTAAGTTGGTGTCATATCTAAGAATCCATTACTAAACCTAAGGTCATGAAGATTTACCCTCAGGGTAAGTGTTTTATAGTTTTAGCTCTTACATTTCAGTTTTGTACATTTTGAGGTAATTTTTATATATGACATGAGGTGAGAGTCCAACTTCATTCTTTTGCATATGGATATCCAGTTGTGTTTTAATACTTACTATCTTATAGGGGAAGGAAACAAACTTATTGCCTCATAAGAAAGCTCTTTCTAAATAGCTGTAATTATTAGCAAATTTCTAACATTTTGCTACATGTAGACCTTTATATCATAATAAATATTTCTAAGAGGTAGGTTTGAATTATAAGTGTTGGAATTTAAGCTTGTCTTCTATCAGTTGAGAGTCTTACACATTTTAGGATGTGTAGTAAGTTAATATATTTATTAATAGTTTTTGGCCAGGCACAGTGGCTCATGCCTCTAATACCAGCACTTTGGGAGGCTGAAGTGGGTGGATCGCTTGAGGCCAGGAGTTCAACATCAGCCTGGGTAACACAGCGAGACTCCCATCTCTACAGAAAAAAAAAAAAGTTTTTATTAAAGAGAGGTTGTTGGTGAGGCAAAGTGTATTCAGAGAGTATGCATTGACTTTTGTGTTCAAAATCAAACTGCTACTACACAGCTGTGTGACACTAAGGAAGTTACTAAAACACTCTGAACCTTGTTTTCTTCTCTATCAGATGAAGACAATAGTATCTATCTCATGTGATGTGTTATGATGATTAATTGTGATAAGGTATGTAAAACTGCCTGGAAAACAACAAGCTCAATAAATATTAATTTGGCCAGGCACAGTGTCTCACGCCTGTAATCCCAGCACTTTGGGAGGCCGAAGTGGGCAGATCACTTGAGGTAAGGAGTTTGAGACCAACCTGGCTAACATGGTTAAACCCTGTCTCTACTAAAAACAAAAATTAGCCGGGTGTAGTGGTGCACACCTGTAATCCCAGCTACTTGGGAGGTTGAAGCAGGAGAATCAGTTGAACCCGGGAGGTGGAGGTTGCAGTGAGCTGAGATCAGGCCACTGCACTCCAGCCTGGGTGACAGAGTGAGACTCTATCTCAAAAAAAAAAAATTAATTTATATTACAATTGGCTCAGCTCCAAGTAAAATTCATTTTTGTGATGTAGATTTTCATATATTATTTTTTAGAGCAGCTTTATTGAAGTATACCTTCTATAAGTACACATATTATACTAAATTGTACATATTTAAAATGTACTATTTGATACATTATGATATACATATGCACATGTGTATATATATCTATATATATATATAGACTCAAAACACTCTTGACCATATCCATTACCCATGTAAAAAGTTTTTTCTCTTTTTAGTCACTCTCCTCCCCCCACGACTTTTAATCCATTGATCCACTTAATCCATTGATTCCACTTTTTGGGGTATTAAACATTAGCTGAGCGTGGTGGTGTGTGCCTGTAGTCCTAGCTATTTGGGGGGCTGAGGCCGAAGGATCGCTGAAGCCTAAGAGGTCAAGCTGTAGTGAACTTTGATTGCACCACTGCACTCCAGCCTGGGCAACAGAGCAAAACCTTGACTCTTAAAAAATAAAAAAATAAAAATAAATAAAAATAAAGGTGCCATGAACATGTACAAGTCTCTGTAAGAACATACGCTTTTTTTCTCTTGGGTAAATATCTAGGAGAGGAGTGGCTGGATCATATAGCATACATATGTTTAACTTTTTAAGAAACTGTAAAAATGTTTTCCAAAGGAGTTGTACCGTTTTGCATTTCCAGCAGTCATGTATGAGTTTTAGTTTTTCTGCATATTCACCATCATTTAGTATGGTCAGTGTTTTAAATTTTATCAGTTTAAGTAAGTGTATAGCAGTGTCTCACTGTGTTTAATTGTACTTTGCTAATTACTAATAATGTTAAGTTTTGTGTTTTTTTTTTTTGTTTTTTTTTTTTTTTTTGAGACAGAATCTCGCTCTGTCGCCCAGGCTGGAGTGCAGTGGAGCAATCTCGGTTCACTGCAAGCTCCACCTCCTGGGTTCACGCCATTCTCCTGCCTCAGCCTCCCGAGTAGCTGGGACTACAGGCGCCCGCCACCACACCCGGCTAATTTTTTGTATTTTTAGTAGAGACGGGGTTTCACCGTATTAGCCAGGATGCTCTCAATCTCCTGACCTCGTGATCCACCAGCCTTGGCCTCCCTAAGTGCTGGGACTACAGGCATGAGCCACCGCGCCCGGCCTAAAAATGTTAAGTTTTTATTCTTGTGCTTATTTGTCATTTGTGCATCTTCTTTGGTGAAATATCTGTTGAAACTTTTTGGCCAATTTGTTACTGTTTGCTTTCTTACTGTTTTTTGAGAATTCTTTATACATTCTGGATGCAAGTCTTTATCAGTTATATACTTTACAAGTATTTTCTTCTAGTTTATAGCTTGTCTTTATTTTCTTACTGGTATCGTTCAAAGAGTAAGAGTTTTAAATTTTGACATGGTCACATTAATCAGCTTGTGGTTTTTATTGTGTTTTGTGTAAGCAATTTTTGCTTAGTCTAAGGTCACAGAGATTTTCTCTTAGGTTTTTACAGAAGTTTTATAGTTTCAGGCTTTACACTTAGGTCTACAATCCATTTTGAGCTAACTTTTTTATATGGTGCAATGTATTGATTTAAGTTTATTTTGATGAATATAAATATCTCAGTTGTTCCAGCCTCATTTATTTGAAAAAACCAGTCTTTCTCCACTCAATTGCCTTTGCACCTTTCTCAAAAATTAGTTGTCTATATAGGGGTCTATTTTTGCATCTTATTCTTTTCATTGATCTATTTGTCTATCTTGATGCCAATAGCACACTGCCTTGGTATTGTAACTTCTAAGAAGTTTTGAAAATAGGTAGTGTAAATCTTCCAAGTTTGTTTTTCATTTTCAAACTCGTTTTGATTACTGTAGGTCCTTTGAATTTTTATATAAACTTTTGCATCATCTTGTAAATTTCTGCAAAAGAGTCTACTGGGATTTTTCCTCAGATGTTGAATCTATAGTTTTATTTGGGGAGAATTCAAATCATAATAGTATTGAGTTCTTTGACCCATAAAACAGCACATCTCTCCTTTTATTTCTTTAATTTCTTTCAGTAGTATTTTGTAGTTTGCAGTACACAGGTATTTATCCCAAAGTAGTTCATAGTTTTGAGGTTATTGTTAGTAGTATTGTTTGTTAAATTTCAGTTTCTAATTATTCATCATGAGTATATAGAAATACAGTTGATTATCATATATTAATCTTGTATCATGCAACCTTACTATCATCATTTATTAGTTCCAGTAGCTTTTTTGTAGATTCCATTGAATTTCCATGTAGACAGTTTTGTCATCTGTGAATAAAGACAGTTTTACTTCTTTCTTTCCTGTCTGGAATTGAAAAAAAAATTTTAGTTTTTTGGTTTTTTGTTTTTGTTTTTGTTTTTTCATTATTGCACTGGCTAGAACCTGTAGGACAAGGTTAAACAGAAATGGTGAGAGCAGATGACTTTGGTATAGTTTTCTCCATGTTTCTTAAACTTGGTTTTTGTTGAGCTTCTCAAATCTGCTTATAACTCAATCAAATTTGGAAATATTTTGGCCATTAGTTCTTCATTTTTTTTTTTTGTTTTGTTTCCCTTTCTCTCTCCTCTCCTTCAAGGACTCAAGGAAACATATATCAGGCCTTTTGATATGGTGCCACAGTCCTTTAATGCTTTTTCACTTACTTATTATTATTATTTTGATTTTATTTTCAGGAATTTATGCTTCTCTGTCTTCAAGTTCATGAATATTTTCTTCTGCAATGCCTAGTCTTTTTAAAATTCTATTTAGTGAATTTTTAAAAAATCCTTCCCTTATTGGGGCAACACCCTTCTGAGAGTAAGCTACCCAATGCCTCGGGTTTATAATGTTTTCTGATATGGCTCATAGAAACAGGAAGTATTTCTGCTTCTGTGACAGGGCTTGGCACTGTTTCCTCTAGCCTTCTAATGTTTATTCCTCTGGTCTTGGGTAGTTTGATCATTGAGTATTATTCTGCTGAATTCTCCAGCGATGGGCTTTACGGATTTCAGTAATTCTCTCTGGGCAGCACTTGGGCATCCTGTGAAGGATTCACCTTGTGGATGATACACACTTTATAAACCACCTTTTCTGTGAAGGGCCAGATGGCAGATATTTTAAGCTGTGCAGGCCATATGGTCTCTGTTGGAACTATTCAACTCTGCCATTATAGCCTGAAAGCACTTGCACTATGTACATGAATGGACATGGCTATGTTCCAATAAAACTTTATACAGTAAAACAGGTGGTATGCAAGATTTGGCCTGTGGGCCTTAGTCCATTGATGACTGTGACTATAACTGTGCCTGTGTATTTGTGTCTGTGGGTGGCTGGGTGGGTGTACATGTTTTGTATTAATAGTTCCTATGTCCTAAATGGGATGTGAGACAGCCTTATTCCAAATTCAAAGCAGAAAAAAGAGCCTATAGTTATTGAAACTTTTCAGATTGGCGTACACTGACACTTGCTTTCATTATTTTTGCTCCTGTTTTTGAAATGCTAAGTAGTGAATCGTTTAATGCTGACATTTAAGCTAATTGCTCTTTAATGTACATTTGACATATGAAGCAACATATTGCAATCTAAAAATAATTAAGATAAATCATTTGCTTATATTGCTGTGGCAAAGTCAAACCATTTTTCATCTCTCTCCCTCTTTCCTAGTGTTTAAAGCAGGGTGTCTTGAAGTCAAAATGGAAATTGGTACTTGCCGCCCCCGCTTTGTGGGGGCCATGGATGGAGGGGCTGCAGCAGCTCATGGGATGCTCTCTCTGTCATCAGGCAGCCTCCCGATGGGCTGCCTTCCAGGCTCTGTGCTTCTGAATTCCTCTGCAGCGGTTGGCAGGCAGCCAGTGTGCCATGAAGGATTAGATTCTGTCTCTCTTCCTTTTATACACACCCCAAGAGGATTTCCTTCTTCAACTTTTAAAAGACTGGCTCCAACCAGCAAATCCAACAAGTGGGCCCATTTGTGAATTGAGTATCTTGGGAATTATGCTATACAAATAGGTCACAGTTGAATAACCAGTATGTGCAAATTGATTTTTCTCTTTGGGTGGGGGAAAAACCCTCCTAGTTCTCTCTAGGGAAGATTGTATCACCATATAACAACTGTCACAAGGGCACAAAAATGCATTTTTGAGTATGAATGAGTCATCTGTTTCTCTGGGTGCTTCATTTTTAGTTATAAAGTGCGTTGATCATATTTCAAAAGCCTGCTGTATGTTCTTTAAAGTTAGACCCTTTTCTCCATTTGTGCTGAGCAAGTAAAGATTTCCAGCTTTATTCAGTGTGATTATATATTATGAAACCAAAAGGCTATCAGTTATTCCTATACAAAGGCAGTTTGTTCATTTTTGGTAAATACAGATTTGGGCATGTGCCATTTTCCT
This sequence comes from Homo sapiens, assembly GCF_000001405.40. Classification (NCBI taxonomy): domain Eukaryota; kingdom Metazoa; phylum Chordata; class Mammalia; order Primates; family Hominidae; genus Homo; species Homo sapiens. Next base: position 186,821,066 of record NC_000004.12, read on the forward strand.
ATATTGTAATTTTTCATGAAAAGAAGTAAAATTTATGAACAGATTTGTCACATTGAGTTGAATTTACTTAACACATGTATAAAATGTTATGTGGAAAAAAAAACACACTAAAACTCAAAGCGCTTTTTCTATCCTGTTATTCAACAACAATCATCAACACAGAAGACTTATGAGACTAAATGTGTGAGAGTGTCTCCCACACACGAAAGGGTATCTCCCCACACACGAAAGGGTGTCTCCCCACACACGAAAGTGTTTCTCCCACACACGAAAGGGTGTCTCCCCACACACGAAAGGGTATCTGCCCACACACGAAAGGGTGTCTCCCACACACGAAAGGGTGTCTCCCACACACGAAAGGGTTTCTCCCACACACGAAAGGGTGTCTCCCCACACACGAAAGGGTGTCTCCCACACACGAAAGGGTGTCTCCCCACACACGAGAGGGTGTCTCCCCACACACGAAAGGGTGTCTCCCCACACACGAGAGGGTGTCTCCCCACACACGAAAGGGTGTCTCCCACACACGAAAGGGTTTCTCCCACACACGAAAGGGTGTCTCCCCACACACGAAAGGGTTTCTCCCACACACGAAAGGGTATCTCCCCACACACGAAAGTGTTTCTCCCACACACGAAAGGGTGTCTCCCCACACACGAAAGGGTTTCTCCCACACACGAAAGGGTTTCTCCCCACACATGAAGTGGCAGACATCTGCTAAGTGTCCCCTGATTCAACTCAGTTCCAATGCTGTCCACCTGGAGACAGCCTCAGACCCCATAAAGTGAAGGATCCGTGCCACAAGACCGCCCCTGACTTCAGACGCCAATCAGTAAGTGCAAGTGGTTTTCCTTGTACTTCTGAGCCCCCCAGCCCCCCACCCTGGCTATAAATCAGAATTCCCACGACCCCATCCTGTGGTGCAATTAATTTGCTAGGGCTGCTCACAGAACGCAGGGAAATACGTTTACTGGTTACTATAAAGGATATTACAAAGAATACAGATGAAAAGATGCATAGAACGCGGTATGGGGAAAGGGGCTGGAGCGTTCGTGCCCCCCACCCACACTGGCCTGTTACTCTCCAGGAATCTCCATGTTATTCAGCTATCTGGGAGCTCCCTGAACCCTGTCCTTTCGGTGGTTTTGTGGAGACTTCATTGAGTAGGCATGACAGATTAAATCATTGGCCATTGGTGATCTACCTTGGGCCCCTCTCCCCTCCCTGGAGATTGGGGGGTGGGGCTGAAAGTCCCCCCCTCTAATCAGGCTGTGGTCTTTCTGGTGACCAGCCCCATCCTGAAGCTACCTGGGGGCTGCCAGCCCTCACATCACTTTGGAGATTCTAAGAATTTTAGGAGCTGCATGTCAGAAAATGGGATCAAAGAGTAAATACACATCGTGGGTGTCTTTGCTACGAAGTAAGCTCTATGATAACTGGGACAGTGTATATCTTTCTGGCCATTGTATTTTTACAGCTAGATGTATCCAACACATAGTTTATATCATTAAATATTTGTGAAGGAAATGAGTGAATGGAAATAATTGACCTTGCAGGCTGCAGTGACTGAATAACTATTGAAAAAAGGTGGATATATTTACAGAAAATAGTAATTTCATTTTTACAGTGTTTAAGGATGGGAGTCACCTCTGTTGACTAGAGCTTAACTCTGCAGTTTAATTTTTTAAGAAGGTCTATGGAGGTAAGACAATGAATAAAGAACATTAAAGAAAATAGAGCTATATCTGAACAACTTGGGGAAAATTACAATAATGGGGAGGTTGGTGAAGGAGGAAATGCATGTGATTGGCTGAGATAGAGCAGCCTCTTTTACTTAAGGTTGCTTGCCTTTTCTTACTCTCTTTTCTAAAAACAATGTCAAGACTCCCAGCTCAAAATGCTAATTTGCATTTGGTTTGGAAAAATATTCCTATATTTTAAATACATGAATTTCTACAGTAAGAACCATTAGAACATATAGAAATTACAGGCAGATCAGTATTAAGCTTCTGCCACACGGTAACTTTATAGCTGATAATACAAACAAATCAGTGCAACCAAATTTTTTAGGGGAGGAATTTAGTAAACTTTGTTCTCAAGAAATGGGAGCTGTCATTCAGAAGATATTCTGTCAGTTCTCAATTTCCAAATGCTTGTGAATTTTAGTCCCTTTTGTGGTTGTTACTAGTTTCTATCTTTATTGAATTGTGGTTAGAAAACATAGTTTGTGTTACAATAGTTCCTTGCAATTTGTTTTATGGACCAATTTTTGTAAATGTGTCTGAAATGAATGCATATTCTTCAGTTAGATGAAGGAATCTATGTCCATTAGATATCTTCCATATATTTGCTGATATTTTGTTTTTACTTTCACAGAGAGTGGTATATTAAAAATGTCCCACTATAAAGGCAAATTTGCCACTTCTTGTAGTTTTTTTTTTTTTTTTTTTTTTAGCTAAACTATTAGCTGTGTAGATGAGGGAAGCTATAGGCTGCTGGTTGATTGAAGTCTCCAGCAGCTGTGATGTGGGGCCAGCATACACTGGCTTGAAAGGGCTGATTGCACGTCTGTTCCCAACTCTGTGTCTAGAGATTTCACGTCCGAAGCTGGAAATTGCCCCCGGTGGTAGTGTGTACACCATGGAAATCAGCAAGTGTCACAAATCAAGGCTCTTTCCCTCCACCCTTCAGAGCACCAATTCACCAGCACACCAGTGCTTCTGGCATAATAAAGAGATCCTCCTTTTCTCTGAAAATGCTTTTTGCCTTATAAAATACTTTGATATAAAAATAGTTATACAAGATTTCTTCTGATTATTTGCTTGAGTTGAGAGCATGTTTCTCTAGGAAGAATTTGATTTGCTTCTGCCAGATATCTGGATGCACTGTCAAGCAGGATTACTGTTTAAATTTAAAATATCGGTTGATTACCAGAAGTGGTAAAATGAGACAGATGGGAACCAACTAGCAAAGCTGCATATGCATCTCCTACGACCCAGCAGTCTCTCTTGAAAGTGGAAGAGATAGATAGGCACACATATGCTTACCCAAGTCATGGCTGCCTAGATCACAATAGCCCTGCACTGGAAGCTGGCCAAGACCCAGCAACAACGAGGGTAGTCAGAGAAATGATGGTACAAATACTCAGTAGAAGACTGTATAGCAATGAGAATGAAAGAGCATCTACTACACACAGGAATTTGGATGAATTAAACGAATGTAATGTTGAGAAAGAAGCCAGATGCAAGAGAGTAAATATTGCATGACTTCATTGAGATCAAGTTCTTAAACTAGCAAAAATAAAACCTTTGTTGTGCAAAATCAGGATACTGGTTCCCCTTTAAGGAGTAGAGTGGTTAGAAGGGGCTACCCAAAGGGCTTCCAGTATGTTGCTAATGTTTGTTTATTGATATTGGGGTATTCAGTTTGTGAAAATTCATCAACTTGTTCGCTATTATTTTGTGCCCCTTTCTGTATGTGTGTATTGTTCAATCAAAATTGAAATTAAATTAACTTGTGGTCTTTGGGGATTCAATATTAATAATACTTCAGGCTCCAAGCCCACATAAATTCTCAGACCCATCTGAATTCTCTGGCTGTGTACTTTGAGGGGATATTCTTTCTTTCCTCCTGGAACCAAGGTGGGATAGTATAGGTTTACTGCCGTCTAGCTTTACCGAGTGGCGTTCTATCCATCACCTGTCTCACCCTGTCATTAATGCTATAGCTTTCTTGAGTCCTGGTTTTATGCAGGGATCTCAGACCTTGTACAGACATAAAACCAAAATTCAAGGTCACCTGAAATTGGTGGACACACCCAGGTCGACTGTTGGCTTAAATGCTGTTTACCTCCCAGGACTCTGGCTTTTGACTTTGTTTCTGATCTTAAAAGATTTAAAAATTTTTTTATTTTCCTTATTTTTTTCCAAGTTCAATCATTCATTCATAAGAGTGGTGCTAATATTTCATCTACCGCTCTTACGTGTTTTATGACAGGAAGTTTTAGACCTCTTGCTGCAATACTGTGAGATACAGAAGTCTTCCCCCAAGGTTCTTTCTCCCTATATTTTTAGGGGAAGAAGGAAGAAAAAGTGAGAAAGTGAGTCACAATCATTCAGTTTTGCTCATTACTATCGATTCAGTTGGTACAAATTCCGATTATGGTAGAGGCTGATAATACAGGAAGCTGGAAGATAAGAATTGAGTTCAAAGAATGTGGTAAACTTTTGAACTGGTAAAATCCTTTTGATCTGTGTTCTAATGGTCAGTTATCTCATCTGCAAAATGGGAGTGGGGCTAGACTAGCTATTTCCTAACTTTGTCTTTCATGTTCGAAATTAGCAAAGTGATTTTAACAATAGCCTTAGGATCCCATTGAATTTTATCTCCTTTATCTAATAATTAATTAATAAATTAATAATTAAATTGTTTAAGAGTTATAAACTAATAAATTGAGTCATAAATGTTCTCTTATTTGTTCATGTGAAGTAATATCTTCTATTATTATAATTTAGCATTTTATAGTACTTAAAACCATTATTTTGCAGTGTCTATAAAAAGATACTGTTTTTTACTTTGGGAAATGGTGGTGATACAATTTGAGTTGAAATGTAACCATCATCACAGTAGCCTAGGCTGTATTACCAGATTTATGTTTCTCATTTACAAATTGTAAGCACTTTTTCCAGTGTGTGTATGTGTGTGTTCCTATTTATCAAGTTGATACATGAATGATAAACAAATGATTATAGTAATACAGTCATAGAACAATGAAATATCTCAGGAATTTAAGTAAAAATAATTTTTTTAAACTACTAAAGTTGTAAAGGGCATATAGTGAAAGACTCATATAAAAAGAATTAATAAACCCAATTTTTAGAAACTCGGTAACTACCTTTTTTTCCTGCACAAAACAAACATTCCACTCACAGATCTGGGGGCTTCAGTTCCATTATTTTGCTGTTATTTCTTTGAGAGAGTGACTCATGAAATTTCTGCTTCCATCGTACTGAAACTCAGAGTTTTGTGCTGTTTAATGAAGCCTACATACTTCTATAACGTTTTGTTTTACCTTCTTGTCCCTCACTGTTTACCTTGGCTAGTGTGTAAAGCTTTTTAACTTATGGCCATGTAATCAAGTTCATTTTAAGGCTGAGGCAGGTAACAAGTTGCCAGAAATATTATTTTTAAGTGCTTTATAGCAATGATCTAATCATTACCTTTATTATGGCATTTAAAAGATAACATATAGTAAGAATCCAAGCATGGAAATATGAGAGCTCTGGATCCTTACCAGGTGGAACTATATGAAATTGCAGCTCAGAATGGTTGAATATTGTCAGTGATATATAATTCTACCTGATGCTGTCTACATAACTCTGGGCAAGTTTCTTCATGAGCTTCAGTCTTGTCTGCTCTAAGTGAGGATACTGCTCAGAGGACGAGTCTGAGGCATAAACATGGTCATCTATTTTATTGCCTTCAAACCATAAGGCATTATAAATATATATTGCCTGAAAATCATTATGCATTTGGTAAAGTATTGTGGATTCTCACTTGCATTTTCACTTTAATCCCTATGGTATTAGTTTCATCTGGAAATGAGGTTTGGATCAGGAGATAAAGACATGTGAGAATATTGGCAAAGCAGGGGCTAGGATGACACACACATACACACAATCTAGGACATTGAAGAAGTCACCTCTTAGAAAAAAAATTAATAGAATCTGGGAGATTTTACACCCAATTTTAGAAATGACTGGGCTGGTCATTTAGACATTTGCTCTCTTCATTGTCACCACCTCCTCTGCCTTCTCATTCACAGATAAAAAGATAAATCCACTCCTGGATAAAGGAAGTTTCTAAAATGCGCACAATGGAATAAAAATGTTTTCTAAAACTCGCCTATGCAGGGAGTTGCTAGAGGCCGCACTGTCCTCCTGGTGCCCGAGGAAGCCTCTGCCTGTCATCTGGCAATGGTCTATGGTAACACTGCTTACACATGGGCTCTGAAATGCTTACGGATGAGTAGTAAGATTTTCTCATACCATTATAAAAAAACTGAAGCCAAAAATAGAAATTCGAGAGTGCAAGTGGGTCAGTATTTGAAAAAAAAATTATATACACACACACACCAAACTGAAGCAAGCTGTAATCTGTTTGGCAAATGTATTGAACTGCATGTGTTCCCCATACATTAGCAAGTCTGAAACAATACCTCTGTGTTAAACTAAAAGATGGACATCAGGCAAGCAGGCTGCACCTGCCCCTAATGGAGCTGGGGGAAAAGACACATGAGTACAGAAGCTGTTGGGAGTGTTTACGGAATCGGGGGCTGGTGGGCGTCTCTGCAGAAGGAGAGCAGGGCCTGTGAAGCGGGTGCCGTGGAGAAGGGCTGCTGTTGGGATGGAGGCCAGCTGCACGCAGGGTGAGGACAAGAGAATGCTGCTCAGGCTCAGGGAGTTTTAGCTTGTGATGTCACAGCTGGTGTGGGCATCACAGATTCCCAGTTTCATGTCTTTGATAAATAATGGCTCAGTGGTTAGTACCCAGCCAGAGAAATTCAAAATAAACAACGTTTTGCTGCCTGTGACACTTCTTAAGATGACCACCGAAAGCACACTTTTATGTCTCATTCAGCCCGTGCATTGCCTACTAATATGCCTCGTATTAGTCACTGAGAAAAAACTCAAATGGCTTGTAGAATGGACATCTAGGAGTCTTGAATATGTCGTATCGACATTCCTAATAGTTTCATGTCAAAGACTATATATTAATATAACAAAGCACAAAACACATTGGGCTGGAAATGATAGTTGCTTATTTCAACTTGTTCGTATGTCATTATATGGAGTACTGATTGAATATACAGAATTTTGGTTAGCACCTTTCATATTTATCAGTAATATCTTGAACTTCTATTGCCCTTCAAACAAAGATTGTCTTTTAAAAAAGATAAGCAGAGAAGGAATAATATAAATGTGAAATGGGTTTTATGTCTTGTTTACCCTTAACCTAAGTGTCGCATAGGTAGAAACATAGCATTTGGAGTCAGAAAGAGCCAAGTTTGAATTTCAGTGCTACCATTTTATAATGATAATGAAAATAACATTGAGTTAATATTTATTGAATGCTTACTGTATGCAAGGCAGTATGTATAGGGCATTATCTACCGTCATTATCTGTATTATCTATATTCTATTACCTATATTATCTATAATCTTATTGTATTATTATATAATCTATAATCTTATTGTAACCCTAAGATGTAGGTGATTAGAAAATGCATCTGTTCCCATAGCTCCAGCTCCCATCTCCTTGAAGAATTCCCTGTTTGCATCTCTGGGTCCTGTCCCTTTCCCAAGCTCCAAGCCTACATCTTGGCTTCGCTGACAATGCTCCACCATTCCGTCAAACACAATATGTCCGATATTGAATTACCACCACCCCAATGCCCCCCAAACTAGTTTTCCTATGCCTCAGACATTCTTACTTCTATGAAGTGTGCCTTATTTGTGTAAAATGTTACCCATCCCCTAGATAGGATTTCTTCCTTTCCCTCCCCCTACATATTCATTTAGTCACTAAGTTTGCAGTATTTCTTATCTTGATCCTCTCTTTTCTATTCCTGCAGCTAGGATGCTTAATAACACTGCCATAACTGGTCCCTCTTTAGATTCTTGGCCATGAAAATCAGTGAAACCCTTCATCCTGCCTGGATATAATGCTACATTTAGTCCATTCACCTCTCCCTCCTCCCATTTCACACCATCTCTCTTCTCAAACCCCACTTATCTGCTGTCCTTACCACCCACATGCTATGGTCTGAGTACTTGTGCCCCCAGAAAATTCACGTGTTCAAACTTAATCTTCACTGCCATAGTGTTAAGAGGTGGGGCCATTAGGAGATAATTAGGATTAGTGCCCTTATAAAAGAGGCCGAAGGGAGCTGCTTTCTCTTTCCACCATGTGAGGATGCAGTGAGGAGATGCCATCTATGAATTAGAGAATGAGCTCTTTTGATGCCTTGATCTTGGATTTCCCAGTCCTTAGAACTGTGAGAAGTAAGTTTCTACTGTTTATAAGCCAGTCTATGATATTTTGTTATAGTAGCCCAAATGGACTAAGACATGACATCACTGCGAAAATAGGAGCAGTCGTAAGACAACTTCATCAGCTGCCACCTGTGTTGCTCCATTATCATCTGTAGCGTGTATGGCGACTGCCTATTCTATTCTGCTTCCTGTCTGAAACCAATACGGTGGTTCCTGTGGTAGGCAGAGAGGTCTCCCTTAAAACCCCCATGCCCTAATCCATGGCACCCGTGGCTACATTGTTACATAGCAAAAAATGATCTTACAGATGTAATTAAGGTTACACATGAAAATAGGGAGATTATCCTGGACCATCCATGTGGGCTCCATTTAATCACATGAGCCTCTAGAGCAGAAACTTTCTATGCCTGAAAACAGAGAGATGCAGCAGAAGTCAGCAAGATTCAATACCCGTGCAGGACTTGATGTGCTGTTGTTGGTTATCACAGAGGGAGCAATGTGATAAGGAATGTGGGAGATCTTAAAGGCTGAGGGAGTCTCTTTGCTGTCATCCAGCAAGGAAGCAGGGACCTCAGTCCTACAAACACAAGGAACTGATCTTCCAACAACCTGAGAGAGTTTGCAAGTGGATTCTTCCCTGGAGCTTCACATAAGAGCTCAGACTGCTCAACACCTCGATTTTGGCCTTGTGGCATCCTGAGCAGAGGGATCAGCCAAGTCCTCTCAATCCCTACAGAGCTTCAGAAACCTCGAGATCATCAATTTGTGTTTCAAGCTGTCAAGCTTGTGGTCATTTGTTATGGTAGCTGTACAGAGCGAAAATAGATCTCGCTTCTGTTTGTTTACTCAAGGACATTGAACCCCCGTAATTCTCTCCTCTCTCATGCGTCATCAGCTTTTCTTCTCTGTTGACTCATTCCTTATCAGCTCATGAAATATTATTTCTTGCATCTTAAAATGTACAAGCAAATCTCTCTAGACTGTGTTCCCCTCCAGCTACTGCTTTATTTCCCTACCATCCTTGAACAGTTAAAACTCCTTCAAGGAGTTGCCAGTAATATCTCCCCTTCCCTTTCCAGTTTTCTCTTCCCACTCCAATCGGGCATTTAGCACCTCACACAGCACCCTTACAATCTTCTTGAAAGAGCCATCAGTGACCTCTATGTTGCTAAATCCAAATGTTCAACTCTAAGTCCTCATCTTACTTGACCTATATCCATCATTTGACATAACTGATTCTTCTCTTTTCCTTGTAACGCTTTTTCATTCAGCTTCCGGAGCTCCACAATTCAACTTTCTTCCTCATTCACCACCTCTCTTTCTCAATTTATTTTGTTTGGTTTTTCCTCATTTTCCTGGATTCTTTATATTGTCACAACATTTGGTCCTGAGACCACTCATTTCTTTGATGTCCACAGCTAGTCTTTAAATACCATCCATATAGTCAACTCCAAAATTTGTTTCTCCAGCCTGGACCTCTACTCTGAACTTGTCTGTCTCGATGCCCACTTACCTTTACGTTTGGTTGCCTAACATTCATCTCAAGTGTAACAAGTCCAAAATCCAACTCTTATTTTTCTCCCCAAAACCTGCTTCTCACACAGTCTTTTTCTACCTCAGTGAATTATAATTCAATCTGTATGCAGGACAAAATGACATTGGAGCCATCTGCATAGGACATCTCTTGCATTTGACTTCCTATCCTTTTAGCCCATCATTTGCTCTAACCACTGTTGCTGCAATGAGCTTTACACAGGTTCTCTGCAGCAATTTGGCCTCACTGCACTGCGTATATCTCACTTTCTTCCTTGGAGCCTTTCTGTCACCAGAGCCTGGGGTATTTGCATTCAAGTATGTCTAACTGGGGAGATGGAGTCAGTGGCTAAAAAGGTCTGCTTTCTGTGCCTCAAGTGCAGGACACACAGCTCCTCTAAGATGTCAGCTGTCAAGGCCCAACTGGCATCAGCTGTAACCAGCTGAAACCTGCATCCCTGTGTTAGCTCTTTCCTTGTTCCTATTTTCCTTTCTGTGCTCTTCCTTACCTGTTTCCTAGGATCGATTCCACAAATAAAGCACATGCATACAGCTTTCTGTTTGGTACCAGAATTGACTTAGAATTCAGATCTTCAGGATGAGGATCAGGAGCTGGATCATTCACAGGCCAGAGAGTGATAAGAGCACCACTGCTGTCGGCAAGTCAGGGAAGCCCTTCCATGCCGGAGCAGCACAGTTACTCTCAGTGAAAGCCACAGGCTCAGGCTGGCCAACTGTCACATCAAGGAATGCTGGGAAAGCAAAAGTCCCCAGGGCAGTGTTTATAGAGACTTTTATATCCAGTGGTGCTAGAAAAATCCATGATGAACCCCTCAAGGGAGGGTTACAGCATAGCCTACTAGAGGTCTGGAACAAGACCATGTATTCTGCAGCAAAGAAAAGGTAACTGTTGGGAGGGTAGCTATTGCAGTGTTGCTGGGCCCTACTAGAGACTGAGCACCTGATCATGGGACATCATGACTGGGGTGATGTCCATGGTGAGCTGGATATTATCAGTCCAGGTGGATGCAGCAGCAATGTCTCTTGTGATGGAAATGGTACATTTCTGATGAGCCTCAAGTAGGCTCAGGAGCCACAGGTGAGACACATTTAGTATGTGACTCAGAATCCTTTGTTCTCTATGTTATAACTCCTTTGTTATAGCTATGGTCTCATGGGGGCTCCCTATGACCAATCGGCAGAGGAAGAACAAAATTAGGCCTGGGTCCCAGGTGGATCAGCTCAGTATCTTGGTGCTAGCCATAAGTAGACTGCAGCCGTACTGCCGCTCACTTAGGGATGGCCTTACAGAACCACGATGAAGGAAGATCCTCCCAGTGGACAAAACTGCAAGCAGCATACCGGAATGCTAGTATTATACGGAGCTTTAGGGTAAATATGGGCTTCAGGGCAGTGTTAAATAGCTTGGCCAGTTGGTCAAGGGCTTAGAAGGAGCAAAATTAGAAAACTGGAAATAAGGAAATCCAAGGAAGAGGGATATCGATCCATAAATGGGAGTGGGCACAAAATGTGTCCGTCTTTGTGTCCTAAGATAATTCCCATCACAGAACATCAACACAGAAGAGCCTTGAATAGCCTGTTGGGCATCATGACTGATCATGCAGGCAAGACAGCCACAGGCCTTGACTACCCCATTCTTGTGCAATGGGACTATGAGTAGTGTGGCCATTGTGGTGGGAAGGGGGACTATGCATGGCCCCAGGCTGACCTAGCTGCTGCCAGTACTCAGTGCCCAACCTGCCAGCAACAGACGCTAATGCTGCGAACCCTGTGAGGAGAGGCCAGCCACTTGGTTGAAGTGTGATCATCGAACCCTCTACTCTGGCAGGGATAAACATTCTTCTTTACCAGAAATGATGGAAACTCTGGGTTTGGGTTTTCCTTGTTTGCCTGCAGTGTCTCTCCCAGAGCCACCATCTTAGGGTGGCATTTCAGAATGCCTGGTTTACCAGTATTGGTTTTTGCAACAGTGCTTCAGATCTAAGGACCCCCATCTGCTTTTGTTTTTTTGCAAAGAAACGCAACAGTGGGTATGTAACCTTGAGGTCCCCTGGATCATGTACAAACACAACCCAGGAGCACCTGGCCTCATAGAAGGAGAAGAAAATGACTTATTAAAGACTTATGTAAGGTACCAGTTTGAGAACACACTCTACAGGATTGGGTTGCTGTCTTCAGGGTGAAGTTGTATTTATTGAAGCAACAATCAATATATGGTACTTTGTCTAACAGAATACACAGGTTCAGGAAACAAGGAATAGAAATAAGATTGGCTCCATCACTCCCAGTGACTCATTTGCAGAATTAGTACTTCTTATTCTTGTCAGCTTATTGCTCTACTGGATTAGAGGTCCTGGTTCCTAGGGTAAGGGTGGAGATGCATTTCTGGATGATATGATAAGAATACCACTGAACTTGAAACCATGACCACTGCCAGGTCATTTTGAATAGTTCATGATAGTGGATCATCAGATAAAGACGGGAGTTTTGTGTTTGTTACCATAGAGAGTCAGAGTTGCTGCTACATAACAAAGGCAGGAAGATACATGTCTGGAAGCCAGGAAATTCAATGAGATGTCTCCATACTTCCATGCCCTCAATAACTATAAATGCCCAACAATGGTAAGGCAACTAAATACTCCGATTCTTAGAGATGAAGGTCTGGGTTACTTCACCAGGTCATCAGCTTAGACCTGCTGAACTGGTAGCCAAGAATGAGGATATTGAGAATGAGTCCTGGAGGACGGATCAGTTGGAGTAGTGGGTCAGAAGTTTCTTCCACTCTTCCTCCCATATTCTTCCTGTATTAAGTCTGTGGAAGAGACTGTGGTCAGCTCATACCCTGAAGGTTCTTGGCAGACAAGTTTTAATGGAAAGCCTGAGTGGGTCTGGGGAGTGCAAGGAGAGGATTGTGTCTGGCCATTCTTGTGCCCTCACATTCTCTTGGCCCATGGTTCATTCCAGTCATTTGTGTAGCAACCAACTTTGGATAGGGAGAAACTGACAGCTCCTTCTCTTGGGCACACTCTATATCCTGGATAGCATCTGATGACAAATAAATAAATAGGTCTATGTGTGTGCAATCGGAGTCCAGGTGGCAGGTGACTGGAGGGAAAGTGGAGAGAAAACTCGTCATCATCACGTTTCCTGATGTGCGTAAAAAATTCAGGGTAATAAACCAGGTCATATAAGCAATTTTAACTTTGAAATAGCCAATAATAAAAAGAAAAATATTTGTCAAAACAGGTTTTGTTCTTTGCCAATTCTAAGATATTAGCAGGAAGAAATAGCCTAAAACATTTTTCTAGAGATAGTATACCCATAGAGTATTCTGTTTGTCTTATTAGGGGTTAAATTTGTTTGTCAGGGAGTTTATATATTTAGAACTATTCTTTTGGCCTTTTGAGCACTACTCTGACAATATTTGCTTCTCAAAGCAAAAAAATCTCAGTGTCTTCTTTTGCCTCTTGCCTAAAAACTCAGCAATTAATTCATTTTAGGATGAATTATTCTTGAAAGAAATGATAATTCCAAAGTTAGCTGGGGACATTTTGCCCCTTAAAATATAGATAAAATTGACATAATTCCTCCTTTCCAGAGAACACTGAAAGGGCAAGGCCATCTCTAAGATTTCTGAAAATTCCTTTGGTTATATATTCTCATATTCCCTCCACTCCTCATTCTGTCTCCACTAAATGACTTCATTCAGGATCGTTTCACTGTTGTGCCCTTTGCTTTTGAGGTTCCTGCTGACCCAAACATGGAGCTCAGCACTTTTCTTTCATCTACGCCCAAACTCTTTTCAATATATGTGTGTGTAGAAGATCTTATTGAAGGCTGAGTATACCGCTACAGCAATTAAAAAGCTAAAGGTTCTATCCTAGGCATTCCTCTGGAAGTCTCCTGTTTGATTTTCTATCCCAGGCTAATGTTACATGGCTTGTGTTCCTGTGGTAATACTGTGTGGCTTTCCTCTCCTCCTGCTCACACCCTTCCATCTCTCTGACTTCCAATTCTTTATTTTAAGGCAAAGCATGTTGATTGTCTAATATGTTAAGCATTTGATGAAAAATTGGCTATTTTACCTAATTTACAAAAAGAGATTACAAAGTAAACATAAGACATGCAAAAGAAAGACGGAAGGTGTGTGTGTGCATGGGGGGCAGGTGTGAGGGGTGGGGAGAGAGAGAGAGAGAGAGAGAGATTATTATGATTGGCAAAGATAAAAACAGTAGAAGACATCCAGTATTAGTATGGAAACCAAATCAAAAACAAATCCAGAAATTTTTTTAAACGTTGAAGGCTGCATATGAGAATAAGAAAAATACTCATTAAAATTTTATTTTTGACTATTTAACTTCAAATATTCAACTCGGTTGATTAAAAAAAATAGAATTACATCATTGAATTGATCTAATCAACCAGTTTTCCCTAGCGTGATGCTCACAAAGTCTTATTACCCAATTCAGTTATCTGTTTCAAAGATGAGGTGGCAAAGAGGATAATCCAGGTAGTAATAGCAAACTTCTTACCAACTAACCTAGTCGGCTTAGGTGAAAGAAGCATTTTCTTCAATTATCCAGAGAATGATCTTTTCCATTTTCTTGCATGGGTATGCAGAGTTTGAAGAATTTTGACTTTTAGATAGATTTTATAAAGTGACTCTTTAAGTAAACTTATATACCGTGTAGTCAAGTGTTAACTCGTGGACAGAACTGAGAGCCAGAACTTGCTTCAAATCTCAGCTCGGACACCTATAAGCTGAGCTGTGAAGCAAGCTGTTTATGTAAACCTGTTTCTTCTTCTGTAACATGAGGATAATAAACATAGCTATACCCCACAGAATTGTGAAAATAAACAGGTAATGCATGAAAACCCCTCAGCAGAGTAGCTGGAACTTATTTTAACTATTTTTTTAAATTGCCCCATTTATGTACGCCACAGCTGAACTCAAGAAAAACAATGATCACTGAATTTGTACTATGAATGTCCCCAGAAATATAACTTAATAAACTACTTAAATACCAGTCTTTGAAATTATGTCAACAGAGACTAAATTCAAATATTTAGGCATTTATTCTATTTTTAAAAGGCATAAATACTCACAGTGTTATAATCATTTCTCCATTTATTTTTCTTTTTATTCAAAATGACTAGCTAGCTTATATGCATATTTTAAAGTATCTGAATAGCTCAGGAAAAACAAAATTTGCATAACAAACCAAATTGTGCACCTTTAAAAGCAACTGTACAAAAAATATTTATCAGAAAAAAGTTTATTTAAATGCACTAAAAGTTCTTTGGCTTCTTTATTGGATATTAAAAATTTTATTTTTGAAAATACAATTAATTTACCATTATGTATAAGAAATGAAGCGTATCTTTTGTTCCAAATTTTATTCATACTTTTAACATATATAAAAAGAATTAGCTGCTTTTAATTCTTAGAGGTACAATGTTTGAATAAATGTTTGTTACACTGGCAACTGAAGACGTTTAGAGATTTTGTATGTATAAAATTTAGAGAAATTATAGATCAAAGTTAAGTGAATGATCAAACTTTTAAAATGAACAAATAAAAGTAGGCCAAGGATGAATGGAACAAAATGTGTTAGAAAAGTATTACCACCAGATCCCTAGATAATATATGAATGTAGGATATATTTGATTGTATAATTCTAAACATAAATTACATTAAATTATCTTAATCATTTATCTTCCTAGAATTTTGCAGGCAATTTAAAAATATCGAATTATTTACACTATGCTCCCTAAAGCAGAGATAAATTAATGGTCAAACTTTGGGAAACTAATTTTGTTCTGAGGCTGATGATCTCATATAAATAATAGTTTATAAGTGTATCAGTTTAGAGAGTTTGCCTTTGTAATCTATTAAAGAACACATTTTAGATAAATGTAAATGGAGATTATGGTTGCATATTATTAAGTTTCCTGACAAACACTAAGAATCTATGATAAAAATCATTTCCAGTGAATTCAAATATTATTTCCTTGAAGAACTGAATCCTTATGATAAAATTAGCACCTCCTCTTTCTCTTCCTCCCTCTCTTTTCTCTTCCTCCCTCTTTTTTCTTTTCTACCTTTCTTTTCCTATTTTATGTCTCCTTCCAAAAAGATTCAAGTCATTTGCTCTATACTAAATGCTCTTGGAAAAAGTGAACTTTTGCTATCCATTGTGTTAGACAGCCATTATTTGCTAAAGCAATTGGAAGGATTTTATATGCAAATAATTGATAAACACTGGTTTACCCCATCAATGGAAAAAAAAATCAAAACTGTTGTTCAAATAAATGAATTTTATTGTAATTATTAGCGTTCTTGTTTGCTAATAATGCTAATTGATGTGAAGTCACTCAATTCCTCACTACAATGAAATACTGAAGAAATAAAATGTCCTGGGAAGATGTGTCTGCATAAATATTATAAAGGAGGGGGAAAGAACAGGTTGGGGCATTAGAGCAAAGCCTAGGTTCTCACCTTGACCGTGGTGTTCTCTCACTGAATGACCTTGAGCAACTCACCTACCTTGCCTGGGCTCCAGGTTCATGATCTGTTAAGTATGGAGGTAGGAATTCATTTTCTTTTATTATTATTATTATTATTATTATTATTATTATACTTTAAGTTTTAGGGTACATGTGCACAACGTGCAGGTTTGTTACATATGTATACATGTGCCATGCTGGTGTGCTGCACCCATTAACTCGTCATTTAGCATTAGGTATATCTCCTAATGCTATACCTCCCCGCTCCCCCAACCCCACAACAGTCCCCAGAGTGTGATGTTCCCCTTCCTGTGTCCATGTGTTCTCATTGTTCAATTCCCACCTATGAGTGAGAACATGCGGTGTTTGGTTTTTTGTCCCTGTGGTAGTTTACTGAGAATGATGATTTCCAATTTCATCCATGTCCCTACAAAGGACATGAACTCATCATTTTTTATGGCTGCATAGTATTCCATGGTGTATATGTGCATTTTCAAGCTGTAAAGATGTCATACAGAGGCAGCCTAACTACTGAAAGGAGGCTTCACTCTGGCATGTGAAACCTCAAGTAACTCACTGGGCTATTTCCTGTAAGAACTGCTAACGAGGAGCCAAAGTGTCTCAACGAGTTCCACCTCAAAACTCTGTTCTTGCAGGCTCTTATCTTTACACATTCATGAAAGGCACTAGGCTAAAGGAAGAGATTCAGGGAAGCAGAAAATGAGAAAATGGCGGCACAAGGAGCATGGTTAACCTGTCAACCGAATAACTTACTGTTGGACAATTGGAAATGTGCTATCCACTGCAGCTAATTGCATTCTAATTGGTTGTAGTTAGAAATTTTTTACTTAAAAAAAAAATTTCCAAGTTGATTTATAAGAACTGTGTATTAGGACCTATGCCTTATGTATTTTTTGTTTTAAAATCCATTGTATGTAAGGATTATTTGGGGATAATTTTTTCTTATTTATTTGTATTACATTAATTCGTTTGCAATACATTAATTCATTAAATCTTCTCAGAGGTAGCATGAGACCTTTTGTGTGTTTGCGAAAATACATTTTTTTTGTGTAATGGCACGTAAGTAAATTAAAAATTAGTAACACAAACCAAATGGAAAAGTACATCAAATGCAGGATTTGTGATTTCAGAGCATACACTTAGGAATCTATGTTTTGTTATTTAACGAGTATTAAAACATAAATTACAAGTACATTGTGGTTTCAGAATAACACTGTATTTGACTTGATGACATAGCGATCTGTTCACATAACAGCATATAGTGCAGTGCTTGACATGTAGTTGGTGAATGAATGAATGATTGAAAAAATGAATGAATGATAGGAAGTCCATTTATATCAGAGTCATCCTAGTAGCTAAATTAATGACTGACTATAAAATGTCAAATTCCCCATTACAGTGCAATGATTACCAACCATTTTACCACCACAGATCCTGAGATTTGAAAAGTTTTGTCTACTAAACATGATATATTTATTTGATAGCAATTTCTTTTTCTCATTTTTAATAAAAGTGACATGGAATAATAGTACTGACAGAATTGATCACACAATAGCTTCATATTTCTCCTATTAAGGTAACAGTACAGTGTGGTTAAGGACATGGATTTGCAGCAAAGAGCATGGGCTCTTAACCGGATTACCTTGGTTAGAACCCCAGTTCATTAGCTGTGTGGACTTACACATAAGTTCTTACAAACTGCTCTGTATCTCAATTTCCTCATTCTAAGAGGAGGATAATACGTGTGCCAAATTCATGATTTTTTTAATGAATCCATGAAAAGCACCTAGAACAGGGCCTAGGACATAGTAAGCACTCAAAAAATGTTGGTGATTCCACGCTATGAGTGCTAACATGGATTATTCCCAAAGCTCACTGGAGCACCATGAAGTCAGGATTGTGCCCAAATTACAGATGAGAAAACAGACCTACTGAGATTAAAATTGCTTAATGTAACAGATTGGCTCAAGTCTAGAGCTAAATCTTGCTCCTTTTCTCTTTCTCTCCCTCTCTTCTTCCTTTTTCCCTTCTCTTCTCTTTTCTCTCTAACAGAAATCTTGATCTGCAAGAGATAAGCGGTGTTGCCACATTACATTAATACAATCCCAGGCAGAATCAATGCTTGACATTTCAATTAGCTTGTGCAACTTTATTGAAAGTGAACTTATGATTTCTGTTTAACTCTTGGAAATACTGAAAATGGCTGAAAGAGCTCCATTTCTTTCAGAATAGGAGCAGTGATATAAGGGAGCCTCCAGTTGGCTCTTTCATAATTCTTAACACTTCAATTTGTGGTAAGTCATTTAAATGTTGCCATAAATAGGATTTAAAGGGGGGGCGGAAAGTATTGTCTATTTTTTAAATGGCAAATTCTTGATTTTATGCTTTTTCACGTATTAAGAAAACAGATATTTTCAGAAGTTAATACAAATGACTTGCAATACAACGATCAGAAATTTTTTGCCAATGATGACTCATTTCATAAAAACCCAGAACATTTATTCTTTCTGTTCCTGTTTCAGAAGAAATAGCGTAAGCACCATGGCCACTGCTAGTCCTAACATTAACACTGAAGTTTATAATCCATGTTTTGCCTTTTCTGGCTGTGGCTGTTAGTATCTGGCTGGAGGGGCTCCAGGGCCACACACAGACGGCGTTCATGTATGACAGTGTCTTTTACGGAGTGGGGTAAAGAGGGCCACACTCTGAAAAACAGAGAGGTGGGAGAGAGGGAGGGAAGCCACAGAACACCCCCATGACCCCAGCCACCCACGGAACTGGGAGAGGGAGAGTCACCGCTTGGCTGAAGGCTGAGGAAAGCAGAGACGGAATAATGGATGACTATGAAATTAAAATAGGGTGACTTGAATAAGACATATACGACTTTTTTTTTTTTTTTTTAAACAGTGGAACCTACTTCTTCATGTCTCTAACTTTCCTGAGTGGGAGTTTATCAACCCTGTCCTTACAACTCACTACTTGTTCCGGGATGTAGGAAAACACCCTTTACCTTGAGGCCCTTCCCAATCTATCCAAGTCCACTGTCGAAATTCCTTACCCACCACCCTCCTGCCAGGAGACACTGTGATGCCCATTTCCCCAGGACCCTTCCTTCTGGACTGCTTTCTCTCCTACTGCTGTCTCTCGACCCCGCTCCATCTCCCTCCCCATCCTCCTCCCTCCCCCTCCTTCTCCTCCTTCAATGAGCTTGTGCAACTTTATTGAAAGTTCTCCCCTCCCACTCTGCCTCCTTCTCCCCTCCCCAGTCCTCTCCACTTTCCATCTCCCACCCCTCGCCTTCCTCCCGCCTCCTTCTCCTCCCCACTCCCTCTCCTTCTCTCCTCCTTCTCCCTCCCCCCTTCCCCTCCTTCTCCTCCCTCTCCCTCCTCTTCTTTCCCCCTTCTTCCCCCTCCCGCTCCTCTCCCTCCCTCTCCTTCTCCCCCTCCTCCTCCCTCCCTCTTCTCCCTTCCTCCCCCGACTCCTTCTCTCCTCCCTTCTTTCTCCCCTCCCCATCACCGCTCTTTTTGGTGTGTTGCTCACTTTCTCCTCAGTTTGTCCAAACACTTTCAGTTTTCACTTTCAGGAAGTGTTGAGGTCCACACCCAACTCAGGCTCTCCATCCCTGAGGGGAAGCACGTGGCTGTCCCCTTTCGGTGGATTTCAAGCATCCCTGGCGCAGGTGCAGCGGCCTTGCCCTGGGCTCACCAGCAGCCTTTGGGGTCCCAGTTGGCAGGCAGCCCTGTTCCCTGGGGGTCCCTGCCGGAGCTGCTGGTCCCTGGAGCTACCCCGTGAGTACTTTTCTGTCTTGGAATAGGATGTTCAAGTGCACAGGTCACGGGTAAGGACGGAGGCATAGATTAATCCGGCCCCTCACTGCCCCGAGGAACCCAGGATCTGGCACGGTCCTCGGCATGCTCATGCTGCAGTGAATGAGCGAGTGAGAGTGAACTGACAGGCGCGGGGAGGAAGAGGCTGAAGCACGCTTCACTTGCCCGCAGTTTTGTGAGGGCGGGGTCTGTAGGCCGGAAAGGAATTCTTCACCCCGGAAGTGAATGCTTGTCGCATGCATTAAATAGCCTGATTTGGCTGTCCCTTTCCCCACCGGTTTTGCTGCAGTCATTCTTTGGCGATAAAAATTTTAGAAATGTGTTTTCTGAAATTTTTCTTTTTTTTATATACTTTAAGTTCTAGGGTACATGTGCACAACGTGCAGGTTTGTTACATATGTATACATGTGCCATGTTGTGTGCTGCACCCATTAACTCGCCATTTACATTAGGTATATCTCCTAATGCTATCCCTCCCCCCTCCCCCCACCCCACAACAGGCCCCGGTGTGTGATGTTCCCCTTCCTGTGTCCATGTGTTCTCATTGTTCAATTCCCACCTATGAGTGAGAACATGCAGTGTTTGGTTCCTTGTTCTTGTGATAGTTTGCTGAGGATGATGGTTTCCAGCTTCATCCATGTCCCTACAAAGGACATAAACTCATCATTTTTTATAGCTGCATAGTATTCCATGGTGTATATGTGCCAAATTTTCTTAATCCAGTCTATCATTGTTGGACATTTGGGTTGGTTCCAAGTCTTTGCTATTGTGAATAGTGCCACAATAAAAATACGTGTGCATGTGTCTTTATAGCAGCATGATTTATAATCCTTTGGGTATATACCCAGTAATGGGATGGCTGGGTCAAATGGTATTTCTAGTTCTAGATCCCTGAGGAATCGCCACACTGACTTCCACAATGGTTGAACTAGTTTACAGTCCCACCAACAGTGTAAAAGTGTTCCTATTTCTCCACATCCTCTCCAGCACCTGTTGTTTCCTGACTTTTTAATGATCGCCATTCTAACTGGTGTGAGATGGTATCTCATTGTGGTTTTGATTTGCATTTCTCTGATGGCCAGTGATGATGAGCATTTTTTCATGTGTTTTTTGGCTGCATAAATGTCTTCTTTTGAGAAGTGTCTGTTCATATCCTTCACCTACTTGTTGATGGGGTTGTTTGTTTTTTTCTTGTAAATTTGTTTGAGTTCATTGTAGATTCTGGATATTAGCCCTTTGTCTGAGTAGATTGCAAAAATTTTCTCCCATTCTGTAGGTTGCTTGTTCACTCTGATGGTAGTTTCTTTTGCTGTGCAGAAGCTCTTTGGTTTAATTAGATCCGATTTGTCAATTTTGGCTTTTGTTGCCATTGCTTTTGGTGTTTTAGACATGAAGTCCTTGCCCATGCCTATGTCCTGAATGGTATTGCCTAGGTTTTTTTCTAGGGTTTTTATGGTTTTAAGTCTAACATGTAAGTCTTTAATCCAACTTGAATTAATTTTTGTATAAGGTTTAAGGAAGGGATCCAGTTTCAGCTTTCTACATATGGCTAGCCAGTTTTCCCAGCACCATTTATTAAATAGGGAATTCTTTCCCCATTGCTTGTTTTTGTCAGGTTTGTCAAAGATCAGATGGTTGTAGATATGTGGCATTATTTCTGAGGGCTCTGTTCTGTTCCATTGGTCTATATCTCTGTTTTGGTACCAGTACCATGCTGTTTTGGTTACTGTAGCCTTGTAGTATAGTTTGAAGTCAGGTAGCATGATGCCTCCAGCTTTGTTCTTTTGGCTTAGGATTGACTTGGCAATGCGGGCTCTTTTTTGGTTCCATATGAACTTTAAAGTAGTATTTTCCAATTCTGTGAAGAAAGTCATTGGTAGCTTGATGGGGATGGCATTGAATCTATAAATTACCTTGGGCAGTATGGCCATTTTCATGATATTGATTCTTCTTACCCATGAGCATGGAATGTTCTTCCATCTGTTTGTATCCTCTTTTATTTTATCGAGCAGTGGTTTGTAGTTCTACTTGAAGAGGTCCTTCACGTCCCTTGTAAGTTGGATTCCTAGGTATTTTATTCTCTTTGAAGCAATTGTGAATGGGAGTTCACTCATGATTTGGCTGTCTGTTTGTCTGTTATTGGTGTATAAGAATGCTTGTGATTTTTGCATGAAATGTGTGTTTTTTACAGAGCCTTAGGGTCTGTGGAGTAAATGTACCACATGAAACTACTAAATAAATCAAAATGGTAACACAGCTTTATGGAGTATTTTTATGGTGATCAGTTCATTTTGTCCAAGTTATATATGAGTTTGGAGGTGGATCTGTAAACTCCCCCC
The DNA here is from genome assembly GCF_000001405.40 of Homo sapiens. Classification (NCBI taxonomy): domain Eukaryota; kingdom Metazoa; phylum Chordata; class Mammalia; order Primates; family Hominidae; genus Homo; species Homo sapiens. Next base: position 186,843,368 of record NC_000004.12, read on the forward strand.
TCCAACTTTTTTCAGAAAAAGAATTTTTTTCCTTATAGAAGTAGTACATGTTCATGGTAAAATCAAACAAAGAAACGAGAATAAATCGAATGAGACAGAGGAAGAGAGATGAAAAGTAAAATTCCTCTTCCAGCCTCATTCCCCAGAGCAGCAGTTCTCAACTGGGGAGGATTTTGCCTCCTAGGGGATGTTTGGCAATGTCTGGAGATATCTGGTCATCTGTGGGGAACCGCCGCTACTGCATCTAGTGAATGGCCCAGGGTTGCTGCAGAATAGCCCACCACGCACAGGACAATCTCCCACAGCAAAGCATTATCCGGACCAGAGTGATCATAGTGCCTCTACTGCAGACCCCTGGCCCAAAGTGACTACGATGGTTTCTGGAAGACCAGAAACTTTAAAATATGTATGTGTAGTTTTTCCACTTTTTTTTTTTTTTGCACACAAATGGACTTTTTATCCTCTGTAATTGGAAATGGGCTTTTTTTTTTCACTTAATGTTTCAATGTCTTGGTTATTTTTTGGTTATTTTTTACATATTGATGCATACAATTTACTTAATTATTATTATTATTTTAGAGACAGGGTCTTGCTTTGTGACCCAGGATGGAGTGCTCCTAGCTCACTGCGGCCTCAAACTCCTGGCCTCAAGTAGTCCTTCCCCTCGTCTCAGCTTCCCAAAGTGTTGAGATTACAGGCGTGAGCCACTGTGCCTGGCCACAGCCTAATCGTTTTTAACTGTTAATTAGTTTTCAGTTGGCTCATATATCATAACATACGTAGCCTTCAAAGATAGCTAATTTTGTTGTCTCTAACTTCTCATTGTGATAACCAAGCCTGCTGGGAAGGGGTTACTGAAAGAGAAACTGCACAAAGGGCTGGATTCTTCCTTGGCACTTTTGTTTTTGTTGCTTTACTTTTGCTCAAAATCTGACTGAGAGGCTAAATTCACAATGGGAGGTCGATTCTGTTTCTTTCTTACAAATCCCAGTTCCCTCTTGATTGTATCACTCAGGAGCCTGGGAATAGGAGGGAGGAGCGCCGGTTTTCTGTGCTGTGCCACTGTGGACTGTATCCTGCAGACATTTCTAATGCCGAGCTCACTAGCCAGGAAGTCATGTCAGCTGTGGAAATGTTCAGCTTAGGAGCTCACCATATCTGAATCGAATCCAAAACTTTTTAAGGACCTGGATTAAGTAAACTATGCTAGGGATTCAGGCTGTCCCTTAGCTTAATAAAGAATGGACCACTTCAAAGCCAACCCTTCATTGTCTAAGTTTTTTTCCTTTTTTCCCCTCTGTGTGAGTTCAGTCTGTTGACATCTTTTGCTGTTTTTCTATGTCGACTTTCATTTTGGGTTGGAAAAGTGAGGCTCATGCATTTTATACGGCAGTTATCAGAAGTACATCTGATTCAAAACCACACAGTGTTGCTATTGATTGTATAGCGATGTTGGCATGGATCATTTAAGGTAAATGTTATTTTCATGACCCCAAAGAGGAGGCTGTCACAGAGAAATATTATGTAATAATTTCCACCTTGCAAGAATGCAATGACCCCAAGAATAACACATTTTAATTCTTAAACTATGTGGAATTATCTATTTCAGCTCACTTCAAGCAGCATGGAATTTAGTTTTATTTCAAATTAGTGTCTGCTACTTGTGTGAAAACCTGTCAAAGTTTATAGCCTGGGAAACTGCTTTAAAGTAAAAATGAATGCTTTAAGTCTCAACATTCCTTTGTTAAAATGTAAAAATGCAATGGGGAAACTGCTTTCTATTGCTCATTCTTTTAAATATTTGGAGCTCTCTCATTATGCCTTGACCTGTTACAGCAGGCAGCACCCTCCACATAAACAACTTCCTCCTTTTTCCACAGAGATAAAAATGAGTCATGCTGGTCACCACTCTTGTAAGGCCTCCCATGTAGACAGGGTTATTTTTAATGCCCCTCGTGGAACCTGTGGAGTCTCGTGGATGGTGGTGATGAGCGGGCCAAGAGTGGCTGCCTCCCTGATGTCCCTGCCATGTGTCCCACACAGGCTGTGGCATGGGAGACAAAAGGCCACGCTGAAGTCCACAGGGCTCTAAGGCAGCCCCTGCCTCCTCCGCCTGTGATTTGCTAGTGACTGTGAGTCATTCACTCATTTCTTCCATCTGATAAAGCTAGTGGACATGAAGGGGAAATGGCAAAGTTTTCTTATCATCTTAGGAGCCAGAAGCCAAGTCTACTTTCAACTGCTTCTCTGTTAAGTCCTCCGTCAGGGAGCACTTATGAGGGCTCAGCGTTTGGAAGAGAAAGTGCCCGATTGTGTAGACACCACAGCAAAGGGGGAAGAAGGGAGTTAACACAAGGAAAACCTGTTAGAGAAGAGAAGGAATGTGTTAGATGTTTTTCTCACCTGTCACGCTCTATTTCCTTACCTTTGAACAATTTCATGTGTTATACCTCATGGCAGACCTTAAAAGGCAGGTTGTTCAGTGATGTCTAAGAAAGAACTATGTTTTTAAAATTCCTTTCCCTGGGGATTAAAAGTTTAGGAAGATTCTCAACTCAAGACACACCAAAAGCTCATTCGACCACATCCCCACCCCCCTACCTCCCCACCATGTCTTTTGTACATTTTTTTTTTCCTTTTAGAGACAGGATGTCACTCTGCTGCCTAGGCTGGAGTATAGTGGTGGGATCATAGCTCACTGCAAGCTCGACCTCCTGGATTCAAGTGAACTTACTGCCTTGACCTCCCAAGTAGCTGGGACTACAGGCGTGCACCACCATGCTCGGCTAATTTTTAAAATGTTTATGGAGATGGGGTCTTGCTCTGTTGCTCAGGCTTGTCTCAAACTCCTGGCCTCAGATGATCCTCCTGCTTTTGGGTCCCAAAGTGCTGGGATTGCAGATGTGGCCCACCACGCCCAGCCTGAACATCGTCTTTCTTAGGTGACTTCCTCCACATAGTTATTTGTGAATTGTAATATTGTGTGGCAATATTATCCAAAAAGTATTTGTTTTTATTGTATTTTGCAATCCCTAGGACATATTAAATAGCTCAAGTGATGGGATGTTCTTCTTAAAATTCGATCTCATAGTCTAAAATGGTGACTTGCACATGAGTTAGCCTCATTAAGTCCTGGACGAATGGCAAATGCTATAATTTCCTGTCTCACTTCTGGATATCACAGTGTCATCTTAAAAAAAAAAAAAAAAAAAGGACAATCTCTTCATTCTCCACTTGAGTGCTAAGGGAACTGAGTTCTTAACAAAACAAACAGAAAATCATTTCTTTGTGCAATTCAGGCCTTTTAAGTTTACATGCCTAGAGAGTTGTGTAAAAATAGTGCAGGGCTGAATCTTCCAGTGAAGTTATTTTTTCTAACGGAACAATTTCTGAAAATTGGGACTGAAATTATAGTTTGCACATTGTAATGCACTGAACTTCCCTTCTACTTTCCTCTAAATAGCATTGTACTGTATCCAATTGCAGGGATGGGATAAAATTACCACGGAAGATTTCAGAGTCTCATTCTTAAACCAAAATGTTGCCCATTACACGTGGAAACTCTGAATGGGGAAGGGTCAGAAACAAAGGTGACATTAGATGAGTGAATGCTCTGTGGGTTGTGACTTTTACTAATGGAAAGGAACAAATTTTCCATTTTGTATATGTGTATACATTGGAAATACGTATACATATGCTATTACATGCATGTATATAAATCTACTTATTGTTTAAGTTGACCTGCATATGTTTTAATTTTGCTGCTAAAAGCTGTGTCATAAGGATATATTCCTACAACCCTTTTAAAATTAAAAGCTATTCAGCCAAAGGGAACTTAAAAAGAAATTACTTTTTTTTTTTGCCAGAAGCAGATCAAAATTTCCATTGTCAGGAACCAGTTATGATTTATAAACATAATTACCAGTGATGTCCTGGGAAGAGAACCTAGGGGAAATGAAATTTGTCTTATTTTTTTAAATGGCCCGCAATTTATTATCCACTCCCTGAAACTATTAGCAACTTGTTTTTCCTTAATGTGCAAATGTCCCCATGCCCCAAATTTCTCCATAACAATTTCTCCCTGATGCTAATTCTAAGATTTCACATATCTTCTTGCCTATTTGCTGAAAGGAGCTGGTGTGAGTATATGCTGTCTCTCTGAATGCCACAGATCTCTCATACTTGGCTCACATTTTGTGTGCTTTCATAACAATCTACCTGTTGGTATTCCTCACCTCTAGATGTACTGATATGGTTATATACACACTTTTCAAAGTTAACATCGCCAATTGTTAATGGGCCAGCCTGCCCTCAGGGGCTTCCTGGTCAGATGCCCATCCTTCAGTGGCATTTCTGCCAGAAGAGCGCATATTCTGAATATAATTAGGAAGGAACTTCAGACAGACCCAATCTGAGGGACATTCTACAAAATACCTGGCCTTTACTCTTAAAAAATAACAGCGGCATTATTCACAATAGCAAAGACTTGGAACCAACCCAAATGTCCAACAATGATAGACTGGATTAAGAAAATGTGGCACATATACACCATGGAATACTATGCAGCCATAAAAAATGATGAGTTCATGTCCTTTTTGGGACATGGATGAAATTGGAAATCATCATTCTCAGTAAGAATAAAAAACCAAACACTGCATATTCTCACTCATAGGTGGGAATTGAACAATGAGATCACATGGACACAGGAAGGGGAATATCACACTCTGGGGACTGTTGTGGGGTGGGGGGAGGGGGGAGGGATAGCATTGGGAGATATACCTAATGCTAGATGATGAGTTAGTGGGTGCAGCGCACCAGCATGGCACATGTATACATATGTAACTAACCTGCACAATGTGCACATGTACCCTAAAACTTAAAGTATAATAAAAAAAATAAAATAACAGCGTGAAGCACCAAGAAAGGCCACCTAACCATTCCGGATGAAAGAAGACTGAAGAGGCATGACCTGACTCGCATGCAATGTGTGAACCTGGCTCGGATCCTGGACTTGGAGGAAAAAGCTATTAAAGGATATTATTGGGACAATTGGAAAAATTCAAATATGTATCATAGATAAGATCAATGTCAATATTAATAAGATAGTGTCCATGTTAAATTTTCTGATATTAATAATTGTACTGTGGTTACAGAAGAGAATGTCCTTGTTCTTAGAAAATATGTCCTGAAGTAATTTAAGGGGAAAGGGGCATGATGCTTGTAACTTCATCTCATATGATTCAGAACATCTATCATCTATCTATCTATCTATCTATCTATCTATCTATCTATCTATCTATCTATATCATCTATCTATCTACCTATCTATCATCTATCTATCAAATGAGAGAGAGAGAGAGAGACAGAGGGGAGTGGGAGAGAGATATTGATTCATGAAGATGGAGCAAATGGTAGCAATAGTAAGCCTGTGTAAAGTGTACAGTAGACTTCATAATAGTTTTGCACCTTTTGGTAAGTTTGAAATTATATCAAAATGAAAACTTACTAAAATAAATAATAAATATGTACTTTACTTAATTATATTCTTTAACTTTCTTGGGGAATGATTTATGGCTTAATGTTGTAGGGAATAATAATCTTTATATATATTTTTTTTCTAATTCTATTCTTGGAGTCCAAATCTCATACCAGAACAGCATCAGCTTTTCCAAAACGTCCTGCTATAATTAATGAGGAATCTGGTGCAGGGTTAATTTTGAATGAAAAATATTTGGGTTGAATGATAGCACCAGATGACGGAAGCACTAATGTGATTCCATGCAGGCAGAACACATCCAGCTGTGGAGGCCTGGGGGAGAAAAATTTGAAAAGAAAAAGTTTTATAAAATTTGTGCAGCCTGGAAAATAAGGGATACTAATCACTGTTAAATAATTTTGGAGGCAAAACTAATTATTAGTAAAATCATTGAAATCAAAATGAGAATACAAGTATAAGAAATGTTAAAATTTATTTAATTCTTTTAGCTGCAGTCTTTTGTGCTATTCTTTAGCCTTTCTGACTTTTACTTTCAGCAATGTAATTCTCATTGTATTTCACTTATGGCAAAGATCTAAGTCTGAACTTTTTGACCCATTAGGGTGTGATGACTAGGAATATATCTGTGTGTGTGAAAGAGAGGTTTAAAAGACATTAGGCCAGCACAGTGGCTGACATCTCTAATCCCAGCATTTTAGGAGGTCGAGGTGGGTGGATCACCTGAGGTCAGGAGTTCGAGACCAGCCTGGCCAACATGGTGAAACTCCATCTCTTCTAAAAATACAAAAATTTAGCCAGGCATGGTGGTGGGCGCCTGTAATCCCAGCTACTTGGGAGGCTGAGGCAGGAGAATTGCTTGAACTCAGGAGGTAGAGGTTGCAGTGAGCTGAGATTGCACCATTGCACTTCAGCCTGGGCAACAAGAGCAAAACTCCATCTCAAAAAAAATACATAAATAAAAATAAAAATCAGGAAATTATGTGTGTGTCTGTGTGTATGTGTGCAATTGATTTTTTTTTTTAATTTAGGAAGTATGTTGAACTATATACAAGGCATTGCACTAGATCCTAATGGAGTCTAAGGATACAAATACTAATAATATAAGATCTGTATTTTGTAGGAATGTAAAGTTTGAAGTTATGAGTGGAGGGAACAGGCAGTTAAATAGGTTATGAGAAGATTAAGATTCTGTGTAGGGCAGTAATGCTGTAATGAGCATGCAATACAAGGGGCACTTGGAAATGAGTGGTTATTAGGGAAAACTTTAAGGAGAGTTTTAGGCATAAAGAATAGCAAAGAGAAGACAAATAAGTGAGAGAGAAGAGGTCAAGCATCTTCTTAACTTCTACTTTCCTGACTCCTCCAAGGAGGTATAATCAAGGGATTTTGGATTACTGTATCTGTAATTTGAGTTCTAAGCTGTTAGCAGTAAAATTTCTGACAGTCACTCTCATCATGTCCTTTCTGAGGTCTGGGCAGACTTATCCCAGAGTTTTTCTGGGTCTGCTATATGGTATAGGTATGACCTCTGAAGCCACTTAACTTAAGCTTTTCTACCTCATGACATCCATACCTGCTGCCCTGCTGGGGTTCCTGGGAGGTCCTCTGAGACCAGTTCAGCCACTGAATTGAGGAACCATCTCTTCTTTATTACAAATAACTTTTAATGAATCTGATCATCATCCTGGTATTCTCCAAAGGAACCAAGCACTAAGATGCTGCAATATACTTTGCCCATGGAGGTCACCATTTAGAAGGTGCTCTGTCATTATCTCTTTAACATTGCCTCTTCAACTACTCTCCTTTTTGGAACTCTGGTTGAAAATATGGTAGACCTTTCTGCTTTATTCTTCAGGTCTCTTAAACTCTTTTTGATATTTTTCTCTTTTATTTCATTAGCTGAATTCAGGATAGTTTCTTTGGATCTATCTTCTAGTTTACCAATTGTCTCTTCAACTGTATCTATTTTATTTAATCTGTTCACTGAGTTTTTTAATTTCTAAAACGTCTATTTGATTTTTTTAAAAATATGCTTTTTTTTAAATACTCTCATGTTACTGGCTCAGTTTTCAAGTTTCTTTTTAATTTCTTTATGGTTAGAAACATAATTATGTTATATTCTGGATCAAAAAATTCCAATATCTGAAGTTTTTGTGGTTCTTTTCTGCTTTCTGTTGTTTTGGTTGACTCTACTGTATGTTTTCATGTGTCCTTGATGTTTTGTGACCTTTTTTAGTGGGGGATGATATTCTTTTTAACTATGAAAATTCATTAGCATCTAGATTGAAGTAATGTTCCTCTGAAGAGAGTTTGCATTTGCTTTTTTCAGTCATCTTATGCACACAAACTCTTCAGCTAGATTGTTTAAAATAAAATTCTCTGCTTTAAGGTTTCTGAATTACATAGGTAGGTGAATTTGAACTTCAATGGTGTCAGCTCTGAAGATCTCTTCTGCATTTCTCTGAGGTTGAAAGAGGCAAATTTTTGTGCTGTCTACTTCTGTGAAGTGGGCATATTTTTCATTTGTCCTAAGGCTGAGAGTATGTAGATCTTTGATGTCCCAGCAGCATGTAGAGTATCCTTCTATTTACTTTCCCACCTTGGGCACATATTTATCTCTTGTCCTTCACACCTGCTGCAGTTGTTATGGTGGAAACTCAATGTCTTCAGGGCTCAGCACAAGTCCTAGAGGGAAAGCCGGCATTGGCACATGCTTAACTTTTGAATTTCTGCTTTCACTTCACTTTTGATCTCTGTGGGTTTTATATATATATTTTTTGCCAGCTCAGCAATGCAATTCTTTTCTTAATTCAAAATTTTAGTCATTTTTGTTGGCAGATTCTTCCAGAATATCTGGTCTATAATAGTGCCAGAAACAAAAGTTGACTCTAAGCTTTCCAGCAGTCAATGAGAAGAGAGATATCTACTCAATTGCATAGTCGCAAGGGCCAGGAGAAAAATGACTCTCAGTTGCTTTGGAGGGATGCAACAAGTTTTGGCACTGAGGTCAGACTGGGATATTTCTCAGCAGCCATTCCAGCATACACTGTAGTCTCTGCTATTGCCTGGATGGCACAATAGAGCCAAGCAGCTGCTTCACCAGGCTTCATAACCAACACCCTTTGAGATTGTCAAAGCAGGGTGGTATTTGAGAATGAAGAAGATCCTGGAAGACAAATTACTCTTTTCACTTTGTGTTTTATACATGTAAGATGGGTCACAAAGCTAGGTAGCTTTTCCAAGACGCTTCCAAATTCTCATGCCTTCAGCTTTCTTAGGCATGCCCAGACAGATTGGAATCTTTTATAACCCAGGCACAGAAGGTAATTCTTCACTTAGGCAGCACAGAGTTGTCCTCTAAATGACATAGGTGGAATGAGTCTACTATAATGTAGTAAAACTGAGTCAGCATCTTTCACACCCTTTTTATGGCACAGTCCAACCACCGTAAAAACATGTCTCTAGATAAGTTGAAATCAAAGATCAAAATGTTTTGCAGTTAGAGGATACCTTCTGTAATGATTAACCATTATACATTTAGTATCATGTTCTAGTTATATTTTAGTTTGATTTGCTAGTAAACGAGCTTGTAGAGTGAAAGAATACTTACTTGGTTACATGGAACTACTAAAATTAAAGAGATTAACACTTATTAAATACATCAAAAAGTCTTAAGAGTTTTCAATGAAACTTGTCTAGAAGACATGTTTTCTATAACAGTGAACGGATTATACGGCACATGGAATCCTAGATTTTTCTTTCAACCTAAATCAAAATGTGTGGAAATATTAATAAAAAACCTATTTGTAAGGCTGTGCTACGTGAATCATATTCCGAGAACAGCACTAAAAACATGGTTATTTAAAGTTTTAAACCTGGGAGAGTTGAGAGGAAGAAAAACTTTTATATTATGAAATAAGAAAAGTTTAGTGAATTGGTAAGACCAATTACCAAGAAAGGATTTCTGGGAGGCTGGGGGAATAAACTTTAGTCAAAAGAGAAATGACTACCTTGCAATTTCAGCTGGATTTTAGTAAAGAAACAAAGGGTTGAAAGCAATTGTGTGAGTTCTCTTATCCTGTATAGTGAAAAGAGAACTAACATTCTTAGAAGGCATTTTCTGTCATTTCTCAGAAATAATAAAAAGTACTATGAGGACTTCCTGAAGTGAATTGGAAAGACAGAAATCGACCATCCCTTATTGGTTGGGACCCATGCTGAAGAAATGCCTTTCAAAACAAATTGGTGATTCTGGCCACATTGTGAGTTTAGCAAAAACTCTTGCCTAATTCTGAAACTTTTGGGTTCAGTGAACTAACTAAGTTAATACTCTCTGTGTTAATTTTTAACCCACCTATTGTTTTCTCTTTCATATAGCATATGTGATAATAGCAACTGTAAAGGCATAGTTGCATCTTTGTTTTTAATGGTTTCTATAGTTGTTTTCTGGTTTCTAACCAGGTTCCCCCCTCCTAGACAAGTTTTCCCCAATGACATAAAGGCTATAGATTCCAATGTGTGCTTTGTAAGCAGGAAATGACTGTTTTTAGGTTCAGAATTTTTTTCCCCTCACAAATAAGAAACCCTGTTTGTCAGCTAGAAGAACTCTGTTCCCAAGCACTAGAATCTAGTGTGAATATTCAAACAAGTGAACACATCTAAATCTGTAATTTTGTTAGCATTTTGAGAAAGAGCTTGAAGCTCTTTTCATTTCCTTTCTCATTTCAGTCAGTTGGAATTGAATTAGTCCCAATAATATTCTCACACTGGTTCCTCACTGGCCTTTTTTACGTGAATGTGGAAAACACATAAAGAAATGTTGGTCTATCCAAAGAAACTTTAGACAATGAAAGGAGAATAATTACTCACTTTTAAGGGTAGGAATGACACTGAGTTTGGAACCTAAGTGTTTACATTTTTTAAAGGGGCAATGGAGGTGACTATTGATACTAAAAAGCCCTGGTCTGTTAGTTTCACTATTAAATGACAAGACAATTTTTAAATTGATGAAGTAAAGTAATGTGAAATCCCTCAGTTTGAATTTTCATGCAAGTTATAAAATTTCATTGGGTGGTAGTTTATTTTCCACATTATAAAATTTAATTTAAATCACTTTTCCCACAAAGCTTTGGGTGTAAATCATCAAGATTTGCCTAATTTATTTTCCATTTCAACATTATATTCTCCAAATTCATGACTTCACATTACACGCATGATTTTAGATTTCTCAGAAAATGTTGAAAGGAACCCATCACATAGACAACACAATATTCAAATGACCACTCATGCATTGGTTCAGGTGTAAATGATCTTTCAGTGCTGACTGATTGGTTTAAAGGTTTTAATAAATGAAAACTTACAAAGAATCCATAAGTTCCATCCCTTTTTTTGGGTTGATCCTCCCCACATTGTGGAAATCTTTTCTTTAGGGCATGTAGTTTCATCAGGAGTAGACAGTCTGCAGTGATTGGGGGAAGCTATGGTTTTTGTTTGTTCAGCATCATTTCCCATCCTGTTCCTTCTACTCCTGCCCCATTCCTAGTGGTCCAGATGGTGATGTCAGTCACAATGACCTGTCCTCACTTCATCGGTGAGTATGTGGCCAAGCCTAGCTGCTGGAGTGCCAAGTGTTGATTCAGGAATGTGCATATGACCCCAGAAAGATAAATTGTTGTCTTCCCTGAGAGATTGTCATAGGGCTTCTAATGGGTGGGGGAAGTCTAATTCCACGGTGGCTGCTAGGCCGGACAAATGTGCACCTGGAGCTGATTGAGGTCATTCTATCTGACACAAACACACAGAAAGAGCTTGCCTATAGTTTAGCAAGCAGAAATAAGCATAGCTGAAAGGTGGAGAAGAAAAGAAGCAGAGCTCTGTGTATATTGTTTACCTCTGGGTCCGTCCATGTTTAAAGATATATTCAGCTCTGGACTTCCCAATTGCATAGTCACTATAGTCCCCCTTTCCTTAAGCCAGTTTGAGTTGAGTTTTTAACATGTCCAAGCAATAAGGATCTCAACTAATGCAGACTCTATTGCAGAACTTCTTGCGAGTCCTGACCATAATTCTGCTAAGTTCTTTCTCTTGCTCTTTCACTTTTTCTTGTTTTTTCTTTAGTATTACCAACGATCGATAGACATTCTGAAGTTTTTATGCTAATATGAACAAATTCCCCAGAAGAGAAAGTGATTTCATACTGCAATTCAAACATAAATTCCCTGCTGAGAACTACTGAGGTGCTCGTAGTTACCCACGGCCTTGTGTAATAACTTTGGGCATAATGCTTTCATTTACAGTTACTGTTGTGTAGAATTGAGAGCACCCTGGGAGTTAACCTGTAGGACAATGTAAAGAGGAGCATATATTCTTTCAAGGGATTTGTAGCTGTCATTTCATTTTTTGAGAGTTATCAATGGAGGTATTGTTGCAAACAGCTGTACTGTGAAGGCATTTAAGCCAGTTATTACTGCCTGTGGTGTCTGCACTCACAATGCTGCAAATACTGAAATTATGATTTACAGAGGTGAAAAATGTAAGTTTTGTAAGATCTAGCTGTATAACTGGCTTTGTCTCTTCATGTGATTGGACAGATTCTTTTGTAATGATGAGTCTCAATCTGCTTGTAATTCTAATGAATTCAAAAGCTTTGGCTAGAATATATCATAACAGATACTAATACATTAATTTAGACAGCAATATGGTAACACAAATGTTATTTTTAATGTTTTTAATTACAGGTGCTCCTTGACTTATGATAAGGTTATATTTTGATAAACCCATTGTAAAATGAAAATATCATAAATTGAGAATGCATTTAATACATTTAACCTATGGAACATTATCGCTTAGCTTACTTAAATGTGCACAGAACACTTACGTTAGCCTATAGTTGGGCAAACTCATCTAACACGAAGCCTGTTTTATAACAAAGTGTTGAATATCTCATGTAGTTTATTGGACACTGTACTGAAAACAGAATGGTTGTATAGTTACTTGAGGTATGCTTTCTCACCATTCGAAAAGTTGAAAAGTTTTAAGTTGAAACTTTGTTGAGGACTATCTGTATGTCCCGATAACATTATGTTAAACCTGTATTACGCAGAATACAATTTGAAGACCCAGAATATAGTGAAATAATTTCTAAATGTGAAATATCTTAGATGTCAATAAATTTGGTTGAATGGAGCTGAAATGATACATGTCAGAATTGGAAAAATAATCTTAAGTTTTCTGGAAGAACTCTTTGATATATTGTCCAATAACTCTTTTCCTAACAATACAATGACCATCTTTAATATGTTAAGGTCTATTTTCACATCCAATTCAGGACTAATCTCTGCTAAAGTTCCTTCTTTTCTCACCTTACCCAAATCAAGTAACCCTTTACCTAGATGAAACTCTCCATTTGGCCAAGATTGATATAGGAATCAGTAATTAGGTTGTCCTTAGTGCTTCATGACTTATGATAGTAGATCATGCACCATTGCAACATCTTTTGATTCTTGTGCCAATTAAAAGCAATTCTCAGAATATTTGCCAAAGAGTAGCCAAAAGAATATTTCTGCATTAGTTTACAAGTTAACAGAAGATATGGTCTCTATCCAATTTGTGTGCACAGCATTTTCCAGATATGATTGTGTCATTTAATCAGTCTATTTAACTTAAAAGAATTTTAAAGATTATAGATCTTCTAGGATGATTTTATAGGTTATCTAAGAAAATACTCTGATTTCACAGGTGTGTCAGTTAGGATGCTTTGGGTTGCATGTGACAGAAAATGGATTCCAAGTTCCTTAAGTAAAAATGGAAATGTGGAGGTTCACGACACTGAATGTTGCAGGTTATGAGTTAGACTTTATCCAGGGTTCAGTCTCTGTGACTGGGCCTAGGTTTATCTCTCTAGTTCTTGCTCCTGCTTCCTCCATGAGGGCTAAATTCTCAAAGTTCCCAGAATGGGGACAAGCAGCTCCTACCCACATGCTTCCCAGCACTTCTACTGGGAAAAGAGTCTGCCTCCTGACACCTCAAGCAAAACCCCAGAAGTGAGTTCTCCTGGCCCTGGTTGGACTGACTTGGGTCATGTGCCACTCTTTCTTTTGAATTAATCTCTGTGATTGATGTGATCAGATTTACCGACTGGCTTAAGGCAGCCACTTCCAAACCTGGAGCTGAGGGCAGGATCAATCCCATGCCAACTGCATTGCAAAAGACATTCAGGTTGCAGTTTATGGTAATGGATGCTGGGGAGGCAACAGCAAATGCTAAGACAATGAAATCTGAGAATCGGAGGGCCTTGGCCCTATCACACAGAAATTAGCAAAGCCTCATCTAGAACCTAATTCAACGTTATTTTCATCTGTCAACAAAGGGCCATGAACTACTATTAATACACAAATTCATGCTGTCAGCACTGTGTGATTGTAGAGGAGTGGAGACGATGGGGCTATCCAGGGCAATCTTGATCAATGTATGGTCTGGTGCTGACTGTAAAAGACATCTGAGATGTCTGATAAAAATGCAGATTCCTGGGCCCCATCCTGGATTTGCTGAAGTAGAATCCATGGGGGTGGGGCCCAGGAATTTGCATTTTAAGCTTGTTTTCTAGACAGATGTCTTCCTGCAGATTAAAATTTGAGAACCATGGTTATGTGACCCATAAATTGTTGTGGTGAACAAACATTTTAAAACCTCTTACCATGGCTGCATCTGGGAGTGTATTTGGAAATATTTTCTATAAAATTTCTTTATATTGACTTTCCAGTTAAGACTGTAACTACTTCTAACCTATAATCTGGTCATCGCCTCTGTAAAGGGGATTATGCAGTCTTGCTGAATTCATTGGGTGAGCAGAAAAATCTGCAGAAGAGACTGATGGGCAAAGTTGAAAACTACCTTTGTTCTGCACTCTGAAGGAATATCACCAAGTGTACAAATGGTGAAGTTAGTACAAGTGGGGAAAACATAAATATATTTACTATGACAAATGGCATCAAATAAAGCATGCTATTACCCATTTATATATATTATTTACCTTTCAGAACTCTTAAATTGTTTTTCAAAGATGATTGATACATTAAGAGTTTGCTCAATCTGCAGTACTTGGACAGTAAAAGCAGGATGTTGACAGCAGCTATTGAAAATCATTTCCATGCTGACTGTGGCTTATAATAAGAAATACAACATTCACTGTGCTGCTTTGTCTGATCCTTGTTTTTGTCTGACAGCACAAATCTTGAGACAAATTTTCCACCTGCCTCCTAGAAACAACCTAAAGGGTACTTGTCTCCCATGTAGCTCTCTGTGAAAGTCCAAGATGGCTTTTGTTGTCTTATTAGCAGAATTTCTTGGAGACTGATGGGGTTGGGGGGTGATTGTCAATTTTGCTTTTAAATAGCAAACTGTTTGTGGAAGAACAGTGAAATTAAGAGTACTACCAGAGTAAATCTGATGTTTTTCCATTGCATTTCTTGCGATGCTATAGGATTTATGAGATGTATTATTGAACCATTGTCTACTTAGGGAGTTGAATTAATTTTTTATGTGCTGCCCGAGGAGAAAATAGTGTAAACAGAGTGGTGAGATAAAATTTTACATACAACAGTGATTTGAAATAAATATCAGTAGAACATAATCCAAAATAATAATAGATAATTACTGAGTTTTCACAAACCCTAAGTATTCAGTATTGCTGAGTGTGTTAAAATATGTTCTAAGCAATTTACAGGTAGTAATTTATGTAATCCCTAGAACTATCTGAGGAGGTAGATTTTGCTATTAAAATCAATTTACATATGAGGAAGCTGAGGCACACAGCAGTTAATACATTTACCTAAGTTCCCACACCTAGTAGGTAAAGGAATTGGAATTTGAAACCAGGCAGACTATATCCAGATCCATACTCTTAACCACCAAACTATAGATTTGGTTATGCATGATTGTAATGTATCATAATAAATCAGGAATTATATAAAAATTTCCCAATATCCTTTTTCAATGAGTTCTGTAGAGCAAAGGAGATAGTGTAAATTACACTACTAAATAGTATATGGCAGTATAAAGATTTTATGACTATGACTTGAAGCCATGCTCAATTGCTGATAAATACGGGATTTGGTTCAGCAGGCTTCTGGCATGCCGTAACAAGGACTAGGTAGATCTGAGCCATATCGGCCACCATTCTCTATAGTGACAATGTTCATCTGCCAGTAGCTCAAGAGGCCCTTTAAGTTGGTTTCACAAACACTAAATACTTGGGACGCTTGGGCATCTAGACTGGTGCCCTTTAAGTTTCACCACTGTTTAAATAAAATCAAGAAAATACATTTTTTATCAAGAGCCCAAGTCTCACTCTAAGGGACCCGGTCCCTCAGAAGCATCCCCTTAGGGTTGTAAAGAGCACATTGTTGGAAGATGAATGCTTCTGATTAAAGGAATCTCAAATCTAAAAAAATAAAAAACAAAAAAACTAGTGCACATGGATGTGTTTAAATCATGCAGAGTTTTCGTCTGATTATCTGAGACCAATGTAGCCAATCTGCATTGCAAGTTGATGGATGAGGCTTAGGAATTCATATATGGTGATTGGTATGGTTTGGCTGTGTCCCCACCCAAATCTCTTGTCATATTGTAATCCTCAGTGTTGAATGTGGGGCCTGGTGGGAGATGATTGGATCATAAGGGTGGTTTCTAATGGTTTAGCACCATCCACTAGTGCTGTCTTGTGACAGAGTTCTCACGAGATCTGGTTCTCTGAAAGTGTGTAGCACCTCCCCCTTCACACACACTCTGTCTCTCCTGCAGGCCTTGTGAAGAATTGCCTGCTTCCCCTTTGCATTCCACCATGATTGTTAAGTTTCCTGGGTCCTCCCTGGAAGCAGAAGCCTGTAGAGCCTGCAGAACCATGAGCTGATTAACCTCTTTTCTTCATAAATTACCCAGTCTCAGGTAGTTCCTTACAGCAGTTTGAGAACAGACTAATATAGTAATGAAATTATACGTGATCACCCTAGAACTACATAAGCCTCTGGCTGGCTTTCCTAGTGCTTTTTCTAACCAAAGGGCAGATGCTTTGTGATGACAGCAATGCAGTGTGGTTATGAGTGCTTGAAGCTGACGTTGCCTCTCAAGTACATTTTTAATAACAGTGATGAAAATGACAAGCTCAAAATTCATCCTTCATGGCAAATAATTATCTGCACTTTTTGTACATTCCCTTTCAGTCTTTGTTCTTTTACAGATGGAATTTTGTATGTTTGTAATCTTGCTGTATATATGATTTTGGATCCTGTTTTTTACTTAACATTTCCCATGCTGCTGTAATTTTTATAATTGTTGTTATCTTAATGGCTACCCAATAAACCATTGAGTTGATTATCACATTTTATGAAAATATTTATAATTGCTAAGCTTTTAGATTTTTCTACTTATTTGCCATAATAAACAACAGTACGTAGCTGGGTTTGGCACATGCACCAAGTCCTGCTCACAACTTATTTTTTTAAAATTAAAAAATTTTTTTTTTTGAGACAGAATTTCTCTCTTGTTGCCCAGGCTGGAGTGAAATGGTGCCATCTTGGCTCACTGCAACCTCCGCCTCCTGGGTTCAAGTGATTCTCCTGTCTCAGCCTCCTGAGTAGCTGGGATTACAGGCATGTGCCACCACACCCAGAAAATTTTGCATTTTTAGTAGAGATGGGGGTTTCTCCATGTTGGTCAGGCTGGTCTTGAACTCCCAACCTCAGGTGATCCGCCTGCCTCAGCCTCCCAAAGTACTGGGATTATAGGCGTGAGCCGCTGCGCCCAGCCCACACCTTATTTTTGTAAATAAAATTTCAATGGAACACATTCACACACACTTGTTTGTGTATGGTCTATGCTGCTTTCACATTACAACAGCAGAGCTGAGTGGGTACAACAGAAACCCTACGGCCTACAAAGCCGAAAATATTTATTATCTGGGCTTTTACAGAAAAAGTTTGCCCATTCCAAATTATTAACTTAGGACCCAAATTGATTTTGGATAATTTTGTTAAGATAAATTCTGATAATAGGGGTTCCTTGGCCCAAGTATGGTCTCAAAGCATATTTCCCAATGTTTTCTAATGCTGTCGTCTTGATTTATGATGCTACCAGCAACATATAGCTGTGCAACTTTCATCCAACTGTACCGTAAGTGGGTTTCATCACTTTAAGTTTTTCTTACTTTAATGACTATTGATAGTATATCATTGGTGTTTTTGTTTTCTTCAGTACAAAAAAGATATTTCTCTGTAGATTGATCAGTTGTTTTCTCTTGTATAAAATGTCTGTTCATGTTTCTTATATGCTAATCTACCAGAGTCTTATTGCTTCACTGGTTAATTTGTCTGAGCTTATGGATGATTTTCTGACTTACATTGAAAGAACCAGCAATAAGATATGTGGTCGATGGCTTACTGCACACAGATATGCATAAATCATGCAAGCATTATGTGATTGATTAAAGCAGATAGAGAAGTCAGGCTTATAATAATTATGAATGCCACCTTTTAAAGCTAGAATATCTGTGTTACTGATGTAAATAATACCAGTAGCTCTTTTATTACTCTCTAAATCTGTAAGCTGAACTCCTGCAAGGAAAATATGTCTTCTTTATGTAATGAAAATATTTGCTTATGTAGTATTAAATTTCTCATTTGTGTGTGACTCATTAAAGTAGACAACTAACTCAGCTCTAGTCCTAAATAAAAGAAACTTGTTACAATAATCCTTTTTTTTGTCAAGATGCAAAATGTTGATAAGCTTGAGTCTCTCCCACTCTGGCTGCAAAAATTAAAAAGGGCTACAACAAAATTATAGACTGGAAATTTGTGACCAAATACAGCACAGGATTCTTAGACTGCAAGGAAGACAGCTTCAGAGAAAGGAACAAGGAGAGTTTACTTATACTTGTTTATACCCCTAAGGAGGGCTTTTTTGTACATATTTGTTGGTAATATTTTGAAGATGTGAAGTCAATGCACTTTAATCCGCTTTGGTATCATGGTCCCTTCCAGCCTTCCACCTCTGAGGCTGAGCCATGAGGCCTCTTGCCCCAGGGGACAGTAGGACAGTTCTGCCTCCAGCAAAGGTGTGATGGATCAGCTTTACTCACAAAGCTGAATTTCTGGAGCACGCAGCAAGATCATGATTTTGAAAGCCAGGCTTTGGGAGAAGGAAATGTGTTTTCTAAGTTTCTTTAGCTTCCATGAATATAAAGTGTTGGCTAATTACTATATACAAATGTAGTTGGAACTCAGAGTTTAGAGATATGGAGAAATTAGAAGTATTTCCCTTTTCCTCTGAGATATGGAACAGCAAAATGAAAGGAAGACAAAGGGCAATGATATTGGGCATTACAGGGTAGGGTGCAACTTGGCCATCTGCAGCATGTTGTAGAGGAAATAGTGCCACAGTGATTGAAGGATGGCGTGGCGCAGGCCGAGCTCTTTGCTCCCATGCCTGCAGGGGTGTGCAGGGCTTCCAGCTGTTCTTTGATGCTTTGGAGAGAGACAAAGAGAGCCTAAGCAGAAGACAAATGGGGACTTTAGTGTCCAAAGCCCATGGTTAGGACCACAAAACCCAGTCTTGTATGCCAGCTTGACGCCAGATGATCAGATAGCACTCATTGCCCCTCTGTGTTCATCAGTCCAGAGAGCTGATCAAACCGTCAGATGGACAGAGGACTAGGAGGATCCCAGAGACTCGCTGCGCTCAGTCCTCTGCACACCCAGACCACCTCTTGGTGTTAGCCAAGTGCTGCGGCTCAGAGCACAGGCTCAGAAATCAGACTGCCCACGTTTGAAAGCTGGTTTCAACATGCTTCAGCTGCCTCATCTTGGTCAATTTACTCATTTTCCTCATTTCTCAAGTCAATGTAGGGTTGTCATGACAGTTTAAGATAATTTTTATAAAATGCTTAAAAGGTGCCTCACACACATTAACCCCCTAATATTCTCATTAATGTTGGTTGTCACTGGGGGCATTGACTTGAAAGAGACTGACTCACCAAAAGAGATTGCTAAAGCTAAAAGAGAGTGATGACATCTGTCACAATGAAGTTGATTTCACCCTGCTCAGTGGAAGATTAGGTTATAGGAAAATAAAGTGATCACATTTTCTTTATTCACCTGAGTACAGTGCTTGTGATGTGTGACTTCTGAACAGAAACAGGGCCAGGGACCCTCCCTACATCTCTTGAGCCCCTCTAGCCACTGTCTCTTCTTGACTCCTTAGTCAAGCTTTTAGAGTCATGCTGTCAAAGTCTCCATTTCCTCTCCTCCTCCCTGGCTCCCCCACTTCTCTACATTGCACCTGCTACCTGCCTTGTTACCCACCTAACCTGTGCTCCCGGGCTCTGCCACTGTCCTCCTCATCAATTTTCTAATCTTTTCTGTCTTCCTGATGTGGCCACTCTTCTTTTCTGCTTAGGCTCTGTGACATGGCTCTGTTTCTGCTCTTCTGTTCTAGGTGCTCCTTTTAGCCTCTTGTAGCCCTTCTCTTCCTTCTTGGTCCTTGAAATGTTGTTGTCTTCACAGTTCTTGGTTCTTGGTTCTCTATATTTTCCTTCTACCCCAACTCATGATATCAGCTGCTACCTGTGAAGGTAAACACATCTGAATCTTAAGTCCAGATGTTGTTTTGGAGTGTAAATGCCATAAATTTGTCTATGAAATGTTTCTTCTTCATGGGCGTCCCATGCATTCCTCAAAGTCAACATATCCCCAGCTGAACTCACCTTCTTCCTCCTCTACTCCCATTTTCAAAGTGCCCCAGCTGTGTGGCAAATGACACCCAAGCCAAACCAAAAAAGCTATCCAGAACACCCACCTCTCCTCCACCACCAGCTACCCCGTCAGCCACCGAGTTCTGTGGACCCTGCCTCTTCAGTACCTTTCCTATCAGCACCCTTCTCTGCAGATCCTCTGCCTCTGACTGCTTTTAAGCACTCATTGGTTCTTGCCTGGATTACTGCAAAACCCTTTGTCATAGGTGTCCTGAGTTGGGCCAACCTCCATTCCCCCATCAAAGAGATCTTAAAGAAAACAAAACAAAATGTAAAACAGAGCTTTTCTGCTTCTTATTTAAATTGTTTAATGGTTCCTTATGCCTTCCAGCTATGGGTTCTAAATCGGAGGTCTGAGTTTGTAGAAAAAGCTCTTGCTGAGGCCAGTGCTTCACCTGTGACTCTTGCCCATCACTACACCAGTCATGTGCCTCAGTGCTAACCTCCTACTCAGATGCTATTTTACACGTCTGGCTCTGTGCACATATTCACCCATGTTCTTAGAATGCTTTCCCCTAGCTAACCCCCATATATCTTTCAAAATTCAGATCAGTATTTCTGTAGGAAGATCTTTTGCATTGCCCTCGGGTCAATACCTGTCCCTGCCCCAAATAACTCCATTAGTTGGCTCTCCAGTGTTCTCCAAGATGAACTGTAATCTCCTTGAGGGCAGAGATTCCTAACTATTTCTTCAGTGCCTGGCAACTGGTAGAGAGCTAGCATTTATTGAATGAATGAAGAATGAATAAATGAATGAACATGGCTCAATGCAGATTAATGAGTCTCTGAAAAATCCAGTTATGTGACCTAGAAGACTGATGAGCCTTCACACTTCATAATGGGTGATTAGCAGTAGCTTAGATAGCAGTATAGCTGAATGCCAATGCTGCTGGCTTACGTAAACCTTTTTTTTATCTTTAGTGATTTTATTTTTACTATATAAACCTTTTCCTAAATAAGCAGAAGCAGAAACCCTCTCTAATGTTCCAGTAAATTTAATCTTCATAGATAAATACTTTTTAGTAATTAGCTGTTTCCTCTGCTATTATTAAGTGAATATGTAATAATCCTACAGGAATTACCGACTATGAAAACTGACTTTACATAAAGTATTGTCCAACCAGTACTAATTACATAAGTTAATCTAAAAATCTCAGATCAGTAGGATGTAGTCTGGGCACATTAAGAAATGTTTTTGTATCCATTGTTTGGGACATTTGGCTGCCTCGTAATTTTATATACCCTTTTCATTTTTCTCAAGCTCCAGGGATACAGCCTGATTTCATTTTTGGAAGTTGACACTTTATTTTTTACCTCCTGAGTTTCTTTTTGTCCTGTTGGCCAGGAGATGGAACATTTTTTTTTCCTCAATAGACTCCTTCCTTGACAGCCCAATAAATAAGTAGAGAAATCTTGCTCTTTTAAAACTTTACAGTCTTTTTTAAATGGTTTTCTAAGTTTTCTTTTTTTTTTTGTCTGGGAAATCATCTGAGACTTGGTGCCCTTAAATCTGTTTTTTAGCCTTCCTTTTGGATAGGGATCTCCGTTTCCCTCTGAGGTTTCAGAAATAAAAGTAAATTTCCTCATTGAGCCTTCCCCCAAATTTCTTCCCAAGACAGGCTGTGAAAAATCACCTCCTTCACCTTTATATATATAAGAAAATCTCTTTCACTTCATGACTTGGAAGTTTAGCCCTCAAATATGGTTCAGTTCTGTCTCTTATTTAATTTTTAAGGAAATGTATTTTCTGGGTAGAATCAAATTGTTTCTCAACCAAGGGAGCTACTGCCTAATTCCTGAGAATACTGTAGAACTGTTGAGGTGTTTTAGTTGTCCAGGAACTAATGGTTGCCTTCAGCATTTAAGAAGTGGACACCAGGATGATAAAACTCCCGCAATGCAGGGCATTGTCTTACACCAAAGAATGGTCCAGCCCAAAATACCAATGGGACCCTTGTTGAAAAACAGTGGAGACATAGCTGGTTCTGCTTTTAGGTGAGCTGATTCTTCATCTACTGCCTTTGCATTAATATCTGGATCTAATTCCACTCAAAGTTGTAAAACATTGGTGTGTGTTTTATGAGTTGGAAGTATTCTCTTCAAAATTTGTGTCGTTTTACCATTCTATTTATGTTATATTTTGATTAACATTCTTAACATTAATTTAGTTGACTTTGTCAATTACTTTTTCTTAACAGTTTCATGTAAGAAAGTCTTTTGTATCCTAATGTAGCAATATTCTCTTCTACTTTCTGCTAAAAGGTTTAGAAATTAGCCTTTTGGATTTAAGTCTTAAATACAATGAGAATTGATTTTTGTGAATGGTCTGAGTAAGAAATCCAAATTTCATTTTTTTCTTATAGAGATAACCAATTATTCAAGCATACTTTATTTTTTCCCCAGTTGTTTACACTATCATCTCTGTCAAATATGAAGTTTCCACACTTCATATTTGATACACTTCTGGGATCTGTTTTTCCTTCCACTGGTCGGTTTTTCTGTCTGTGTGCTAGTGCCACACTGTCTTTATTTTATAGCTTTATACATCTGGTTACCTGGTAAGGCAAGTACCCCTTATGTTATTCTTCTTTATAAATATCTAATCTAATTTTTTTTTTCTTGAGATGGAGTCTTGCCCCATCGCCCAGTCTGGAGTGCAGTGGCATGATCTAGACTCACTGCAACCTCTGCCTCCTGGGTTCAAGTGATTCTCATGCCTCAGCCTCCTGAGTAGCTGGGATTACCTGTGTGCACCACCAAACCTGGCTAATTTTTGTATTTTTCGTAGAGATGGGGTTTCAACATGTTGGCCAGGATGGTCTCAAACTCCTGACCTCAAGTAATCCACCTGCCTCAGCCTCCCAAAGTGCTGGGATTTCAGGCGTGACCATGCCCAGCCTAGAAATGTCTAATCTATTGTTGGCCCTTTGGCTTTCCATATAATATTAGACTGAGCTTGTAAAATTCATAGAAAAATTTGTTTCAGATTTCATTAGTATTGTTTGAAAATAATTAATGTATTTACAATATTGAGGCTTCTTGTTCATGAACATGGTAAATGTCTCCATATTTGATACCTCTTGTACACCATTTCAAATTGCCTCAGCCCTCCCTCTCATTCTAGCCATAGTTGTAGTGACCAATCCCAGGCCGACTTCAACCAGCTTCACACACTTGCAGACTGCCTGCCTGCCTTATCTCAAAATCATGTTATATCTTTTGCTTCTTTGGCTGGATCTTCTCTATTTAAGATGTCTGTGGAAAAACACTTAGAACATATAAGGGCACATCCTGGAGGATAGGATAATCAATACCCTGCTTAGCAACCCTTGATCATTAGAGAATGGGAATTAATAGATACATGCAACTGCTTTTATTCACAATGAAGGGAGGGGTCTGAGACACTCTTCATAAAGTTTCTCACATGAATCCATGGTAAAAAGCATCCAGTTGCCTGTAGCAATGGCCAACTCAGTAATGTGTCCTTGCATTGGCTCTCTCTTCCCTGTTTAACTTCTCTCAGCCCTCATTCCCTCCCATAAGATCAGACTCTCAATAAATGACCTTTACAAAAGGCTTTTCTCAGATTTCACCTTTGAGAGATGGAGAGACCCAGGCTAAGTCAGACTTCTTTTAATTATATTTTCTTTATTGGCTTTAAATATAGAGAAATAATTTTCTGTATATATCACTGAGATATATCTTCTGTCAGACTCATTTTATTGCTATTTCATACAGTTATTTTTTCAAAGTGTTTTCCATTAATTGCTGGTGTAGAGAAATGCATTTAATTACACATCCTGATCTTATAGCCGGCCTCTTGGCTAAACTCTTGTCATTTCTTAAATTTTTTTTTTTTTTTTGAGACAGCTTCTTGCTGTGTCACCCAGGCTAAAATGCAGTGGTGTGATCTTGGCTCACTGCAGCCTCAGTCTCCTGGACTCAAGTGATCTTCCTGCCTCAGCCACCCGAAGAGCTGAGACTACAGGTGCATGCCACCACGTCTGGTTAATTTTTGTATTTTTTGTAGAGACAGGGTTTTACTAAGATAGTAATTTTGTATGTTTTGTTGAGACAGGGTTTTACTGTGTTTCCCAGGCTAGTGTCAAACTCCTGGGCTCAAGTGACTTGCCTGCCTTGGCCTCCCTAAGTGCTGGGATTACAGGCATGAGCCACAGCACCCAGAGAAACTCTCTCATTTCTAATTAAATTTATCTGCAGATCTTCTTGGGAATTTTATCTAAACAGCCACATTTTCTGTAAATAATATTTTTCTTTATGCCATTATAATCATTATGTCTTTTATTTGTCTTATTTATCTGGCTACAATATTGAATAGGAGTGGTAAAAACTGATATCCATATCTTATTCCTGATTCTTGAAGGCTCCTAGCACTTTAGATATTAAAGAATGTTTTCTTTAGGACTTTGATAAATATTCTGTTTTAGATTGATAGGTTCCCTTCTGTTTGCATCTTGAAATTTTTTAAAACTGTGATTTAATATTAATTTATATCTAATACTTTTTCTGTTTCTATTAATATGATCTTAATTTGTTTAATGTGCTAATGATATTTATATATTTTATTCATTTAAATGGCTCTTGTATTTCTGGAATTAATCCAGCCTGGTCGTGGTATATTATTGTATTTATATAATCACTGGGGGTAATTTGCTGTTATTTTGCATAGGATAATTGCATTTATATTCATGAAAGAAACTGGCTTGTAGTTTTCTTTCTCTTTTTCTTACTGTTCTTGTGTCATTTTGGTAGCAATGCAATATTGGCTTCATAAAATAAGTTGGTTAGTAGTTTATAGTTGAAATATACTATATGAAAGGGGAAAGATCTTGAAAATTTGGTAGACTTTGATTGCAAAAGTATTTGGGGTCAATGTTTTCTTTGTTGGAAGACTTTTTAAAACAACTGATTTAATTTCTTTAATTGTTAGAGAAGTTTGGGGGCATCGTACATTTCCTCAAATACATTTTGTTAAAAAAAATTCTCTAGAAATTTATTCATTTTCATCAAAGTTATCCAATTTATTGGTACAAATATTTCTTTATTCTCTTGGAACTTTTGTTATGTCCCCATTTTCATTCTTAATTATTTTTGTGCTTTTTCATTTTTTCTTTATACTTGTGTTAGAACGTTCTTTGTTAGTTTTTGTAAGGACCAACTTTTGGCTTTGTTGATACATTCTGTTTCTTTTTAAAATACTTTTATTGAGTTATTCTTGTCTAATTCTGACCTCTTCCTTATATTTTCTTTGGGTTTCTTATCTTTTTTCCCTTAATTTTACAATTTGGGCATGTAGCTCATTAATCTTTAGCTGTTACACTTTTGTAATGTAATTTGAAGCTATAATTATTTTTCAACATACCATTTCTGCCATGTTCCACAAGGTTTAACATATATTTTTCCATCATTTTTCAATTCCAAGTATTTTTAAATCTCTATTCTGATTTTATCTTTGACATCTTAGTTATTCAGTAGTGTGTTTTACATTTGCCAACATAGCCTACTTTTCTTTGTATTTTGTTAGTTACATCTAATCAATTTGCAGTGACAGAATAAGCTCATAATATAAGCCAATTTTTTGAAAATTTTTGAGACATTATTTATAGTCAGTTATACAGTTAATTTTTTTTCCCATGGGAGATCAGAGTTTTATTATTATTCAAATCAGTCTTATACAATTATTTTTTACATGTGTTCATGTGTATTTGAGAAGAACACTTATTTTCTAACTTTGGCTTGCAGGGTTGGTTAATTGTGTTGTACAGTCTTTTATATGTTAATTATTTTTTGCTTGACCCATTAATAATGGAAATAAGTATATTGAAATGCCCCTCCTTATAGTATTGTCAATTTCATTCTGTAATTCTATTAAATTTTACTTTATGTCTTTTGAGACTATATTATTAGATGCATACATATTTATAATTATGATCCTAAGTGAATTAAAACTTTTTATGATTATATGTAATCATATAGTGACATTCTCTATCCCTAATAATGCTTTTTATCATAATGTCTGTTTTTCCTAATAACTACTTAAGCCTGTGTTAGTTTAGAATTTAAATGATATATCATTTTCTTCTCATATTTACAGATTTTTCAGGGCATTAAGTTTTTGGTATTTTTTTCCATGCAACCAAGCAATCTCTGACTTTTAACTGCCATGTTAAATTTATTTATGTTAAATTTATTTATATTCATTATTTTTATGGACATATTTTG
This sequence comes from Homo sapiens, assembly GCF_000001405.40. Lineage (NCBI taxonomy): Eukaryota > Metazoa > Chordata > Mammalia > Primates > Hominidae > Homo > Homo sapiens. The sequence goes on from NC_000004.12 coordinate 186,869,911, forward strand.
ACATTGCTAATTTTCTTTAAGTTTTAAAAATTTCCTGCTTTTAAATTATTTCTTGCTTGTTAAATCATCATTAACTGAGTTTTGTTTGAAAATTAAGCACTTCATTTCATTATTTTAGTAATTACTTCTGAAATATCATGCTTAATAAATTCATCCTTTTTAAAGACAGTACTAGAATCTTAGAAATATGTAACTCATATTATCCCATTGCAACTTAGTGCCATTTTGTCAAAATTTTAAGTTTATCTTTTTTAAAAGCTCATAAATGTGTAACATTATTTTATAGAGACAATATTTATTTATATTTATTCATATGCCAATTTTTTGCTTCCAAGTACTTTTTTAAAATCTCAGATCAGCTGGGCGTGGTGGCTCACGCCTGTAATCCCAGCACTTTGGGAGGCTGAGGGGGGCGGATCATCTGAAGTCAGGAGTTCAAGACCAGCCTGGCCAATGTGATGAAACCCCATCTCTACTAAAATACAAAAATTAGCCAGACATGGTGGCGGGCACCTGTAATCTCAGCTACTCAGGAGGCAGAGGCAGGAGAATTGCTTGAACCCAGGAGGCGGAGGTTACAGTGAGCTGAGATCGTGCCACTGCACTCCAGCCTGGGTGATAGAGCAAGACTCCATTAAAAAAAAAAAAAAATCTCAGATCATCCTTTTGGTGTCATTTTTCTTTTTCTTGTTAAAAATAATGTTTATTGTGTATATCTGAGGTTTACAACATTGTTTTAAAATTTAAAATCTTTTAAAATGGGATATATGTAGATAGTAAAACGATTACCACAGTGAAGCAAATGACCATATCTATTATCTTACATAGTTACTTTTTATGGTTTACAAGGGTAGCTAAAGTCTACTTATTTAACAAAAATCCCTAACAGCATACAATTCTATTAACTAGTCCTCATGTTGAACATTAGATCTCTAGACTCGTTTATCCTATATATCTGCTACTTTGTATCCTTTGATCTACATCTCCTCATTTCCTCCTGTATCCTTCACTCCTGGTAATGGTGGTATCATTCGCTATCTCTATATATTTGACCTTTTCCTTTTGTTTTTAGGTTCCACATATAACTGACATCATGCAGTTTGTATTTTGGTGCCTGGCTTATTTCACGTAGTGTAGTGTCCTCTAGGTGCCTCCGTGTCACGGCAAATGGCAGGATCTTTTTTTTTAAGGCTGAATAATATTCTGTTGTAAATATATCCCCTGGTTTTTTTATCCAGTCATTTGTCCAGGGATGCTAACGTTATTTCCGTATCTTAGCTATTGTGAATAATGCTGCAATGAACATGGATGGGAGTGCAGGCATCTTTTTGACAGGGTGATATCGTCTTCTTTGGGTATAGATTGAGAAGAGGGGTTGCTGGGTCATATGCTAGTACTATTTTAATTTCTTTAGGAACTCCATACTGTTTTCCATAATGGCTGCACCAATCTACATTTTTCACCAACAGTGTACTAGGGTTCCCTTTTCTCCACACCCTCAGCAACACTTACCTCCTGTCTTATTGATAATAGTCATCCTAATGGGTATGAGGTGACATCTCAATGTGGTTTTGATTTGTATTCGTTGATGATTAGTGAGGTTGAGTACCTTTTAGTGTACTTGTTTGGCCATTTTTATGTCTTCTTTAGAGAAATGTCTGCTTAGGTCTCATTTTTCTTTTTTTGAATGATCTCTTTTCATATTTATTTTAGCATAAATCTGTTTGTGGTAAAAATCTGTCCCCTTAAAAAATCTGAAATATTTTCATTTCACTTATTTTACTTAAAAATCCCTTTAATGTACAACTCATACATGGTAACATGTACAAATCTTAAGTATACAGCTAAATGAATTTTACATATAAAAATACATAAATATATATACTTTCACACACACACACACTCACACTCATTTAACCACCATCCAGATTAATATATAAAGCATTTCCAGCACCCTAGTAGGCTTCCTCTTCTGCCTCTCAGATAATATCCTCCAAAAATATTGTTTTGATCTCCATCTCCATATATTAGTTTATCAGCTTCACATTAATGGAATTGTACATGTATACCCTTTCCCTTATAGCCTCTTTAGACAACACTATCTCTTTGCAATTCATTCTTCTTGTTGCATGTAGCAGTAGTTCATCCTTTTTTCATGTTGTGCAATACTGCATCATATGACTATTCCATAATTTATTTATTCATCCTATTGCTGATGGGTTTGGACTATTATGATAAAGCTGGTAAGAACCTCCCTGTATATATCTTTTAGAGCAGGAGTCCTCAACCCCGGGGCCATGGACTGGAAGCAGTCCGTGGCCTGTTAGGATCCGGGCTGCACAGCAGGAGGTGAGTGGCGGGAGAGTGAGTGACGCTTCATCTGTATTTACAGCTGCTCCCCATCGCTTGCATTATGCCTGAGCTCTGCCTCCTGTCAGATTAGCAGTGGCATTAGTTTCTCATAGGAGCATGAACACTACTGTGAACTGTGCATGTGAAGGATCTGGGTTGCATGCGCCTTATGATAATCTAATGCCTGATGATCTGTCACTGTCACTCATCACCCCCAGATGGGACCATCTAGTTGCAGGAAGACAAACTCAGGGCTCCCAATGATTCCACATTATGATGAATTGTATAGTCATTATATATTACAATGTAATCATAATATACATAAAGTGAACAATAAAGTTAATGCGTTTGAATCATCTGATACCACACCCCCCACCCTGGTCTGTGGAAAAATTGTCTTTCATAAAACTGGTCCCTCATGCCAAAAAGGTTGGGGACTTCTGTTTTAGAGGACATCAGCCCTCATTCTATTTGGGTATACATTTGGGAGTGGAATTGCTGGTTCTTCTTATAAACATGTGTGTGTGTCTCTCTCTCTATATATATATGTATAAAGACACACAAACATATATGTGTGTGTGTGTATATATATATATATATATGTTTAGTTTTAGTAGCTAGTACTGCTAAATAGTACTTCAAAGTGGTTATACTAATTTATATTTATAGCAGCAATAAGTAAGAGTTTAAGTTGCCTTCCCATTCTTGCCAACACATGTCATTGTCTGTTTTTCTGATTGGGCATTCTAATAGGGGTATAGGGGAATCCTTGTGTATTTTCAAATTTGCATTCCCCTGATAACTAAGAATTGTTGAACATCTTTTGTTTTTGATTTTTTTTTTTTTTTGAAATGGGGTCTTGCTCTGTCAGCCAGGCTGGAGTGCAGTGGTGCAATCTCAGCTCACTGCAACCTCTGCCTCCCAGGTTCAAGCAATTCTCCTGCCTCAGCCTCCTAAGTAGCTGGAATTACAGGCACCCACATGAGCCACTGCACCTGTCTTTTTGTATTCTTCATGATCATTTTATATTCTTTTTTCTGAATTGCCTGTTCACATTTTTTGCTCATTTTAAATTGGGTTGTTTGTTTTTTATCATAGACTTATAGAATCACGAAGAATTACTTTCTTATTAAAATGTAAATTTTTAGGGTACACAATTCTAGAGTGAATTTTTTTTTTCTCCTTGCATATTCATGATCTTAAACCTTTGCCTTCTGGCTTTCAATTTTTCCTAATGAGAAGTTAGTTGTAAATCTAACTGCCATTCCTATGTGGGTAGTCAGCATTTTCTCTCTTATGCTTTTAAGCTCATCTGTTTAATTCTTAATGCTCCATAGTCTCTAGGTGTTAGCTTCCTTTTTACTCATTTTGATAGGCAAACACTGTGTTTTGTGAATCAGAGAGTTCTCTGCTAATTACTTTAAATATTGATCTCTTTCATTCTTTCTAGTCCTTGATTCAGTTCATTCAATTAGGTATGTATAGACTTTCTCATTCTATTCTTCCTGTATCTTAACATCTTTTTTACATCTTCTACTTTTTTGCATTCTTATTAATTTCTAAGGTTTTTTCACTCTACAGTCTACTGATCTTAATATGTCTATGTCTATCTGTTCTTCTATCTATCAGTTAAGCTTTTGACATCTTGTTTTTTATTTCTAAACTCCTTTTGGGATAATTTTACCAATATCCCTAGTAATTTTGATCTTGCTTATTGTTGTGATTTAAAACAATTTTTGAAAATTATGTCTTTAAAAATTCAATTCCCAAAGAATTTGAAAGTCTAAATTTGCCATGTCTGTTGATTTCAATGTGTTTTATTTTCCCATGTGTGTTTGTTGATCTTTGATTTTAGACTTAACGTTGGTTGATTTTAATCCAGGGAAACCTGGAAGCTTATATCGATATTGCTTTTGGCGGGAGAGAATTGTGCATACCAGAGGGAATTGTGCTGAGATTCAGTGGACATGATACATTCTGACTTTTCTAGAAAATAAATTCTCAAAATGTACAATGTGTATGGCTTCTTTCTTTCTCTTTTTTCTCAGCTAAATATTATTTAGACCCCTGCTGCATTCCACAGTTGCATCAGTCTTGTGTTCAGCTTTCCTACATTTCCTCAAGCCCAAGGCTCAGCCTGCTGGCCACAGATATGGAATGGACATCTGCCCTTGGATTACTGCTGCCCTTTTCTTCACCCACCATGGAATGCTCCACTTTCATTTCACTTTGAGGGGCTTGGGAGGCTCCTGGAGGTTTCTCTTACTTCATGTGAGTCCAGCAACAAATTATCTTTTTTTTTTTTTTTTTTTTTTTTTTTTGAGACGGAGTCTGGCTCTGTCGCCCAGGCTGGAGTGCAGTGGCGGGATCTCGGCTCACTGCAAGCTCCGCCTCCCGGGTTCACGCCATTCTCCTGCCTCAGCCTCCCAAGTAGCTGGGACTACAGGCGCCCGCCACTACGCCCGGCTAATTTTTTGTATTTTTAGTAGAGACGGGGTTTCACCGTTTTAGCCAGGATGGTCTCGATCTCCTGACCTCGTGATCCGCCCGCCTCGGCCTCCCAAAGTGCTGGGATTACAGGCGTGAGCCACCGCGCCCGGCCAACAAATTATCTTTTATGGAGAATCCTCCTTATTGCCAATAGGATAAGTCGTCCTATTTTCCCAGAGAGATTATGGAGAGGACATTCTTATAGTGCTCTATGGTTTAGAACAGTGCTCTATAAGCTCTTTGGGGTAACTTTGGTGGTGGTGGGGATGATATTGATTGTGAAGGAGGTGGATGATCTGGGAACATACGAGTAAGACTTCAGGCTCTTCCGCCCTGCTTCAACTAGCATTTTCCACTGTGGTCTGCTTATAGGATTTTAATGACAGATTGATTCTAAACCTTAAACATTTGTTCAAATCAAATGAATGATTTTATTATTCCCAGTTAAATGTATCCATTCTACACAGCCCTAAAGGTTCTCTGTTATGATTTAATGGCCTTTAATAATGTAGATTATTGGTGTCAAAATAATGTAAACACACAGAAATGAGAGTGGCAAAATCTAGCAATGGAAGAAAGAAGTCACTGCCTCATGGGAGAGACCATACCTAGAGGGGAGTTAAGACAGGGAATTGACCACAAAGAGTTAAAGATTTTTAGGTGAAAGACTTTGCTATTTAAAAGCCAATAGTAATAATAATAATATTAAAAATATCATAAACTGTGGTGATTCCCTCTTTAACTTTGGTTCATAGGAGATTCCTCATGCCATCTGATTCATTTATTCATGATATTACAGATATGTGTTAAAAATTGAAGCTTGTTCAAACACAGTTTTCTTGAAGCAGATCTGGCTACAAGTACATCGTTATGCTTGACTTTCATTCAATCCATTTTTATGAGTGTGTGCTAAGGAAAAACACATGCTGGCAATACAATTACATTAAAGTCAAGATTTGTATCCAAATATCACCATGTCTATAGGAGCTAAGCTTACTGTAATCATAGAAAAAAAGCTCTTGTGTAAGATCTGAAACTTTACTAACATATAAGATTACATTTTTGGTTATGGGTAGGAAAGCAGTGTGTTTACCACAAGTCAAATGCATTGTATAAAATTTCTAATCCAGTTTCATTTAATCCTTACAACAATGGAGTGATTTTTATAAACTTCATTTTTAAAAAGGAGCCTGAAAAAGGTCCAATGACTTGATTAAGGTTTATAAAGCTTGTATGTATGTATAAATGTGTTAATAAATTTATAGATATACATACTTGTCTGTATATACATACTGCTTTTTCTGGAAAATTCATTCTCCAATGTAGAATCTGTATGCTTTTTTCTTGTTCTTTTTTTTTTTTTTTCTTAAACAGTCTATTTATTTATTTGGTCATAACCACCAAGGAATATATGTGTCATTATAGTGGCCATGAATGAAATTTCATAGTAAATAGGCCTCTTTGCATCTGATTTGATAAATACTTATACTATCATTTATATAGTTTTTGTTCACAGAAATCTTATGAGGCCAGTGAGTATTGTCCTCTGAATGAAGAAAGCAGAATAGAATAGTTTGTCTAAAGTCACAGTAGAATCTTGGCTAAAATGACAGCCCCGAGGTCCTAATCAGCTCCTTGGGGAGCTTCAGAATCATCTCTGCTCCATACTGCAAGTATTTTGCACTAAATTGTGAGGTAAAACCAAGTTTTAACTTTATTTATATAAGCTAAACCTATCCTTCTGGATATAATAGTGGGATTTCTAACCCTGTTGGTGCTATTCCTAATAGCTCCAAAAAAGCCTTCTTAAGTCTTGGGCATACTCTAAATACTTTTTGAATACTCAGTCTTCTTCAGGACTGTCAAATACATTTTATTGACTGACTTGAGGAGCATACAGATAACAGAATGGCTGAGGAAGCATGAAAAATTCTTTTGAAAAGTAGGATAAAACCCTGCTATTTTTGCATATCATTTTTCTTTGTCCTGAATTTTACAGTTCTTTGATCTGTATATAAAATTGGAGAAATACATTGTAATTTTGGTGAGACCAACATTCGGATATGTACTGTTTTTGTTTTTTTACCATAGTTCATATTACTAGTTTTAGGTGCTCAGGTAAAGTGACAAAATGACAGAGTTTTCAGTTATGTCATAAAACTAAAATTGTCTTCATTTACAGTGATAATTATATATTAAATATTTAAACGTTAAAATTAAAATAATTACAAATTAAAAAAAACTCCTTAAAGGCCATACAGTTTTTTATAAACAAAAAAGAAGAGAGTAAGATGAGTGGAGAAGTCACTTGACCGGGGACAAGAAAAAACAATGCCTCGATTAAATCACTTAACTCATTTGGCCCTTTTTTATCTTGACAGAACAATGAGGGGAGTATGACGACAATGGCGTCTGAACTTTCCTGCTATTGTTTACAGCAGTGGAACCATGTATATAGATATTATAGGCCAGGAGCCTAGTAACAGAAGAGTTGCTTTCTTGGAAGAGTGTGTGTGTGTGCATGTGTATATGTGTGTATGTTTGTGTATATATATATGTGTGTGTGCGTGTGTACATGTGTATATGTATGTATATGTGTGTGCATGTGTACATGTGTATATATGTGTGTGTGCATGTGTGTGCATATATGTGTGTATAAGTGTGTGTGTATATATGTATGTTTATATGTGTGTATATGTGTGTGTATGTGTATATGTGTGTATGTATATGTGTGTATATGTATATGTGTGTGCTTGTGTACATGTGTATATATGTGTGTGTGTATGTGTATATATGTGTGTATGTGTGTGTATGTTTGTATATGTGTGTGTATGTGTGCATGTGTGTATGTGTATATATGTGTGTATGTGTGTGTATGTTTGTATATGTGTGTGTATGTGTGCATGTGTGTATATATGTGTGTGTGTATATGTGTGTGTGTGGGTGAGGGGGGAGTGGTAGCACGGCGTGAGCCTTGGTCTTGTCCATCCTTTTCTCCCTTGATGTCTCTTGCGATACTTCTGCAAAACTCTGTACTTCTAAGACTATAATCTGAAAATAATTATTTAGAGAATTTCTAAAATTCAGCTCTAAATAACGATATTTTATGATTTCTTCTTGGTTAGTTAAAGAAGACTCTTAGGCACTTGTATAGAGTTAATATAAGCTAGAGTTGCTCAGAGTATCTTGCTTAGAAACTAGCCATTGTGATTTCTTAATTATAACATTAGAGTTTTAAAAAAATATCCAACTATAAATCAAAGAAAACATCGAAGAATCTTGTATTTTTCCAAAAGAATTAACTCTTTAAAATCATAGTAGAAAGGTTGGGACAACATAAATTGACTTCTGAGTATAAATTAGGCTCACAGTAATTATTACAATCAATTAGATGGTTTATGAGACTACGGTAAATGATGGAGAAAGAATACATTCTACTTGGGAAAAAAATGGTAAATACATTTCCCAAGAAGAGAAAAAGAAATAATAATCAGTGCATGGAGAAAGTTATTTGTTATAGAATCAGGACAAATATGCCAAGAGAATGAAACCACAAAGATTATGCTATAAAATAGTGTCAGGCAAGCTGGCCTGGCAGCACACTGTGAAGGGTGCTGTGGAGAACATCTGCTTTCAGCAAAGAAAGCAAGTGTCATGGCACCAACAATTCCAGGCATGCTACCAAGAAGTCTCTTTGCTCAAGTGAATTCATGCTAGATGCACATTTCCAGTTGCTGCTGGAATTCTATGCAGCTTGTTGATTTGGTCAGCAAACGGATGGCATGACAGTTGGGATACAATCAGACTAATTTTTATCCACTGTGCATACTTAGGAAGGTGGATTACTCTACAGGCCTGAAGGGATGCTCCTGGCTGCATTTCAAAACTACACACAGCAGGTAGAGAATGGCTGTAAGACAGAGGCCAAATCCTGCAGGTCTGAACTTTAGTGCTGTCTCAAATGTCTTAAACACTGGTATTGGCTTTCTGGGACAATGGCTGGGAGGACGGAAATATTCATAAATGGAAGACAAATCTGTAATTCTTCCAAAGACTAAAGGAAAGGGTCATGGAGATGAGTAGCAAAAGAGAACTTTGCTGCAGAGAGATCAGGCGTGTCAATTGCTTAGTATGTTATGTGGCCACCTAGTAAGGGTTTATCAGATGTTAGCTACTATGTCGAATATGGTGTCTTTTTACTCAGGGTCTGTCTCACCTTCTTCTAGTGAGTTTTTCCTGTGCGGCAGAGACTTGAAAGAGAAAACCTACATTTTCTAAACTATCCTGCACCTGAGGTTCTGGATGCAAATTAGGTTTATATGAGTTAGCATATGCAAGATGTAGAAGGCAGCAGGAAGAAATCATCTTATTGCTTTTGGCCATTTTCTACTGGCAAATGGGTTTGTGGAGAGATGAGTTCTTTTCTGCAGCAGACTTTTAAAGCCTGTGGTGGGCTGACTGCATTGATGGGTCTAATGAATGTATCCTCATTTACCAATGTGACTTTCTGGCTCTTCACGTGGAGGAATGGAGTCTATTTTTCACCACTGATTCTGGCTGCATGACTTGCTTCAGTTAGTAGAACGCTGTGGAAAGATGGTGTGCCAGTTCCAAGCCTAGGCCTCAAGGAGACTTACACACTTCTGCTTTAGGACCTAGAATGCTGCCTTCACTGGGCACATGAAACAGGGGAGTCAGCAGCCCTCATAGATCAACTCATGCCTGGTCAACCTAGGAACGGACTTCCCGACCAGCCAGGGTGAGCAGAGCCACACTGCTGACTCACAGAGTGAGCCAAATGGAATGACTATTATTGTATGCCATTGATGCTTTGTTGATTTGGGTTATGCAGCATGATTGTGACAATAAAAAATGGATATGATGTCTGTTCTCCAAACCTGTGGGTGTCAAGAGGTACCTACATCAGAGGTGACTCTGAACTCCTCAAGCCAGTGTGCAGCCACCCCTTGTTGCCCTAGCTGTGGTAGTTTCCTGATCCCTGGATTACAGTTTTGGTAGTGTTTTTTGAACCCATAGATTTCAGCTTTGACATCCTGATTCCTCTCTCTTCAGAATTTGATAAAAGTAATACAGTAGTTCCAATACTGTGTCGAGTTTGCAGTATTTTGAGTGCTGTCACTGGAAGCTCAGGTTAGAATCTGCTCCTTCAGTCCTTTTGATGAGTTTTAAGTGCCCAATACCTATTATTAAATGCCTCTCTGCTTAACATACTGATATGGTTTGGCTCTGTGTCTCTACCCAAATCTCATCTCAAACTGTAATCTCCACGTGTCAAGGGAGGGACCTGGTGGGAGGTAGTTAAATCATGGGGGTGGTTTCCCCCATGCTGTTCTGGTGACAATGAGTGAGTTCCCATGAGATCTGATGGTTTAAAAGTGTGGCACTCCGCCCATCTCCTGCTGCCATGTAAGACGTGCCTTACTTCCCCTTCACCTTCCACCCTGATTGTAAGTTTCCTGAGGCCTCCCCAGCCATGTGGAATTGAGTCAATGAAACCTCTTTTCTTTATAAATTCCCCAGTCTCAGGTAGTTCTTTATAGCAGCGTGAAAATGGACTACTACACATTACCTATGATGGTTCTTGATACTTTCCTTGAACCCTGACTGATACAGATGTTATTATTACTATTGTTACTATTATTTTTCCTCTTTCCAAATCCATACTGAGCAGACATATTGCTAAGTTCCTTCTGGATGTAAGGGAAATGAAAAAGAATGCTACATGGTGCAGGGCACAGTTATTTAGTGATTCTTTTCATGTTGAACAGTGTTCTTTCTAAAATTATGTTTACAAAGTCACATAATAAAGTTTGGCCATTCATTCATTAATGTATTCATTTCCTACATAAGTGTTTAGAGCCTATGACATGCTAGGTATTGTTCTGGACACTGTTGTAGAAAAGACAGATACAGTTCTGACTTTTTAGCACATTAAGTCTTAGTGAACAAAGATTTTAAAAAAGTAAAATTTACAAACAAGATACTTTTACAGTGATATATAGTCTATAAAGAAAATAATTAGAGTAATGTGATAGAGAATGACGTGATGAATTATTTCAGAATGACTGGTTGGAAAATAGTCCACTGAAGTAGTGATACTGAGCTGGGACCTGAATGCAACAAGTTAGCCATTTGAAAATATAGAAGGAAGTAATTGTAGGTAAACGGAAGAAGAGTGCAAATATCCTAAGTGGGGAAGGAGCTGGGTGCACCTGAGAAACAGAAAGAAGGCAGAGTGGAGAGGGGAACAGAGTGAGGAAAGGGAAGACTAGTATGGTAAGATGCTTTTTAATGGCTTTCGAGAATTCAATGTAACTACAAAAATTTGAAGTTAACTTGCAGACTTCCTGCTTTCTAATTCTTATAGTTCCTTCTGATGGCCCAAAATGTCAATTAGTCATCAGAGGATGTTCAGGCCCATCCTCCCAAGGGCTCTGACTTTATTGCCTGTGTATTTTCTGAATCAAAATATAGTTTGATTCAATGATTGTAATGGTAAATGTTCTGTGAAATTAGGTTTTCTTGCAAATATGCTCTCCATTCCCTAAAATACCTCCCTTTCTTCTCCCTCAAGCTCATTTCTTCAGAGCGAGATTCCTATCTCTGCTAGGAAGAACAGATCCAAATGAAAGTCTTAAGAATTTGTATGTTTAACATTCTAGGGGAACAAATTGCACATTAAAAGATGACATTAACAAATCAGATGGACTATGCTATGTTTTTGAGGACCTGTATTTTCGAGACTTTCTTGGTGCCCTTGACTCCTTGGGACATAACTTACTTTATCTAACTTGCTTAAGCAAACCGAGGGGAAAGACCTGGCAGCTTCCCATTGCTCCTCAGAAAAACTGTATTTGACACTAGGTATTTAGTGTGTTAGTCTGGTACTCAAATGTGTATGCATTATGACTCACTTTAAGGCTCAATTAATGGTGTGTGGCTGAAATACCAAGTGCTGTAGACATACCCTTGCAGGGTGACTGTTCTTTCCCTGGTAGCTCCATTTGCTGTTTGAACAGCCTGTTACTAGGTTAGTTTTCTCTCTCGTGGTTTACTGGACAATTTTTTTCTTCTCAAAATGTCTTACTATCATGCAGCCTGTTGGTTTATCTGCTGCTATTATTTTGCATTTCACAAACTGTCCTCATCGATGCTGTGTGGGAATGTATTTAATTTCCTACCTGAGTGTCAGCCTACTGCTCCAGAGCTGCTTAGAACATTTTCTTTCATCTGTCTTCTTACCTTCCAGATCCAGCAGAGTTGAACCACAGGAATCCCATCTCAATATTGATGACTCACTCCCATCTGGAATCTCATTATTGGTTAGCTTGTCTGTCTATTTCATCTTCAGAACTGCTTGCTGGTAATATTAGTGGAGTGCTTTTGAATTGTTAGGACCTCACTTGTAGTGGGTTTCACTTCTTTTCAGTTTTAGGTCAAATATTTATAGATTGTTTTGTAGACTCTGTTCCAAGGGTCTCAGGGTCCTGATAGATGAGCTGGGTGTGCTGGGTTACTATTAATAGTGTTATTGCAATTACGTTTTTAGTGGATGATCAGAGAGTTTGTTATTAAGTAGCAGAATTTAGAGACAGGTGTGTTAGTAACAAAACTCTTAAATGTGGTTCTCCTGTTGTGATTTTCATGTCTCAGTCCTGTGTTGACTTTGCAAAATAGCATAATTGCTTTCATCTAGTTTTCTAAATGTGTTGGCATAGTGTCTAAATGTGGCCTGCACTACTCTCTGTATGACCAAGTTGGGAATGTCTGAGAATGCTTTTTATGTGAGAAGAGCTTCTTCTAGGAGTAGAGGAAGTAAAGTCTGCAATCAGCCACCAGCTTTCTAATTGCATCCCTGCATAATGTAGGCTGAATAAGCTGAAACAAACTCAGATAACTTAACTTTTTTTTTTTTTGTATTGAGGAATGAGTAAGACGTGATACCTTGACTCAATGTAACTTTTAGATCTCTTGCTAATCTGTTCCATAGCAGCCAGAATCCAGGTAAACCAAAGATATATTTTTAAAAAGGCAGATGAAAAAGCAACCTGAAGAATTCTTAAATTCATTACTTTCAAGATTTGAAACTTAACTTTAATAGAGACTTTGGACCATATAGAAGAAGTCCCTCTGTTGACTTACACAAATGCTGAAAGCCTGCAATGTACTCTAAGTATTCTCTGATAATCTAATTTTATATGATTTCCACATTTTTCCCACTTTTGTTTTGATCATGCCTTTCAAAAGTTTTGTTTTTGCTTCTGATAATTTTTTAATTTAAAGAACTTAGAATTGATACAGTTAATTGCCATATGTGCCTTTTCTTGATTCTGTTTTTCTCTGTACCATTAAGGAGTTGATGTTTATCACTTCATTATGTAAGCTTTTGTTTCAAATACATGAACTCATAAGCAATATGCATTATTATTTTGCATGTTCTTTAAAATTTTTATGTTTACATACAGTACCATGCTATATGCATAAATTTGCTTTTTAAAAAATAACCTTGTTTTTGAGATTTGTCCATGTTGATACATGTAGTTTTAATTTATTCATTTTAATTATCTTAATTGCCATAGAATATTTTATTATATTAATATACCGTAATTTATTAATTCATTTTTCTTTGACGGGCATTTAAGTATTAAAAAAATTTTTTTTTTGATTATTACAAAAGTTGCTGCACTGACTACTTGTAAACTTTATTCTTCTGCACATCTTGTGCACACCTGTAATACACCTAGAAGCAGATTGCTGAATTGTGGAGTTTTAACGTCTTTCACTAGCATTTCTGTCAATTTGCACTACCACCAGTTCCTTTTGATCAACCAGATCGCCAACACTGGCGTTGCAAATGTTAAGTGTTGCTGATCTGATAGATGTGAAATGGCATCTCATTTCTTGGCATAAATTTTCATTTCCCTGATTACCAATGAAGTTGAGTATCTTTTTACTTGTTTATTCAGTTGAGGTTTTCTCTTTTTTAATTGCCTGTTTATGTCTTGTCTGTTTTCCCTATTGGATTACTTGCCTTTTTCCTGTTAATTTGTAGGAATCTTTTATATATTATGATTATTAATCCTTTGTTAGTTTGTTGTGTTGAAAACATCTTCTCACAGACTGTGGCTTTCTATATATCTTTTGCTATGTAGAGCTTATTAAGGGTAATGTAGTCAAATTTATCCATCTTTTTCTTTATTGTGTGGATTTTATTGTGTGTTTCAAAAATCTTCCCTAAACAGTGTCACAAAGATATTCTTCTGTATTTTTCTGAAAAATTTAAATTTTGCTTTTCCTGGAATTATAAGGATTTAATTTTATATTATTTGCATATATGCCATTTTGCATATGTGTAGACAGTTGTACCAGCATCTTATATTGTATAGTGCATTTTTTTGCCTAACAATTTTCAGTTTCCCTCAGAGTATCTGGCTATCTGTCTATCTGTTTCAGGGCTCTCAATTATTATTATTATTTTTGTTCATCTTTTTACCAATATGATATCTTAATGCTAAAAAATAAATATCAATATCTCATAGGGCAAATCATCTACTTTGTTCTTCAAAATTGTTTCTGATTTTTTTTTGTCTTTCTGCTCTTCCATAAGTATTTTGCTGTTAGCTTATTACCACAAAAATATTTTTGGGATTTAGATTGTAATCTCACTTAATTTACAGAATAAATTAGAAGTAAATTGACATATTTGTGATATTGAATCTTTCCATCCATGAATGTGGTCTATCTTGCTATTTATTTAGGTCTTCTTTTATGTCTGCCAATAATATTTATAATTTTTTAATAAAGGTCTTCTATATCTAAAATCAGACTTATTCCTGATAACTTATACCTTCTTAAAAATATAATTTTGAGTGGAATATTTTTTCTAATACATTTTCTAACTGTTATATAGGAACTGTATTGATTTTTAAAATTCTGATCTTGTATTTAGTAACTTTTCACATTTGTCTTAATAACTTTATTTTGGTTTATATATATATATATATTTGTGTGCAAATAATAAATGCCTGTGTCTCTTCATTTGTGATTATTTTACCTCTTAAAATGTTCTTGTCAAGGACATTACCTAGGATAATGTTAAATATGAACAGAAATAGTAATCATCCTTGTTCTGGTTCTGATTATAATGGAAGTGCTTCTAAATTTTCGTCATTACATGCCTTCAATTTGTCTTTAAATGCAGTAATTGTTTTCAGAGATAAAGGCTACTGAAAGCAAATAAATTATTTGTATAGTAAACCATATTCGTAAAAATATTTTAGGAACTTACAGAATAGGAGAGCCTGTAGAATTGAAAACTGTGCCACTAAGAGTGTTCCAAATCCCACTGCAAGGTAAGTATGAAGAGACCAACAACCTCCCAAACTGGTACAGAAATTACTTCAAAGTGACAACATATGAGCTTCAGAAGATGCAGAAAGAAATCATATCTGAAATTCTCTTATCTGACTAGTGCAGAGCTTTTAGAGGGTCGGCCACCGCAGCTGCTCCCTGCCCCTACCCCTGGTCTCCACTCAGAGTGGCACTCACCGTGGGCTCCAGTCCATTCTAAAAACATTGCATAAACAAGCCTCATCAGAACCCTCCATCCTTTCATGCCCTAACATACCCCGGATTCCTTACTTAAGCTAATGTATGCTCTTTACTCCCAGACGTTCTGGGAGCTGCTCTCTCTACAGGGTACTCCTGCAGGTGCAATGCATGTTTCTCCTGTTAATCTATCATCAGTTAACTTGCAGGCCCCCAGTCGGCGGAACTAAGTTGGTAGTGGAGAAGTTTTTTTCCCAACAGTGAACACTTCACAGCTGCTGCTGCTGGGCACAGACATGGTGGCTTGCACTGCTGATATCCCCACGTAAGACACATTTTAAAAAATTTTTTATTTTTCAAAATTACATATTAAACATGTTTTTATTAATTTTTTTATAGAAGCAGGGAGTACAGGGGCAGGTTTCTCACATGCAGATACTGCATAGCGGTGGAGCCTGGGATTTGGCATCCCTGACATCTGAACAGTGAACATGGTACCCAGTAGTAAATGTTCAGCCCTCACCCCCTTCTATCAGCTCACCGTGTGTAGTCCCCGATGTCTGTTATTCCACACTGTGTCTCTGTGTGTACCCGCTGTTTAACTTCCACTTATAAATGAGAACATGCGGTATTGGACTCCCTGTTTCTGAGTTATTTCTCTTAGTGTAATGGCCTCCAGTTCTATCCATGTTGCTGCCAAAGACATGATTTCATTCTTTCTTATGGCTGAGTAGTATTCTTGGTGTACATACACCACATTTTCTGTATATGAAGACATTCATCTGTGGATGGACACTTAGGTGGGTTCCCTATCTTAGCTATTGTGAGCAGTGCTGTGAAAAACATGAGTGCAGAGATTTTGAATATAATGATTTCTTTTCCTTTAGGTAGATACCCAGTACCTGGTAGATACCCAGCAATGGGATTGCTGATCATAAAGTAGCTGTATTTTTAGTTCTTTGAGAAATCTCCATA
This sequence comes from Homo sapiens, assembly GCF_000001405.40. Taxonomy (NCBI): domain Eukaryota; kingdom Metazoa; phylum Chordata; class Mammalia; order Primates; family Hominidae; genus Homo; species Homo sapiens. The sequence continues at coordinate 186,886,297 of NC_000004.12, forward strand.
TTGTTTTCCATAAAAGTTGTACTAATTTACATTCCTGCCGGCAGTCGCAGGCACTTTAAAAACGACTGCCTTTGAAACCAGATGTAGCTGCAGCAATGACGTGCCCCTTGGCTGCACGTGCCCTTGGACACCCCCACCTTGCTCTGTGGATTCCGCATGGCCCTGCTTCTCAGGTCAGCAGCCCAGCAGGTTCAAGGTGCAGGAGTGGGTCTGTTGGGCTGGCAGAACCCGATTGTGTATCTATACTCCCCAGCTGCCAGGGAGTTTGAGGAGACAAGAGCTGGTCATTTTTCAGCTTCCATATTAGTTGGTGGGCTCCATCTCAAAAGGTGGATACTCCTTGAAAGAAAACACTTCAGATGCTGTAGCTGACAAGATGTAAACAGGCGATATAGGCTTTCAAAGCTGCCAGAGAGATGACTGTGGTGGCTCACATCTGTAATCCCGGCACTTTGGGAGGCCGAGGTGAATGGATCACTGAGGCTGAGACAAGCCTGGGCAAAATAACGAGATCCCATCTCTACAAAAAATTAAAAAATCTTAGCCGGGTATGTGGCCAACCTGTAGTCCAGTCCTCAGGAGGCTGAGGCAGGAGAATGGCTTGAGACCCAGGAATTTGAGGCTGCAGTGACCAATGATCTCACCACTGCACTCCAGCCTGGGTGAGAGCAAGGCCCAGTCTCAAAAAGGAAAGCAAAACAAAACAAACAAACACACAACCTGAAAGCTGCCAAACAGTTCTTTACCTGGACTCAGGGGAAGGGCAAATTTTCCTTTTCTTCTGGCTGGAAATTTAGGAATGCTTATTTTCATAGACCAGACACCATTCAGGCATTAAATCTGTGACACAGCATTCAGCTCTACACATAATTAATGTATTAAATGCCTGGCATATTAAGTGCAAACTTTACAAGTCACAACAAGATTGCCCTAACTGCCAAATTAGGGTGCTATGCCCAAACAATTTTTGCCTTAAACATCATTACCCATAATAATCTGTGGGATCTGAGCTCGGCTGGGTATCTGGCTGGTGATGTGTGAGGTCGAGTGGAACGCAGCTGCCTCCTCCTCAGCCCTGTTAGTTAAGCACCGCTAAGCAGTGGAAACCGGCGTTTGTGAGCTTGTCCAGTACAGGTACATGTTAATTTCACTTAGCCATTTATGAGTTAGAAGACACACAAGCTGTCCAATTAAAAACACCCTTTTGTACAGCCTCTTTTCAGACCCAAACCATACTTTCATACAAAGGAATGCATAAATATACATGATAATTGACTCTAATGACAGGAAAAGAATGTGATGAAACATTTCCTGATAAAATCTAGTCTCAGCATGCAAAGAGGATCAGGCCTCCTCTTCAGTCATTGTGATTTACAATATAAAGGGTGAAATTCTAAAGGGTGAAGATATTTTCTTCTAAATGGATAATATATGTATGTAGAAGAGCAGAGACCTTTGTGTTATCTGGACAAGTAAAAATTATAAATGCTCTCTAGCTGGAAAAGAAAAATTCCACTTGACAAGTCAGCCTTCCTTCATGGTCTTTTTCGTTTCTAGGTATCAAGTCAATTTTTCAATTCTTCGTACGATTTTTGTCATGCTCCTGATTATAAAGCAGTTAGGCTTAGGAAGCAGCATGAGAAGGGCATTGTTTCTGCGCTGTCTCCCATTGTTTTTTAGGGCATGCCTCTAGACACACTTCCCTATTCTATTATGAATCTGGCACTCTTCAGAGATATGGAATGCAATTATAATGGTCAAGGATCTCAGTGTGTGAAAATGAATCTTTAAAACTAGACACAATTGTTAGAACACAATTGCAAGGCCTTCGATAAACATTCCACGCATCTTAGAGGTGGAGGAAAGCACAGAGACTTCCTTGCGTATAATGCTACACATTAATAAAGCCCAATGTGACAGTTTTTGGATGGATAGTTTATCGGATTTCTTATCTTAAAGTTATTCAGTGCTGAGCTTCTCACAGAAATAGCTTTAGTCCTCTTAGGAAAAGAATTGAAAAGGTACGCAGGCAAATAGAACTCTGGGGTAATGAACAAATATTCCATCTGATTCAAAACAGGATTTTAGTGATTAGAATAATTGTCAACAAAACAAAGACCTTGATAGTACATTAAACAGCAAGCACCTGACAGATGGAGTGTTTATAATGCACATTATGTTGGAAGAACAGGCAAAGTCTCTTGTTTTACACATGGGTGCCTTTCCACCGTAATAATTAAAGTAGTTTTAGTAACCAATATGAAAATATTTTTAGCCAATTTAAATAATATGTATTTTCAAATAGTACAAATCATTTGCTGAAACAGACTTCCGAAACCAAATTATGGGATTAGTAGTTTATAACTTTGAATGTATAATCTTTTACAAATATCCATTCACGTCAAATATTCATTCTGGTACAAATTTAAGAACCAGATATGATATGTAAAATGGCCATCTATGGCCGCCCCCAGAAATTGTCTTATACTTTAAGCTACTTTTCTCACCTTTTTGCTCTAAACAACGCTGGCAAATGAACTTCCAGCTTTAGATGTGGCGAAGATGGGCTTTTTGGTCAGACACAGCAGACTCCAAGAAAGTGGACTGGGGGCCTGTAACCCCAGCTACTCCGGAGGCTGAGGCAGGAGAATGGTGTGAACCCGGGAGGCGGAGGTTGCAGTGAGCCGAGATCGCACCACCGGACTCCAGCCTGGGCGACAGAGACACCCCATCTCAAAAAAATACAAAAAATAAAGTGGCCCCGGGGCCCACGGTGCTGGGAATTGATGTGGTGGGAGAGTAAGACTCAGGCTGCCTCTCCGCGTTCTGGGGGACGCTGGAAGCGGAGGCTGTCCCTCGCCTTCCTGCCACTCCTCCCGCCTTCCTGCCACTCCTCCCGCCTTCCTGCCACTCCTCCCGCCTTCCTGCCACTCCTCCCGCCTTCCTGCCCTCCGCTGCCTGTGGCTCCTCACTTCCCCGGCCGTGCCGTCAGGGGCGCTCCAGAGCAGCCCCGGTGCCCACGTCTCATCGCAGCCCTCTGGCAGGACAGCGCGCGTCTAAACTAAGCCGAGGCGCACTTCGCTAAGGGGACCTCTCCGTTTGGACAATCCCGACGCCCGGCTCTACGTGAGGCGTTTTTCCCTCGTTCTCATTCATGGGCGGCGCTGGGCATTCTCTGCCATCCTTAGGGGTCCTCCACAGCATGCGGGAGGCCGGCGCCCCAGGGCTCTTTCACCCCCCGCTGCTCTCGTTCCTCCACGTGTTCTCCCGAGCGACCCACCCGCGTTCATGGTCCCAAACCCCCACCTAACCTCCAGCCAGCGCCCTTCTCCCGAGCTCCAGGCCCCTCCAGCTCCAGTGTGGGCATCGTCCCCTGGTTCTCCTCAAGTCCACTTACACTCAGCCTCTTCCAGGCGGAATTCCTCATCTCCCACACAACCCTTTGCCGCTCTGGTATCAGCTGGTGGCTTCTCCGTGGCCATGCAGAGAATAGAGACAGAACTTGAAACTGATGTGCACATGAGTGAGATTCTTCAGCAAGGTGACAGACAGGAGGGTAAAGAGGAAGTAGGATGAGCTCTTTGCTTTGAGTTTCTGTTTTCCAGGTCGGCTTGATTGGAAAGAGGGATGGCCGTGGTGAGAGTTGACAGTGTGCTGGTAGCCCTCGCAGCCCACGCTCGCTCTCGGCGCCTCCTCTGCCTGGGCTCCCACTTTGACGGCACTTGAGGAGCCCTCCAGCCCGCCGCCGCACTGTGGGAGCCCCTTGCTGGGCTGGCCGAGACCGGAGCCAGCTCCCTCAGCTTGCAGGGAGGTGTGGAGGGAGAGGCATGGGCGGGAACCAGGGCTTCGCGGGTGCCTGCGGGCCAGCACGAGTTCCGGGTGGGCGTGGGCTCAGCGGGCCTCACACTGGGAGCCGCAGGCCGGCTCGCAAGTCCCGGGCAGTGAGGAGCTTACTACCCGGGCCAGCAGCTGCGGAGGGTGTGCCGGGTCCCCCAGCAGTGCCGGCCCACCGGCTCTGTGCTGGATTTCTTGCCGTGCCTTAGCTGCCTCCCCTCGGGCAGGGCTGGGGACCTGCAGCCTGCCATGCCTGAGTCTCCCTCCGCACTGCCAGATGCTCCTGCCGGGCCTGAGTCTCCCCGACGAGCGCTGCCCCATGTTCCACGGCGCCCGATCCCATCCACTGCCCAAGGTCTGAGGAGTGCCAGCGCACGGCGACGGAGTGGCAGGCAGCTCCACCTGCGGCCCCGGTGTGAGATCCACTGGATGAAGCCAGCTGGACTCCTGAGTCTGGTGGGGACTTGGAGAATCTTTATGTCTAGCTGGGGGATTGTGAATGCACCAATCAGCACTCTGTATCTAGCTCAAGGTTTGTAAACACACCAATCAGCACCCTGTGTCTAGCTCAGGGTTTGTGAATGCACCAATCGACACTCTGTTTCTAGCTAATTTAGTGGGGCCGTGGAGAACTTTTGTGTCGAACTCAGGGATTGTAAACGCACCAATCAGCACTCTGTCAAAATGGACCAATCAGCTCTCTGTAAAACAGACCAATCGGCTCTCTGTAAAATGGACCAATCAGCAGGATGTGGGTGGGGCCAGATAAGAGAATAAAAGCAGGCTGCTCCGCGCTAGCACTAGCAAGTTGCTAGAGTGGCCTGCCACAGTGTAAGTTTTGTTCTTTAGCTCTTTGCAATAAATCTTGCTACTGCCCACTCTTTGGGTTTACACTGCATTTATGAGCTGTAACACTCATGGTGAAGATTTACAGGTTCAGTCCTGAAGCCAGCGAGACAAAGAACCCACTGGGAAGAACAAACAACTCCAGACGCCCCAACTTAAGAGCTGTTAACACCCGAAGATCTGCAGCTTCACTTTTGAGCCAGCGAGACCACGAACCCACCAGAAGGAAGAAACTCTGAACAGGCTGGAACGTCAGAAGGAACAAACTCAGGACATGCCACCTTTAAGAACTGTAACACTCACTGTGAGGGTCTGCGGCTTCATTCTTGAAGGCTGTGAGACCAAGAACCCACCAATTTCGGACACACTGGGACCACCCTCGCTGACTGGAGGTAATATTGGTTTTTGCTGTTGAAATTAATGACAAAAAGCGTGATTACCTTTGCACCAACCTAAATGTAAGTAGCCGAGGGCCAGTGTGGTGGTGCTGTGATGCCTTCTATGTCACAGGCTGTTTTTGTTTTTAATTTCTCCATCCTTATTAGTGCTTTTCCTTAAGGTCACCTCAGGTCCACAGACAAGGCTGCTGAGCCTCCAGCTATCCTGCCCATGTTCTATTTAAGAAAGAAGGGACAGGAGCAAAGATGTTTTCCAGCAATCTCATCCAATGCATTTGCTGACATTTCACTGGCCACCCCATCAGGAAGGAAAGCCAGACATTTTTTTTCTGCACCTAGAAATTTACAGGTTTTATTAGTTAAGAATATGGTTTAGTAGACTTTGGGTAGGAAACTAGCAGTCGCTGATGTGTGAGGGATTCTAAAAATAAGCTTGGACTTTTAAAAACATGTCTGATATGTTTGTGCCCTGTAGATCCATGTCACTTGGCAAAGTTCCTCCAGAGTTATCTAGAATTTTTCCTTTATTTCAATATCTCATCAATTGCTCCCGATCAGTTGCCAAACCTTGCCAGTTTCAAGTCCCAGAATGTAAACTAAATCTGTTTCCTCCTCTTCATTCCTGATACCACTTCCCTAGTTCAGGCCCTGCTGTTCCTCGCTAGGTCGCTGGCACCACCTCTTGACTGTGTCCTTTGAGTAGGGAGAGTAAAGCATGAACGGTGCCAGCTCTACAGCTGGAGCTTGGCTTTTCTTGGGGGGGGGGGGTAAATAAATTAAACAGAAAATGCTGGTAGTTCCTGTGGTGTATCTGAGCTATCTGTTTAAATAGCTGATTCGTTCATCATTAGGTGTCCAAGGACAGTGACTTGCCTTATTCTGCTCTTATTCTCCAGCACTTGAGGCAATCATTCCCAGATAGTGGAACCTCGAATGGCAGACACTGTGGTTCTCCTGCGGGGCTGAGAACTGTGAGGAGCAGAGCAGACTTCATGGAGCTCCACAAGTCACATACACAGGCGGCTGCTGGCTATTTCCGCTTTCTCATCTGGAATTGGCAGCGGACTAAGTGGGCCCTACTTATTAGGTTGGTGCAAAAGTAATCGCGATTCTTGCCATTAAAAGTAATGGCAAAAGCTGCGATTACTTTTGCACCAATCTTACTATATATATATTATTTTTTCAAATCTCAGTTTTATTCTCATTCCAGCATCCTAATGCTTTCCCTTTGGATTTTTTTTTCTAATCTTGAGAAGTTTGTGTTTTCAGTGTAGTAATAACAATAATAGTGTTCTTAGCACACGCGTTACGCCAAGGGCTTTTAAAAGATACTTTTCATAAACCAACTCACTTAATTCTCACAACAACTTTTGAAGTAGTCCACTTTCTAATCCTCATTTTACAGATAAGGAAACTGAGGCACACAAGGTCAGCTAACCTGCCCGAGGTCTCTAGCTAGTGACTGGAAGAGGTGTTCTCTGGATATTATTTGAATCTCAGTCTCGCTATATTTCTTCGTCATGACTGTAACTTTCCCCCTGTATTTCTAAATATTTTAATCTCTTGATCATATAGCATACGTTGATTTAATAAATCACTTTTACATGCATTATCGTATTTGGTATTCATCACAGCTCTCTGAGGTGGGTAAGGGAGATTTGGTTACTTCTTTCTGACAAATGAGAAAAATGATGCTCATAGACACTGTTAAGTTAGAAGCACAGGGCGTTAATTCTGGAAGTGTTTTAAAGATTACCCAATCCAGCCACTCAACTTTTAGGAAATTGAGCGTCAGAAAAATAAATGCCTTTCTCTAGTTCCCACAGCTGGCTGCAGTACCAATCACCTGCCTCTGAGTTCATTGCCAGCTGGGTGCTGTGGAACTTACCTTGACTTTGGAGTTAATTATCCAACTTCTCTGAGCTATAGTTTACCCTTTATAAAATGAGGGCATGATTATGCTTCATAAGACTGTTGTGAAACATAAATAAAGTTAATATGTGCTGGGCCTAACACAACCCAGATATCCATGAAAAGGGGTCAGGCTTTTTTTGCCCACTCCTCATTTTACCTTTTCTGTAACGCTGTCGTGAGGACATAAAATAAGTTGCTATTCTATAGCATGTATTTTATTCTATACCATGGGGCTAGGAAATAAAAACCCTGCCCATCCCCTGCTCTCTGATGTTTTTTTCTGAACTAGTTTCACGTGCCTCCTTTTACTTGCCATAATCTTTGGCTGCGGAAAACCTCCAGGCCCAATCAATCAGGTTGCTTCTACTCTCTCCAGGCTTTGTTTGCAGCCTGAACTCCAGGGTCCATCACGTCAATCGTACTGTTGCCACTGTTTTTGCACTCCCTTACCCGCTTTGCTCAGCAAAACTCCAGTCCCCCGTCAGTCCAAACACCCGATTTCCCCACCCGTGCACCAGTGCTGCTGCTGCAGGTGACACTGTGAACTTGCTACACGTTCTTGGGCTCACCCCAGCAGGGCCCTCCGTTCTGCAGAGCGATCATTTCCAGTTCTAGTCCTGTTTCCCTCACAGCTCTTTGAGATTTTCGTGTCATTCCTCAAACTCCAGACCTCACCACCTCACCTTATAGCAAGAGTGTTTGGTACCCTGCTGAGAAAAGCAGTCATCCTCATGGAAGATCGCTAACGTCAGCAGGGTGCTTTCTGTGGGGCAGACATTGGGGCAAGTCCACCATTTATGTCATTTCGTCCATCTTCACCAGAGTGCCAGGTAGTAGATATCGTTATGATTGTTCCATTTTAGAGGGGAAGCAGCTTAAGCTCAGAGAGGTTGTGTAACTTCTCCAAGGTGGAACAGCTGGGGGAAGAGAGCCACAAGCAGCTCATGGCTTGCCTCTAGAGCTGACCTATTAAGTATCAAACAACAAATTCCTCTATGTTCTCCCCTGTACACAACAAACTTATCTTCGTTAATTTTTAAAAATTAGGTTTAAAAAATTTTCTGATTTATTCATGCATACAATTTAAAGAGGCAAACAGGTATGAGGAAACAGCAGCCCCTGACCTTCTTATCCTTAACTTCCACTTCCCCAGAAGCAGCCACTTTTAACTGAATTTGTTTGGCACTTACATCCACGCTTGTAAATATCACGCTGATGCTGCCACTCACTGATATGTCCATTTGATCCCCTCTGTGGACTTCCCACGGGGGAGCATGAGGGTTTAGCTCTTCCACACAGCAACACCCCTTTCTCTCAACACAGACAACACATTTTCTGTCTGTCCCATCTTCCTATAAGTTGTACTCATTTATGTAAGATATAAATGCTAATCATGACTACGCACAGGTATGTTATCATTACTTTTCCTCTTCTGAACATTGGTGTGAGGCCTAAAATTAAGGCCCTGTGGTATATGCTGCCCTGACCTTTGGTGAAACCAGGAAGGCATCAAATGGTCTAACCTCAAGTTCCCCTCAAGCCTGCACCTGTGGATAAGGTCCCTTGGCTAAACACCCCTCCTTACTGAGCGGACCAGGCACAGTTCCTGCCTATTCCTGAGTAACAAGTTTCGGTTCCCTACCAGCCTGGAGTTTTATTCAGACAAGCCAATCACACCCTCCCATGGGGACCAGGGGTCACCTCACCCCCGTGGTACTACAAAGCCTGGCTCCCGCCGCCTGGTTGCTCACTCTGCTCCTGAGGGCCTGAGTGGTGGGCATCGCTCTTCTCCCCTGGGCTGTGAGCACTTGCTGTTAATCAACGGCCATCGATCTTACCTGGCCAGTGTCTGGCGTTGTGGGTCCAGCCATTCCTCCCTCAACGAAGAGGTGTATAGAAAGCGAGTAAAACACACGTCACTTTGTGTTTCTAGGGTTGATCCGAATCTGCTCGGTTTTCCAGTGTATACATCCTCTCCCAATCCCTTCAAACTTTAATGTCGAGTTCCTCTTCTTGGTGACTCTGACCTCTGGTCTAGCTTGGTGGGTCACTTACACCCACTCTGTGGCCATCACCTTTTGGAGATTTTGCCTGTCTGAAAATGTTGTTATTCTTACACTTACTTGATAGTTCGGCCAGGTCTGGAGTTACTGGTTGGAAATTATTTTTCTTTAGAATTTAGAAGCCATTTTCATGTCTTTTAGTTTCCAACATTGCTGTTGAGAAGTTCAAAGCCATTCAAATCCTTAATCCTTCATATGTGATCTGTTTTTCCTTTGCTATATGGAAAACATTCCCCTCACCGCCCCCCCCTTTATAAATTTACCAATGAAATGCACTAGTGTGGTTCTATTTTCATTCGTTGAACTTGAATGGGTCTTTCTAATCCAGAAATTCATCCTGGAGCTCTGGGACCATTTTCACGACTGAGTCAGTTGATGGTTTTCTCCACTCCATTTTCTTTTCCTGTTTCTACTTTCTGAAACTCATATGATATAGATATTGGCTTTCTTGAATAGTTCTCTAATTTTATTATCATTTTTCTTTTCTTTCCTTTTTTTTTTTTGTTTGAGATGGTGCCACCCAGGAGTGCAATGGCTGAATCTCGGCTCACTGCAACCTCTGCCTCCCGGGTTCAAGTGATTCTTCTGCCTCAGCCTCCCGAGTAGTTGGAACTACAGGCCCACGCCACCATGCTAATTTTTGGATTTTTAGTAGAGATGGGGTTTCACCATGTTGGCCAGGCTGGTCTTGAAATCCTGACCTCAGGTAATCCGTCCACCTTGGCCTCCCAAAGTGCTGGGATTACAGGCATCAGCCACTGCACCTGGCCTTTTTTTCCTATTTTCTGTTTTTAATCATCAGCTTTCTAGATTTCTTTACCTCATCTTCTAATCTTTCTACTGAATGTTTTATTTCTCCTGTTCTATTTTTAATTTGAAGGTTGGTTTTTGGTGCTCTTTTTGGTAAACTCTAGGCTTGTGGGTGGGGTTTTATTGATGGCGGGCTTCCCTGTGGGATGAGTTGGCTGAGCATTTTCTCGCAGATCCCCTACACTGGTTGGTCTCTTCCTGTAGGTGGGCCAGATGCCCCCAGGAGAGCTTCCAAACTCTTTCCTGAAGGCGGGCGCCACACTGCCAGCTGCCAGCACGCGGGGCTCCAGCAGGAAAGGAGATGTGTACTGATGACTTTGTATCCTTCCACACCGCCAAGTCAGCCACCACTCACTAGCTGGTTTTCAGTTTCTAAAACTGCGTTGCTGATGTTTGCATTCCTTTGGGATTTTTAATACTTTTTATGTATTATATATTGATATAACTATTAATTATGTATTAATATAACTTTACTGTTATTTAAATGGGATTTGGGAGGAATTGAGGCTAATGCAGTTTAGTTTTTGTCTGTTTATTTCTATTTCTACCTATTCTTTCATTTCCTCTCATTTTCGCTAATTTTTTTTCTAGTCTGAGGTTGTTACTTCATGCGATACTCGAACTCAGTGCCTTTGCATCTCCTCCCTGGTCTGTCTTGTGCTTTTGAATCTACACTACCTTTTCCTTTCAGCTATGAACACATTGCGATAATTCCATCTTAGACATTCGTTTGAACCCGCATCTTCCTCATTTTCTCTTTTGTATCTCTACTTCCTTTTGCAGCCGAGCTTTTAGAAAGTATCCCTGTCTCTGCTTCCTCTGAACTTATTCACCACTCTACCCATGGAAGGGGACTTCCTAGAAAGTCCCCAGATACCCCCACAGACACTTTCCTCTCTTGAGTTCACTCTACTGCTTAAGGCCATCTTGACTACATTCAGAATTCTCTTTTTCCCTTGTTTTTGTTATTATTAAAAGGAAGTTTATCTACACTGAAAGTAATGCATATTAATTATGTAAATTTGGAAAACAGAAACAATACAGGAAGGAAAGAGGAAATCCCATTCATACATGTACCAAACAGCGATAACTCCTGTTAAACTCAGGATGCATTTCCTTCCCAAGTTTTTGCTGAGAATATACTATTTGCGTAACTGGATAATTATCTATATGTACATGTGTTTGTATAGAGCGGCATGTTCTGATTTTATGGAAGGCTCCATATCCCCACATCCAATGATCTCAAGGATCACTCCACTTATATGTTCTCAAACTTAATATTTTTAAAGCGATTTTTCAGAAAATTGGTTGCTTTTAAGTTTCCCATCTGAACAATGAATCCTATCACTAGTCAACCAATTGACAAAGCCAGAAACCTGTGTCACATCTTCACCTTTTCCCTCTCCCTCACTTCTGCGATCTAACCAGTTGCAGCTCCTTTGAGTTTTTTATTTTATTCTATTTTTTGTTTTTTTGAGATGGAGTTTCACTCTTGTTGCCCACACTGGAATGTAATGGTGCAATATCGGCTCACCACAACCTCTGCCTTCCAGGTTCAAGCGGTTCTCCTGCCTCAGCCTCCCTAGTAGCTGGGATTATAGGCCCTTGCCACCACGCGCAGCTAATTTTTTTTTTTTTTTTTTTAGTAGAGACGGGGTTTCTCCATGTTGGTCAGGCTGGTCTCGAACTCCTGACCTCAGGTGATCCACCGGCCTTGGCCTCCCAAAGTGCTGGGATTACAGGCGTGAGCCACCGCACCTGGCCGGCTCCTTAGAATTTTAATTCACCTCTTCTAAGAACATCACTTCAGGTTATGGTTTCACACTTTTTGCCTGAAATATCGCATTAACCTCAGCGAAGACTTGGAACCAACCCAAATGTCCAACAATGATAGACTGGATTAAGAAAATGTGGCACATATTCACCATGGAATACTATGCAGCCATAAAAAATGATGAGTTCATGTCCTTTGTAGGGACATGGATGAAATTGGAAAACATCATTCTCAGTAAACTATCGCAAGAACAAAAAACCAAACACCGCATATTCTCACTCATAGGTGGGAATCGAACAATGAGATCACATGGACACAGGAAGGGGAATATCACACTCTGGGGACTGTTGTGGGGTGGGGGGAGGGGGGAGGGATAGCATTGGGAGAATTACCTAATGCTAGATGACGAGTTAGTGGGTGCAGTGCACCAGCATGGCACATGTATACATATGTAACTAACCTGCACAATGTGCACATGTACCCTAAAACTTAAAGTATAAAAAAAAAAAATCCTAGCAGCTAACCCTACCTCCTAGAACTATTCCTCAGAATGCTGGCAGAGCAATTGATGCTGCTCCCCAATGATGTCACTTGCTGAATCATGTCCTTTATTGAAAAATTCTTCAACATCTCCCCATAGCTTGCCGAATAAAGTTACGATTCCTTAGCCTGGGACTCAAGGCTTTCATGCGTCTTTCAGAGATGTCTGGCCTCTGTTCCTAGTTTTACTGGTTTCATCATCCCATACCTCTTTACTATGGGAACAATAGATCACGCCATTTCTTTCCTTCAAAACTTTCTTCATTCTCTTCTCTTTTTCCCTTTCTTATGTAGCTAATTTTTACACATTCTTCAAAATGTAGATGAGTGTCCTTTATTCAAAGAGGCCCTCTTTTATTTCCTAGTCTAATTTAGAAGCTTCTCCTAGCTGCTTCCATATCACCATCAGCTACCGTATCACTGAAATGATGATTTACTTTGATGTTCCTTCACTAATCTATCTATCAATCATCTATTATCTATCTATCCATCCATCCATCTTCAGAGTTGAGGCTGTGAGTTACTTGACATTGTATTTCTAATACCTAATCCAGGGTTTGATACAGGATAGACTCTCAGTGTTTACAGGAGGAATAGCTGCCCATTCTGAGTTTTTATGTGGATGCTCTATTTTCAAGGACAGTTCTTTTTTACTTTACACTTTTGTAATGAGTGTGTGAAGAGAGATTATTGCATAGGTGTGAGGGAGGAGGGAAAGAAATACAGAAGTTTATATAGGTCACCACAAAGGATTATTCCAAATTACCCTTTTGGGTTTCTCATAGCCGTTTTTAGGATAAGACTAGAATTAAACCAAAGTGTAAAAGTAGGAAGGGATGGGAAGTCCGCTCATTTGGAAGTCTAATCTAATGTAGTGCATGTTTCCACAGGGAAACTGTTGCAGAGGACAAGTGTCAGAAAAGTACTTTAATAGGTAATTGTTTGTGTTTGTGGTGCATTATTTTGCCAAATTACACAATATGGCAATAAGACAAAGTATATCATTTAAAATTATCCTGTTAAGGCCAGGTGCGGTGGCTCAGCCTATAATCTCAGCACCTTGGGAGGCCAAGGTGGGCAGATCGCTTGAGGTCAGGAGTTCGAGACCAGCCTGGCCAACATGGGGAAATCCCGTCTGTGCCAAAAAATAAATTTTGAAAATTTGCCAGGTGTGGTGGTGGGTGCCTGTAATTCCAGCTACTTGGAAGGCTGAGGCAGGGGGAACCCTTGAACCTGGGAGGTAGAGGTTTCAGTAAGCCGAGATGGTGCCACTGCATACCAGCCTGGGCAACAGGTGAGACCCTGTCTCAGAAAAAGAAAATTTTTAATGAAATAAAATAAAATTACCTTCTTAAAGCATATTGAATAGTAAAAATCATGTACAATAACACTACAAATAGTTGAGTTGTCATTGATTTTCCACGTAAAAGTTTTTTCTCTGTGTTTAATCATGTTTTTCTTTACAAGGTATCACTTGTTCTTTACCTTCTTGCGGTGTTTCTCTCTCAGTTCTTCAATAATAAAGCATCTCACAATGAGACCTGTGATTTCCTCAATTGAATTCCAAGTCCTCAGATATGGTATTGGAGCTTCTCAGCGATTTGATATATCCTAATCATGGTACCCTAATATTTTTTAGGCGGTGCAATATAATGTTGGAGATAGAAGGCTCCTAGATATCATGTAATGTAGAGACTCTGTAGCAGAAAGAAGTGGGCTTGAAGATGGGATAGTTAGTATCAAAAGCATATCATGGCCAGGCATGGTGGCTTACACCTGTAATCTTACCATTTTGGGAGGCTGAGGCAGGGGATTGCTTGACGTCAGGAGTTTGAGACCAGCCTGGCCAACATGGCAAAACGCTGTCTCTACTAAAAATACAAAAATTAGCTGGGTGTGGTGGTGGGTGCCTGTAATCGCAGATACTTGGGAGGCTAGGTGGGAGGATTGCTTAAGCCTGGGAGGTAGAGGTTGCAGTGAGCTGAGATCATGCCACTGCACTTCAGCCTGGGCGACAGAGCAAGACCCTGTCTCAAAAAAATGCATATTAGAAGGGGTGCCGATGGGAGCAAGAAGGTCTCTGCCAGTGGGGTCATTCAGGTCGTCAGGCCCCATACTCCCATTAATAAGGCTGCCTGAAAGAGAAGACAATCCTCAACCCAGTATGTCAGAGCTTTGAGATCTGTAGCTACTGTCTCACTCTTCTGCAGTTTCACACACTCTAAGGGACGTGAGTCATCAGATTTTCTGAGATATCAGGGTCTGGCAGACAATGCAGAATAATAAAAACATTACCCTAGAAATACAGAAGGAAACTCCTGTCTCAAGAAGAAATTGAACGTACTCAATGTGGAGGCCCAGAATCATCACTGGGACGGCTGTTTATCATCAGAGCCAATAATTTTTTTACAGTAAAGGACTTCCAAAATGACAAATGTGAAATTGTATGTCAAACAACTTTAATAAATGTTCTGTTAAAAAAATGTAGAAAAGATAAAAAGCATATCAGAAACTTTTCCAAAACATTTATCCCTGGCTTCTTGGTTTCCTCCCTCCTGAACTCTGAAATTCTTGTAAGTTTGGTGGCAGGCATGAGTGTTACACATACAGATACACATGCAAACAAAACAACTTTCCGGTGATCATAATATCCTCTACCTTTGCCTTTCTCTTTGAGTTCAGAACTATTGATTCAGTGTAGCTTTTGTTTTCAAGGAAACTATAGCTCAAAAAGTTCAAGTTTCACTGACTTGTCCTGGGTGATGGGGCTAGTTAATGGCAAAGCCAGTCCTGGAACCTCCGCCTCTCCTGCTGTTGGCAAAGCACTTCTGCTACACGCACTGCTTTCCTGGATGACTTTTAGAAACTGCCTCTTCAGCTTTGAAGAATCCAGAGAAATCTTTTTTCTCTTTTTTTTTTTTTTTTTGAGACAGAGTCTTGATCTGTTGCCAGGCTGGAGTGCAGTGGTGTGATCTCGGCTCACTGCAACCTCCACCTCCTGGGTTCAAGTGATTCTCCTGCCTCAGCCTCCCCAGTAGCTGGGACTACAGGCGCACGACCACGCCCAGGTAATTTTTGTATTTTTAGTAGAGATGGGGTTTCATCATGTTGGCCAGGAAGGTCTCAATCTCTTGACCTTGTGATCCGTCTGCCTCAGCCTCCCAAAGTGCTGGGTTTACAGACATGAGCCACCATGCCCGACCCCAGAGAAACCTTTAGCCTGACTCTTCAGATCTAGCAGCTCTAAGGACCATGACATCGTTCTGCTGGGGATGTTGTCCTGGCTTCTCCTCTCTCACTTTACTTCCAAAAGGCTTCCAGGACCAAGCAGCTATTGCAAGTTCCAGAGAATTATTTCTCCAAACCAGGACCTTATCCTATAGGTGTGAGAGCAAGGACTAGACAAGGAACCAGAGTAATGATGATTCTTCATTACACCTTCACATCTAAGCAGGCCTTAAAGGAAGGGACAAAGTTATCCTCAAAGGAATACACAGCTTGCCCAAATGCAGTTGGAGAACCAGGTGAGTGGTCCTCCCTGCCAACAAAGCAAAGTCTAGGCCTGCAAATCACTGCCACCAGGCGATAGAGAATGTAAACAATAATTCCGAGGCCTGACATAGCCAAGCGAGGTTGCTGCATTGCTCTGAAAGGCACAGATACTCTAGGGGGAAGGGGTTGCTTTGCATTTTGAGCACAATTTGGCCATGCAAGAATCTCCTTACCAAAATAAGCATCTTGAGCTTGCATTTTCTTTCTGGCAGGAAAAAGGCCTAGAACTTCCCAAGTGAACAAGCTACACCCACTTTTCAAATATTGTCACAAGTCATTGTAAAAATACTCTCTCATAAACGCTCTGGCTATAAGAGGAAAATAGAACCACACCAAACACCTCACCCCAATATTTCAGAGTCCCACATTGGGAGCAGTAAATAAGATTAGGGATTATAGCCTGCTCTGCGTTCATCTCTGTACAGAAATGTACTGCAGAAACCACACCCTTGTAAAAGGGAAAAGCAGGAGGAAGTGGACCCGTAAAAGCTAAGTAGTCAGAGGACATCCAGCTGGGGATAAAAGGCATTTTAGGACTGGCTCAGTGAAGTGCTGCAAACACAAGTTCACTGTAGAATAAATAGCCTGGGCTGTCTGGGCTGGAAGGTGGCAGCTGCATTTTATGTCCAGACTCGGGAGGCAGAGTTGAAACCTCACGTTCAACACTGGTCCCTGCCCCCAACACATAGGCACCAAGGCACATACATGCAGGATAAAATGTCTTCTCTTTGGATTAAAAAGTTAATAAAGCAATAGGTGATTGCCTAGAAGGGTGCATTCTAGAGTTTGCTCTAGCAAGCTAGGAAAACAACAGATGGTGGAAAGTTTGCTTCTCCTGCTTACAAACCACATGAAATGAGGCAGTGGAGTTGTCATTTAGCTTTTAGGAATTTAGCTTTTAGCTTTAGCATTTAGCTTTTAGTTTTGAGCAACTTGGATTCAATTCAAATGGTGCTTCAAGTTGTGTGATGTGTGTTATATCGGAGAGTATATTACTAGATTTTGTCCCATTTTTTAGCATTAGGATAGGCAACTCACCGGTTCCCGGGAACTGGCATGTGTGAGATGAGGAAGTAGAGGAGACCCTGAGGCCGTTGGTGGGCCTTACCTGCTGCCTTCTCTCCCTGCCAGGGTCAGGCCAGTCCTATTGCCTCTTCTCCTGGGGACTCCCACCCCTCTTCTCCTCCATCGCCATTCCAGAATACCACTGCCCACACTTGCTGCCTGAAAAGAAGAATGATCTGAAGTCCAGCTCTTTTCTCTCTAGTTCAACTTTACATCCATGTCATCCAACTTTCTACAGGAGCAAAGCTTTCCTGTGTGCAAAAGCTCTCCATCACTTTTCTTTATTTGTATAATACAATCCAAATTGGATCCGTCCTGCCTTGCCGGCCCCTTGCCCACTGCCTCATTGCCCAGGGATCTCTCAACCTCATCTCAATACACTCCCTTGCCTGGGCCCTGGCTTCTGCTTCATGAAACCCACTTTCCCCCAACCCATGTTGTTTATGGGAAGTCCTGCCCACTCCTGAAGCCTTTCCTCAGGTTCGTCTTTTCCAGAGGGACTTCCCTTATGCTTCACCATGCGCCGAGCCCTTCCCGCCCTGCTCTCCCTAGCGCTGTGTTGGTAGCTTTGCGACCGCACTGCCCATGGTTGGCTTCATGCCGTGCACATCTCTGAACCTCACTTCATGCCGTGAGCTCCTTGAACAGAGCAGAGAGGGAAGACTAGCATGAAGGGGTGATGGGGAGTCACGGCCTTAGGAGCAGGAGTCGGGAAGGTAACAATCACACAGAGATCTCTCATGTCACTACGCTGGTGTTATAATTCATGTCAGCCATGCACACGTACAATCCAGTATCTATAAGGCTTATACATATTCTTTAAAACCAAGGTTACATCTGCAATCACCATTCCATAGCATCTAGAAAGATGTAACGCCCGGCTATAAATAGGGTATACCCACAAAATATCATAGGACATTATTCAAAATCAGGATATTAAAAATTAAATCTGTTTAAAACACCTAGAAAACCCTTGAAAAACTTCTATGTAATCATTTACTTTTAATATTTGGGGAAAGAGCAGAAGAACATATGTCTGATCAAATTCACTACAACGGATTTTTTCACTTCCAGATTTACAGAATGCCTGTCACTTGCCTAAGTTCCTTGTTTAAAAAGAAAGAGACTTTTCTCCACACCACTTCTCAATATTTATTTATGCAAATGGGACATGAGTCACAAGCATGCAGAGATGAACCCTGATTTATGACAACATCAAGAAAATAGCTAAAAATATGTGTGTCTCAGGATGATTCAAAGTGCAATAGGGGAATTTCCAGTGATTTGGTAACAAATGTAGCAGCCCAACTCCCATTTATTTTTCCAGCAAATATTCCCAAGGAGCATGAAAAAATGACAGCTGCATAATCGCAACAGTTAATTTTTTCATGTTAGTTGATTCAACCTTTTTGTCAAAAAATGAGAGGAAGAATAAAGGAAAAGCAAGAGTGTAAATGGTAGATCAAATTCGCATATTAACAACTTTGGAAGTAAAAACTTCAATACTCTATCTGTAGCCAAATATTAATATTTTAGTCATTAAGCCTAATTGCGGAGAAGTTATACAATAAACAAGATGAGGCTATATTCTTGCTGAGGTATCTATGTGAAGGGTAGCACTCTAGAACTCTGGAGTTAAAAAGAACATGCAATATCCCTGAATTTGGCCTCCTACTTTGTTTGGGCAAGGATTGTCTCCAAAAACTGACCTCCGAGAAGTAGAATTTAGCCTGTTAAATACTTACAGTAATGGGTCACTCACTGCCTCTGTCTTGTTTTCGGGGCTGCTGTAACAAATTGCCACAAATTTAGTGGCATGAAAATCGCGATTTATCATCTCACAGTTCTGAAGGCCAGAAGCTCAAAGGTGTTTGGCCGGGCTGCACCCGCTACAGGGCCTGTAGTGGAGAATCCATTTGTTTCTAGTTTTTCGTGGCGTCTGGCTTCCTTAGCTAGTGCCACATTGCTCCAATCTCTGCTCCGTCTTCACATTATCTTATCCTCTGTGTGTCTCTTAAAAAGAGACTTGTTACTAAATTTAGGGATCACCCAGGTAATACAGAATGAGTTTCTCATCTCAAGATTTTTAACTTAATGACATCTACAAAGACCCCTTTTCTTTCTTTCCTTTCTTTTTTCTTTTCTTTCTTTTTTTCTGTCTTTATTTTTCTTTCTTTCTTTCTCTCTCTTTTCTTTCTCTCCTTCCTTTCTCTCTTTTCTTTCTTTCTCCTTCCTTCCCTCCTTTCTTTCCTTCTTTCCTTCTTTCTTTCTTCCTTCCTTTCTTTCTTCCTTCCTTCCTTCCTTCCTTCCTTCCTTCCTTTCTTTCTTTCTTTCTTTCTTTCTTTCTTTTTTTTTTTCTTTCTTTCTTTTTTGATGGAGTTTCACTCTTGTTGCTGAGCTTGGAGTGCAATGGTGTGATCTCAGCTCATGGCAACCTCTGCCTCCTGGGTTCAAGCGATTCTCCTGCCTCAGCCTCCCAAGTAGCTGGGACTATGGGCATGCGCCACCACGCCTGGCTAATTTTTGTATTTTTTTTTTTTTTTTAGTAGAGATGGGGTTTCTCCATGTTGGTCAGGCTGGTCTCGAATTCTCGACCTCAGGTGATCCACCCACCTCGGCCTCCCAAAGTGCTGGGATTACAGGTGTGAGCCACATCGCCCAGCCAAACACCCCTTTTCAAAATAAGGTCACATTCACAGGTTCTAGGGATCAGGACATGGACATATCTTTCTGGGGGCCACCATCTAGCCATTGCCACCTCCAAAGGCAAGACATACATTTTTGGCCAGATCTCATTAGGTGGCCTTGCATTGTTTTGAACAGTGTTTATGTATCTTTACTATTTTTGGGGTAGTTCCAAAGTAGGGCTCTGCCTCCTACTGGGAGCTGAAATGGACAGGCTCTTTTCCTCCCAGACTGTGGACTCTAGGGCACGAGCAGCACATGGCATAATCAGAGCCATTCATGCCCTCGCTGGGGCTGGGACTCTCAAGGGGTGCAGCAAAGCTCAAAGTGGGAGATTATTGTGGCAGCTGTTGTATATCCCCAGCATGAGCCTCGTCAGTGAGTCCAGTGGCAACGGTGCCCTTGGTAGTATTAGGAGCCAACCATGCCTGGACAGGGCTTTGCCCAGGCCTCGCCTAGTTGCTTGGTTGTCTGGTCTTCCCATAAGTGCTGTGAGCTATCATTTCCAATACTACGTTTTTCCGTGGACACTTCAACAACTTATGTTCTTGACAGCCAAGAACTGCTAAAATCTGTCTCTGTGTGTGCCAGCCTAATATCTCAATCCTTTCCCTAAAGCTGTGCAGAATATACCTACTTTGTTTTGCACATAAGAAAGCCCTCAAAAAGTCACGCAATCTACTGATTGATAGTATCCTAAAGATTGTCTTCTCTGGCCAGGCGTGGTGGCTCATGCCTGTAATCCCAGCACTTTGGGAGGCCGAGGTGGAAAGATCATGAGGTCAGGAGATCAAGACCATCCTGGCTAACATGGTGAAACCCTGTCTCTACTAAAAATACAAAAAATTAGCCAGGTGTGGTGGCACCTGCCTGTAATCCCAGCTACTTGGGAGGCTGAGGCAGGAGAATTGCTTGAACCCAGGAGGCAGAGGTTGCAGTGAGCTGAGATCGCACCACTGCACTCTAGCCTGGGCGACAGAGCGAGACTCCGTCTAAAAAAAAAAAAAAAGAGATTGTCTTCTCTGATATGACATTTTACCGCTGTCTACACTGAAGACCTATTTTACCGCTGTCTACACTGAAGACCTATTTTACCGCTGTCTACACTGAAGACCTATTTTACAGCTGTCTACACTGGAGTGGTCCAATGAGTTCTTGTGACGCAGGTCGGAGCTGGCCCTTGGGATTGCCAGGTCTTGGCACAGTGCCTTCACCGTGCTGCCATCGCCAAATCTTTACGATGCTCTCTTCCCTCCTCAAACTTCATCCCACACCTTTCTTCCAAGCCAAACATCTCTAGATTGGTTGCTCCTGATACAATTTTTAGACCATAGTAGTGCTGTTATATTTCATAATATCACATGATTTCATTATTGTGAGCAATTTTTATAGAAACTATCGGTGCTTTTTTTTTTTTTTTTGAGACGGAGTCTGGCTCTGTCGCCCAGGCTGGAGTGCAGTGGCGCGATCTCGGCTCACTACAAGCTCCACCTCCCAGGTTCCCACCATTCTCCTGCCTCAGCCTCCCGAGTAGCTGGGACTACCGGTGCCCTCCACCACGCCCGGCTAATTTTTTTGTATTTTTTTTAGTAGAGATGGGGTTTCACCTTGTTAGCCAGGATGGTGTCGATCTCCTGACCTCGTGATCCGCCCGCCTCGGCCTCCCAAAGTGCTGGGATTCCAGGCGTGAGCCACCGCGCCCGGCCGAAACTATCAGTGCTTTTAAGTCACAAAGCTACCCTTGGAGACCGGCTGTGAGGAAAAATCCTTCCTAAAAGTATCCTTAGGCTCGTTCCCACAGGCCTGTGCTCTGTGCCCGCCAAGCTCTTCTCCTTGTCTCCATGCATGGCCCCTGGCCTCACATACACCCCAATTTTTCTCACCTCCAGATCTCCAGTAGTTTGAATTTCTTCCCCTAAAACACCCTTCTGCCTTCTTTGGTCCCATAAACTATGTCTTACATACCATGCTAATCACTGTTCCTCTAATGTTGGTATTTCCTTCTAGACAAATACAACCATCCCTTCTTGCATGCCAGCCAATGCGTTTGCTTACAGCTGGCTTAGACCTTTGCAGTAGGCTACGTTTTTCCCGAAATTGACTTATTTGCAAACCCTGCCTTCTCAATAAAATCGTCGACTCCTGGAGGATAGGCAGGTGATCTTATTTTTTTTAGTGTGATGGTCCACAGGTATTTAACAGGCACAGCAGACATTTTAGTTTTTCCTATTTATGGGCAACCTGATAGTACATGACTTGTAAATATTTGTAATTTCAGTGAAGCAGGACTTTTCTAATGATAAAAGTTACATAAGCTCAGGAAAAATAAAAGTTCTCTAACTACCCCATCTTCCAATTCCACTTGTCCTTAATTTTACCACAACAAATGGTTTTATATATACCCTTTGAGGAATTTTGTTTTCAAATACAAGCATACTGTCTCTTTAAAAAAATGTGAACAGTTACATGCATTTAAATGCCTTCTAGGTATTGCCAGATTGCCCCTTGAAAAGGTCATAGGAGTTAAGAATTTGAACTTCCCATCTTCATGAGGCTTGTGATCCTCTGTTCCTTCTCAATTACACGGCATAAAATGTTCATTTATTTAACTCTTTGAGTGAAGGTTCTCAGAAAAGAAGTCAATGATGGGTGCTTTAATAGCAATGAAGAATGAAACAAAGATATCTAAAACAGTACTGGTTTTTGGTCAGAAAATAAAAGTTTTTTTGGTTGTGAGGGAGGTGGATACAATGTGATAATGTGTTTACAGATCGCGAAGACTTCCTGATAGGAATGTTAAAGGTCTTCTGATCATAAGTGAATAGAACTGAATTTAGTGACAAAGAGAAGCATGAACTGAAATGTTGCACCATGAATCATTGAAAAACTATTGATCCTTCCATTGAAATGTATATATCTATAATATTTACATGAAATGTGTTCTTTCTATGACTCAGTTTTGAGGTGAAGGCATAAGAATTTACAAATATACAGTGACACTTTACTTGTTTATAAACGAATGTAAAGTCTTCTAATATCTCACCCCTCTGAGAAAATAAATAGTGAATTTTTGATGTTTCTGGATTTTGTGACATGCTTTTAATGTCATATGAATATTTACCTATGTTGTAATCTAGAACTTCTATGATTTCATTTGTTTACATTTAAAATTCTGATGGATCTGGAAATCATTTGTTTGCTTCAGCATAAGGAAAGAAATGATTTTTCAGTTTGATGTTTTTCCAATGGATAATCAAATATACTATTTGCTAACTAATCCAATTATGTTCCTATTGTTTTATGTTGTCGCCAGTACCATACACTAAATTCCATATATCCTCTGGTATAATTTTTGACTTTATCTTTCTATTCCTGAGCTTGTGGCAAATTTTAAAATTACTATAGATTAATAAGAGCTTTATTATCAAGAAATGCTTGCTGATTTAAAAATACTCAATATAAAAGTGAATAAAGCTGACGTGAAAGCCTTCCATGTAATTCTGCTTCCTAGAGATGAACACTGCTCTCGGTTTGGTGGATATTTTTCTGGAATTCTTTCACACAATATGTATGTGTACACATGTATAATGCAAATGGAATCATATTATATCCTGATCTGTAATGTTTTTCACTCAACAATTTGTCATGTGTGTTTTCCAAGTCAATGCAGAGAGATACACAATATGCTTTTAGCTGAGTATGTCATTGTATAGCTATGCCTAAATTTAATTTACCCAATTTCTTATTGAAATCCCTCAGGATTTTCATAATATTTTACTATTCCCAACAACCTCGAAATCCTTCTTTTATATATTTTTGTGCTCTATATTTCTGCAGAATAAATTCTTAGAAATAAGGTCGTGTGATATTTCCAAATCATACTCCAAAAAGCTGAATTTGTTTGTGGTAGAGCAGTAGCGAGGAGCCCATTTAGCTCTCCAGTGTCCTGGAAATTTTTAGGAGACAGGGATAGAAAGAGGAGGTGAGGAAGAAATAAAGACTAAGAGCAGAGCCAAGGAGGTGGCCAAAAGTTTTTCTCATAGATAGGAAGAAAAAGAACAGATGGTGATAGGAGTGAAGGCAAGTTAGGTAACAAGAAAAAATGACCAACGTAACTACGGATGTCTCACCATAGAATTCGCATTTGGAGTCATTCAGTAATCATAGAACGAATACTTGTAATATTTATTGACGGAAAATATCTCTAAAAAGTAGTCACCTAATCACGGTCTGTTGTGAGGTTTTTTTTATTTTTCTCTATAACTGAGGGATTTGGGGTATCTAAAAAAGAGATTAATAGAAATCAAACGCATAATCATAAATATAGCAAAGGAAAAAATGCCCACTTCTCTGTATGTTAAAGGTAAAATTCTTTTTCCAATGTGTTTAAATAAAAGTAGTGTTCAGCATGAGGAAATGCTAGGATTAATATAATAATCTTTTATTATATAAGTGAGTGGTTACTTTAGAATTTGTATTTCATTTTCTAATGAACCAGTGACCACACAACATTGTGATTATGATAGAAAGTATTTGAATTAAGATTCAGTTATTCAATGTTGTATTAGCAATGACAGAGTTTTTCTACTTCTGTCTTTTTCTTCTTTTTAATAAAGTGTGATATCTCCAAGGAAGCTTAATCCAGATGTTTATGAAGCTAGCATGGCACTTCCTACAAATGCAAGGATTGTGAGTGACTCTGGGGCCTCTATTGCAAATTGTTCTAGGGAGAAATTTGCCTGTCCTGGTATCAAGCCCTGGCTGGAAGCCAGAGAGAGGGTTACAGAAAGAGATTAAGGTGTCAGTGCTGGAGGCAGAAGAGGCTATTGGGCAATTTGTTTGCCTGGTTCTACCGCACACCTGATTTACACCCAGCTTGTGAAAACCTTACCACAGGTAAAATGCCAATAGTTGTTCTACTAGAGTGGTCAACTTTTGACTGATTTATCTCCTACATTTTTCAAACCTTATGTAATGTCTTGTTTTTATAATAAACAGTTTTGGAATGTTTTCCTGTAATAGTTATTATGCAGGCACTAATAAAATGGTCAATATAATTTTATACATATTAAAACACATTAGTATTCTTTGAGATGAAGTACTAATAGCAATACCAGATAATATTGCCATTGATTTTTAAAAATTACTTGAACATTTAAAAAATTATCCAAATCCATAAACACAGAACAATCAATACAATCTAAATAACACCTATAGTGCAATTAGTTTATTGGAATGATAGTTTCAGTGGAAAGAAATAAAGCTTGTTTAGGCTGGTTTTTATTCTCTACACATTATGCATTGGTTATGTAAAAAGGCAGAGTTTTCTAGCTAAGAGCATTAGTTAACTATAAAATCATACTAATACATGGTGAAATGTTTCCCTCAAAGTCGTTTTGATGGATAGCTAATCCTATGGATGTTTCAGCAAAAGAATTAAAGAATTAAAGCTTAAAAGACTTCAGTATCAGATATTTTAATTCCTAAGAAACATCTTTACATCTTTTAAAGATCAAAATTCATTTTTAGAAAGATAATAAATGTTACAAGTAAACCTTGATCAATTAAAGAAAAAATAATTGAGAAAGTCAAGGCATTTTCAGTGTGTGTTTGTAATTTATGAGGGTCTCATGGGACTGATACACATCTATGGTTGCAGGAAGGAAAATCTGAGAATACAGACTTTTACTGCTTTTACTGTTCTAGATTAAAATATAGGTAAGTATTCATATGACATTAAAAGCACGTCACACAATCCAGAAACATAAAAAATTTACTATTTATTTTCTCAGAGGGGTGAGATATTAGAAAACGTTGCATTTGTCGTTGTTGTTGGTTTATGTTTTTTTTTTTTTTTGAGACAGAGTTTCACTGTTGTTGCCCAGGCTGGAGTGCAATAGCACGATCTTGGCTCACCGCAACCTCCGCCTCCTGGGTTCAAGCGATTCTCCTGATTCAGCCTCCCGAGTAGCTGGGATTACACGCATGTGCCAACACGCCTGGCTAATTTTGTATTTTTAGTAGAGATGGGGTTTCTCCGTGTTGATCAGTCTGGTTTCGAACCCCCAACCTCAGGTGATCAGCCCGCCTGGGCCTCTCAAAGTGTTGGGATTACAGGCATGAGCCACTTTGTTTCTAAACAAGTAAAGTGTCACTGTATATTTGTAAATTTGTAGCTAAGTGTTCTCACAGTGGTTCTCCCTCCTGCCTGCCCCCACTTCCCAAACCTCCTCCTCCTTTGTTCCTTCTCTCACTTTCTTCCTTCTTTCCTTCCATCTCTTTTCCTTCCTTTTTTCTCTTCTGCAAAACTTTTTTCCACCCAGCCAATGCCCCCTTCCTTGCCTCACCAGGTGAACTGTTGGTGTTCAGCCATTCAGATGCCATTCGAAACCCTACACTGCTGGAAAGAGTTCCTTGATGTCTCCTGCCTGGATTACTGGGTTGCACTCTTCGTCTGTGCTCCCCTAAGTGAGGCTTGTTACATTAATATCATGCTGTGATTGTCCCTTTTCTTGCCTACTTTTGCATCTTTACGGTCCAGTACACTGTTTACAACTAGTAGGAGTTGAACATTATTTTTAAACCAATATCAGCTAAATAAATAAGCAACCCAACTTTTTTCTTAGCTTAAGAAAGCAACAGAAGACATTTATTTTTTACTCATTACATGTTTACTGAGTGTGGGATTGCTATGTAAATCTTTCTATCAGCAATTGGCTAAGATTCTATAAAATATAATGAAACTACATATGTATTTAGGTTTTTGCTGACTTTTCTCCCCTCATCACAACTTAATTTGCCTTTTTCCTCAAGCCATAACTGTAAAACGCACAGAATATTCTACATCATTCTTTTGTGTTTTTGAAAAAAGATTCTGCTCTCTTTCTTTTATTGTATTATGTAATATTTTTGTTTGACCACGGACCCTGGGTGGCGGGTATTCTAAGGAGCTGAGGCCTGATCTAAGGCGAGTGTATTCTGAGATGGATGATTATAAACGTGTCCAAAACCAAGTGACTCATGTTTACACGGGTGGGAACTTGGGCTAATAGATGTTGGAGGTGGGAGAAAGGAAGGCAATGCTGTAGGTATGTTCTCCTTGACGTGTGAGTACCTCGAACGCTTTTATTGCCAAGATCGTGATGATTAGGGAGTTTAAAGGGAAATGTACAAAATGGTCAAAAACACTGTGTTAGGAACAGTCAGTGGGTTTTTTTTTTTTTTTTTTTTACTGTCTTTACTCAGTTTCATGACAACTGAAGTGCTGTGGTTGGGACAGGATGACATTTTCACTTAGAAAGAGGCTTGTAGACAATAATTACATTCAATACCACAATAGAAATGTTAGAGATTATTTTCTGTAGCTCATAAATAAAACCAGAAGTGTGACTTGGAGTCTCTAGTTTACCTCTGAGATTTCTGCACAGCGTACAGCATAGTTAGTGTGACCAAAGTTAGTTCACAGGATATGCCGACCAAGAGAAAGTCATGTCTAACTCTCCAAACTATCTTAAGGTCTTGTATCGAAAATGGCCTTGTGTCTTAAGCAGTGTCTGACTTTGGGAACAGGTACCTGAGGGGAGGTTAGAGAGAGCAGGCTACGACATGCCTTTAGAGCCCTCATCTGCAAGATGAAGACAATCAAGGACAGATATCAATTCATTTCAAAGAACTATTTCATGCACTGTGCTGCTTAAAGCACTATGTATTTGTCAGCGAGGTTTGACCAAACTACCTACATGAAAATATCACCAAATTATTCATCTGGTGTTTTCCTCTAAAGTTAATACAGTGAAATGATAAAGCAGTTTGGACTTGCCTACAGAAAAAGGATGGCAGAACGAACGTGATTATCTGGGGAATTCAGACCTCAAAACTACTTTTTAACAGAAATATCCACAAGCTACATATTTTTTTCTTTAAGAAATACCCTAGAAAGCACCCTCAGTTGTCAAGTTCCGTCTCCTTGTGGGACTCCTTATACCAAGAACTCCACGTGGAAGGGAACAAACAGGGTGTCTGATGTGAGATGAAATCTCCAGGGCCACACAAGGGGCCTCATATTGCCCCTGGCCTGCTCACTTGTTTTTCTTGTTTGTTGCTTGCATCAGGTGACTTTCTACAAACCACAGGGCTGTGTTTGCACCTGTACTTCCTGAGAAGCCCATGTTCATCTTTTGTAAAAGTGCTGGTGAATTATTTCCTTAAAAGTCTTCTGGGTGGGTGCAGTGGCTCACACCTGTCATCCAGCACTTTGAGGAGGCTGAGGTGGGATGATTGTTTGAGGTCAGGAGTTCGAGACCAGCCTGGGCAATATGATGAAACCTCATCTCTACTAAAAATACAAAAATTAGCCAGTGCGGTGGCACATGCCTGTAATCCCAGCTACTCGGGAGGCTGAGGTGGGAGGATTGCTTGAGCCTGGGGGGTTAAGGCTGCCGTGAGCTGAGATAGCGCCACTGCACTCTAGCCTAGGTGATAGAGTAAGACTCCGTCTCAACAAATAAAATAAATTAAAAATCAGCCAGGTGTGATGGTGTATGTCTGTAGTCCCAGCTACTAGGGAGGCCAAGATGAGAGAATCACTTGATCCCAGGAGTTTGAGGCTACAGTAAGCTGCAATGGCATCACTGCACTCCAGCTTGCGCGAAAGAGCAAGACTCTGTCTCAAGAAAAAAAAAAAAAGTTTTCTGTTAGGTTATCTTTTCCCTAATGTACACCATAAATATGTTTGCATGAACTGGAGGAAAATATGTGGGTACAGAAAAATAGGACAAAAGAGGAAAGAGCTGTTGCACTTCATATATCATGTATGACATGCTGTGAAGTGGAGGAAAGGACTGACCTGAAGAGTTTGAACTTAATGGGCACAAAATACAATTTCTGTTTATATTTTAAGAAGGTGTCTGCTCTATAATGGGTAATATGTATACTATCTAGTTTAGTACTCACTAATAGCTATGATGAAAACCGCCTTGGTTGACTTAACCTCTTTAAGTCTCAGTTTTTTCATCCAGAAACTGGGAATAACAATGACCTCATAGCATCACTGTGAGAAATTAGTGACACGCAGGACACAAACATCCTAATGAAGGAGCTGTTAGTTTATACTTTTAAGATGACACCTATTATAAAAATAAATATTTCTAACTATGTTAAACTCTCTAAATTAACTAAATTGCTTTTCAGCAGATTTCCCTGACATTGCAGGTATTTAGGAGATTGTTTAAAAGCTAGACACCAGTTTTGAGACATCTAGAGGACAGTGTTATATTTTGCAGCCAATTATGTTCATGCCATCAGTGCAAGGCAGATCTGAGGTCTTCCTTGGTAGGTGGGGCATGTTACTAGGATTTTCTTCTGCAAATTCTGATCCTACCTGCCAGAAATCTTTCATCTGCTGGCCTTTATTATGCTAGTAGAAGCTGTTGTTTACTCAAACCCACTGTCCTGCTGAACACTGGAAGTCTTTGCTGTGGCCGTCTTTGCTGCAGGGATACCTCAGTGTGCTTCTCTTCCACGCTCACATCTCTGGTCATCATTGGTAAATGTCCCTTGAACTTCGTTGTTACATGACTTCCTGTTGTAGGTGGCTTTATCTGTCTTGTTCACAGCACACACTCAGAAAAAAGTGGTATTTTCATTGAGTGCATGCACTTACGATGATGACCCTATTGAGAATACCTGACTTTCAAATTAGAGAATGTCTAGGAACTTGACTTAGGCAGGTCTCCAGGATCCAAGAAAGAGTGTTCGATCCTCTAATTCAGTGCTTTTCAAGGAGATTTTCAGCAGTTCCCTAGATGTGTTCTTTGGGATCTGAGAGTTCTCTACCAGCATTTTTCAATGTTTTTGTTTTGATGTTACCCTAAGCAAATTAGCAGAAGCATATTTTGCATGATCTTGATGGCCGCTTTATAACTGAGCCGCATTTCCAACCTGCTTCTGGGTTTGTGTTTAAAACTGACCTGGTGCTAACATGAGAGCATGTAGCTTTTGCTGTGCTGGGAAGCATGCTGGTTGCTTTTGAAGTGGCATGAAATAACAATAGCCATGAGGGTCCACCATTATCCTGATGGGAAATTCTTTTTGTAGTTGACGAGACAAAAGTAAACTCCTCTTTGGGATTAAAATTGGCAGTTAGAAGTACCTTCATTCTTAATGAGCTAGTAAGAAAATAATTCAAGTTGACCTAATTCGTAAAGAATGCCGTCACACCAAATGAAAGCCAGGCAGGTGTCATGGAGCATGAGGTTTCCATAGCAGGCTGAATATTCCAAGTTAAAGACAAAAGTAAGCAATGGCCAGAAATTTTGACTCATGCTCAGATTATCTATGGATTATATGAATGAACGATAACTAGCATTTATTCATTTCCCTCAGTGATTTGATGGTGAAATTGTTGCTGGACTAGACATTCTTTTTAATGTCTGCAAGAATTAAAAACTAATTTCAGATGTTATTTTCAAAATAGATTCCAACAGTAATTGAAATTGGTTTACATTTGCAGATTTCAATAATTCTACAATACTTTTCTTATCTTTTTAAAAGATAACTTAAAAGTTTTTTTAGATTATTTTTCTTTAGAAGTTTCTAGCATACTAAGTTTGAGAACTGCTGCTTGTGCCAAAGATAGGAATAAACCAACTAAAGGGGACCCTCTGTCCCTTACTTAATTTTGTGGTTTAAAATTGTGGAGCCTTCAGAAATATCTCTTTCTCTGTATTTCCTATTTTTTGGCATAGAATAATTCTTTTCTTAAAATAAAGACTTCTACAATAGGGAAAGAATGAGAGGATATCCCATATACTCTGGAGGAAGGATTTAGGGGATTAAACACAGACTTTTGAGAATAAATCGGCTATCAGTCCTCAGAGTAAGACCTATTTCCTAGCAAGTGTGAGCTGGGAAGAAGCCTGTCAGAGACCTTGTCACCTCCTGAAATAGCCCATGATCAGAGACACCCATCTGTGACTTTATATCATCATACAGTAAGTTGCTGATAGCAAAGCTTGAATTAGAGCTGCCTGTAATTTAGTCATAGCTATCAAATTTACTTCTGGTAATAATTTTGTAAATTTTATTGTTATCTTGTATTTTACAGTTATCTCTGAAGTAATTTATGTCTAATAGCATAATTTTAACGTAATTAATTACATGGGAATTTAAAGATTCATAGTAAAACAATTTACAGTAGTTTTAACAATCTGTTCCAATTTTTAGCCCTTATATTTTATCGTGAATAAAATATGAACATGTCTATGAACATGTCCATACTTTTTAATAAGAAAACGACCTTTAACTTTGTATCATGGTGGAATTTGTAAAAGCTATTGATAGTTTTGTTCAGACAGAAATTTAAGAATTATAGTAAATAGTTATGATTTGGTTGGATTAAAAATTCTGTAAGATCTGATCTTAGAATCTTAATCTTGCCAATGATGAAGATTCTAAGTGATGGTGAGGAGTTGTCTGGGAATAGCTGTATGTCATAACAAGCTAAGTTTGTTTATAAAGCATGGTAGAGCTCAAAGGGAAAGCTTTTATGAAATCTGGCTCTAGCACTTTTTGTCAAAATAAATCAATGAACACAGAAGAAATGAAAGGATCCCTCTGTGTGGTATACTTCCTGCATCATTTGCTTTGCTTTTCCTATTTTTCTCTTTTCTTCTTTCAACTTTTCTATGCATTCTGCTGCCCCAAAGTGCCACCTTTGTGTGCTTTTATGAATAATTTGTCCTCTTTCCAAAGCAGGTAGAAGACTCTCATGTATTCAAAATATTTTAATTGAGTATCAAAGTATTTATTGAGTATACTCAATATATTGAGTAACACATAATAGACACTCAATATCTATTGAGTTATGAGCATCCATGTGTTAGAAAGTACAGACATCAACTAAAGAACCCATAGTTCATAGTTCCTGTCTTCAAGGAGCTCAGCGTATCATGAGAGAAAGAGGCACATAAGAGACCCATTGCATGTGGCAGAGAGGTGGCAACTCTGAGCTCTATCTATGGGAGCACCAAGGACAATACTGCTCACTGGGCCTTGGGAAACCAGGCAAGGCTTCACACTGGATACTGCATTGGACCTCACCTTCTTGGATATACAAGAATTTGGCAAACACACAAAACAGGCGGGGGATTTCATCCAAAGAGAGGTTTACAGGATGTACAAAAGCATGGACTTTTGAAAGTTTGTGATGTGTCCTGGGAAGTCAATGTGGCACAGTAATTTTGTCCTTTCTTCATTCCACAAGCAAGAGAGATGAGACCAAGAAGGGAGATAAGAATACGCATCTTATCTTATTTTTCTTTTTTTTTTTTTTTTTTTTGAGACAGAGTCTCGCTGTGTCGCCCAGGCCGGAGTGCAGTGGCACGATCTCGGTTCACTGCAACCTCCGCCTCCTGGGTTCACGCCATTCTCCTGCCTCAGCCTCCTAAGTAGCTGGGACTACAGGTTATCTTATTTTTCTAAAAATCACATTTAGGGAGGTAATGTAAACAGAAAGCGAAAGTAAAGAGAAGGGTGGCCAATGACTGGACACAGCAGAAACAAAGAAACGAAAAGGACTTTTATTATTGAATGGGAGTTGTAACTGAGATTTATTGAATCCTTGCTATGTAGCAAATACTGCCCTAAACATTTTATTTATTATTTTTTAAATCCTCACTCTTTTAATAAGTACCACTCAATTAATAGTTATTATTAATTTATTTAATTTACGGAAGGCCAATGAGGATCCAAGAAATGAGGTCTCTTGCCTCCCTCCTCACATATTTGAGATGATGCTGTAAGTGGCAGAATCAAAATTTATGTAACTCTGTAAATGGAGTAGGGAGGCAAAGCATGCTGGCCACCACAAATGCAAAACAACACCAAGGAAACCAAGAACAACAACATAAACTTTCTCTAGCAGAGCTCAGATGTATTGGTTCAAAGGAGGCCTGGTTGAAGTCGTTGTAAAGTGTTATGATGAGGTCACAGTAGACCAAGTTCTTCCACCCTTAAGGTTTTGGTTAGAGAGGCATAAAAGCATTCGAGTTTTATAGTGATATTTGCCCAATGGAAAACTCTTCCCTAGTGGGGGTGATATTAGTTATGGTCTGTGATAAGGGCCCTTGGAGGAAATAAAAGGAAATGTATGCACAAGGTCACGCACTGTCATCTTTTGGCATTACTAGTCTCTTCTCTTTTTAGAAATTTTATTCTAAAAAAGAATTATTCTTTCAGTCACATTAGATCTCTTTGTTATTCTCCAAGTCACCTTTTCTCTTGTGCTTGTCCTTGGTAAGCAGTATATGTTAATAAGAACACACTCCTTCAGCTGCACCTCTAAGATGTGTAGACTTACGGGATGCGAGGAGGGGCTGGAAGTACGGGAATGAGGATGGCACTTCTGGATGATGGGAGATGGCCAGGGAACCAAGCAGAGGGGAGCAAGTGTCTCATTCTCTACTGGAGCAGGGAACAAACAGGCAGCTAGAGGACCCGAAACGTGGGAGGTTGTCCCTAGTGTTAAGAGGGGTGACTTAATTATGTTTTTTCTTAGTTCAAAGGATGTTTCTTTTAAGTTTAGGCTGAAAGTATAGAGTCTCCTGTATTGGTAGGAAGCCCAATATTGTATCAATTTGAGATCTAGGTTTGCTGGCGTCACATACCGTACACGCCCAGGGCGTGAACCAGGCCTTTGCGGCCAAGTTCTAGGGGGCTTTGGAGACCCGGAACCTCCCGAATGTCAGCGAGAGGCAGGCGCCAGCCGCTCTGCCCAGGCCTGCCCCGCGCTGCACATGATTCAGTGGGTTGGGGTGAGGTAGGGTGTGGAAGCAACACAGGAATGGGTCACGAATAGCAAATAGTCTCTTTCCAAAAGGAGATCATGTACAGACATTGTACTGGGTCTTTGGGAATGCCGCAGGGGATCCTGCGGGAACAGCGAGAAAGAGGGAGAGAGGGGCTCGCAGTTACAAAAGAAGGTTCGGGTGGCGTTAGGAGGCGGCAGGGACGTAGCTATGCAGGCCGTGCAAAGTAATGATGCAGATGTGTGTGCCGCGATGTCTTAAGCGTAATTAAAGGTGGACTTCCGCGTTTTCTCAGATTCTTGGTGGTCCAAACAGAAAGGTTAAACAAAACAATTTACATGACTTTTACTATTTATAAAAGGAAATACACCAGGATGTCAAATGTTAAAATCACTTTTCATCACAGTTCAAACTGAAACAAAGCAGGAAGAGGCAAAAACTGCTCAGAGAGGGAGATCAACTAGCGTAGGTGCTTCAAGATACCCCTGTTTTTCTGGCATTTTAGAAATCTTCTAAAGGGATTTTTCTCAGAGTTTGAAAACAATACTGTGTTTCCAAGAATGCTAGGAAATTTACTTTAAAAAACACTCAGAAATGTTTTAAAAGATTCCTAACAATCACATTCTGTATATATCGTCAAATCTGATTTTACTAGACTCTGACATTTTGGTTACATTAAGGAATCATCCACAATAAAAATATACCATAGATAATGGATTCATAACCACATGGTTTCCATTTGTTAGTGTTAGTGTACGGAACAAGTGCAGAACAGATAAGGAAAATATACATCTGTGAGGGGGGAATTCTTTTCATGATGCCTGTCACATTCTGAAATGGAATGCAGTTAATTTCTCTCCTTCCTCAGCTCGGTAAGTTTATTTTCTTAGAATCTATTCTCTGAGTTAGAACTAGCTCTGATTAAGTGCTATATTGGAAGCAGCTCAGTGTAGAGCCATGGCTAAAATAGTTGGAAATTATATCCATAGAAAATTCAAATCTGAGAATTAAAAGCAACAACAACTGTAAAGTACTATGGATCACTGAGAAAGTGTGTATTCATTTTTGTCTAATGATGAAATGATCCAGCTGCAGGAAGAGTCCACAGAGGACATGCCCGGGCAAAGGCCTTTCATTTTACAATTCACATGGAAAGAAATGTGATGAGACCCTGAAAGACAGCTCTGGTTTCATCTGGACCACAATTTAGTTAATGCTATATTACATTGCACTTTGTAGTGAAATGCAAAAATAAAAGGCACATTTTGTTGGGCTTTAAAAACAATTTTTACACGGACATTCATCGGAAGGTTTCAAAACTTTGATGATTTAAATGCTTTTCTTTTGAGCTATAATAGAAATCTGATAGTACAATTAACCCAGATTTGTGCTGGCTTGCTTCATCCCATCAAACAATCATAGGGATTATTTACATTTCGAGTGGGAACATAAATATCTTAAGAAATAGACAAAACAATATGCCCCTTTTTATTGTGAAGTCTAACTCACCTTCATAAAAGTCAACGTATTGAAATATCAATCAATCCAGCAATTGCTTTTTGTTATGTGCCGCAGTATGGATCCTCAGGGACTCCAGACCGTGTGAGCAACTAACAGGAAACAACACCAGATGTGCTGTATCAGCCATTGATTTTCATCCCTGATGAATTCAGGTAAAATTGCATCACTGAAATCACTCAAACTACTCTGAAGCCATTTTTAAAAGGCAGCTCTGTTCAGGTTTGTTGGTTTTAAGTATCAACTTATGTGCACATGCACAGAGGTCCAAAAGGTTAAGCATCTTACGGCTTCTAGGAACTTCATAACATCATCCAGCTTCTCAAGGAATGGTTTTCCTACACAAGAAGAAATCATAAAATGTAGTCATCTGTAAATATGAGAATTAATCTGTTAAGATTCATAAGTTTATTTTCTTTTGTTATAAAATCAAGGAAAAATGACATGCATCACGAATACTGTCAGCAAGAGATACATTTTAGGGTAGGGAATAAATGACTTTGAAAAAGTTATACTACTTTCCTTGGTTTGTAGTGATCGAGTGCAGGAAATGCTTCCCCAAAATATGGCACCTTGGGATCCTGAGTGTTTTAAGCTGAAGGATAATGAGAAACCCCAGATTCTAGGAAGGTCACTCTCTTACCTTCTCCTGCCTTTCTCCTCTGAGGCCATGAAGAGAGTTCTCTGACCTACGTCCCCTGGAAGAAGGCCGATAAGACCCTCACTCCAGATGGGTCCTGCCCTATCCTCAGAGGCCAAGAGGAATCTGAATAAATAGCCCTTGCTAAACCCCCCAGTTAATGACTGTTTGCTCATACCCACTATTTGTTCCGTCATCCTCCTACAGGCCGTCTATTCTCCATCAAACCTAAGCATAAAAATACAGTTTTCCCTGGGTCTCTGGGTCTTTACTTCTGAAGGTGTCCCTGTAACATACAACTTTGGTTAGATACGTTTTTTACGTGTTTCTGTTGTTGATCTGTGTTTTGTTACAGGGGTCTCAGTCATGAACCTTACAATGGGTAAGGAAAAGATACTACTTTTTCTTCCCTACAGTAAATTTTGAACCTTGGATTTAAACAAAAATTTATAAAATAATATGTTTGATTTGCTTTTGAGATTATATATATATATATATATATATATATATATATTTATAGGCAAATAAGACTGACTATTAGTATGAAATATTTATCTTGTCAGATTTTTATACACTTGCAAACACATTTGTAATTTTTTCTGTTAGTACTTTTAACGGAACAGAAAAACAATAGAATACTCAGGGACTTCCCACTTTTGTTGTGTATTTGTTTATGCTTTAACCTTATAATAATTTCAAATTACATTACTAGTTTCTCTTTATTTTTACAAAATCATCTTCTGGACAATTCTTTAATTTGAAGACCTTAAATTTTATGCTAGACAGCTTCCCCCAAGAAGTTCAGTTTTAATATATATTTCACAGTAGTCTGGACTAGGAAAAGAAGTTGCAGGCTATCATGCAATTTCCAGCTCCTTTTGCTACCTTTCCTTCCTTTTGTTACATTCTACTTTCTTTACACAGCCTCTGTAAGCACAGCAGGTCCTCATGGTCTAACTACCAGCTTCTACAAAGCATGTGACACCAATTTTCCAGCACCGAGGAAGCTATAACTTAGTGAACACTCATTCACCCACTGAGGAGCTTGCAGATGAAATGATATTGCACATGCTATGTCTTAGAGGGAGGCACAGAGCTGGACAGGAAGGACGATGCAGACAATCGCCTCTTCATATTGATTTGAGTCTTCACTAACATCAATCCCCATTCACAGATCCTAACTCAGAGCAGCGGGAAAAAAAATTGGAACTACCCAATGTCTACTCTAAAGTGCTCTCAGGAAAAATTCCTTCCTGATTTCACATTTTGGCAGACCATTAAATATAGGAACGCGATTCACCAGAGTCAAGCATATACTTCCTACTGCTGTGAGACTGGACTTCAGAATAAAGAAATAACTTTTTTTTTTTTTTTTCTGAGATGGAGTCTCACTCTGTCCCCCAGACTAGAGTGCAGTGGCATGATCTCGGCTCACTGCAACCTCTGCCTTTCAGGTTCAAGCAATTCTCCTGTCTCAGCCTCCCAAGTAGCTGGGACTATAGACACCTGCACCACGCCTGACTACTTTTTGTATTTTTAGTAGAGACGGGGTTTCACCATGTTGGCCAGGCAGGTCTCGAACTCCTGACCTCAGGTGATCTGCCTGCCTCGGCCTCCCAAAGTGCTGGGATTACAGGCGTGAGCCACTGCGCCTGGCTGAGAAAGAACTTTTAAGAATCAGTTACTTCATATTTTACCCTATATTGTACTTCTAGACTTGATAATGTCATGTAATAAACTCCAACAATTCTTCATTTAACTTTGTCTTCCAGGTACACCCAAAGGAATAATTCCTTTGGAGGTGAGATTTTCACCTTATGACTGTGGAATTTTAAAGTTCTCTGTAAAAACATCCTATAGGTTGTGCAGTTTTGTATATTTTTTAGGATTAATTATTTCCAATCAAAGTATATGTAGAAAGTGTACAAAAATGTAGCCAACTTACTAATATTCTATCTTGAAGAACACTCTTATGAAGGTTATGTATTTGGTTCGTACTAGGATTAGAGCTTATGTTTGTATGTTGCCAGAGAGAGGGTGCTATGAGTTTTTACACTATGGAGTTGGAAGTATAGTAATTTCATTGTATTTACCAAAGCAAAAGAAGATGATGACAATGATAAAGAGGAAGATGAAGAAGGGTGGAAATAAATCAAATCTGCTAATACCTTTACTTCAGTGTGAGGATGTTTTCAACAAAATTCTACTTTCCAGATAATTATCTGAATTATCCACTTTAAATTGTAAGTAAATTTAATAAGTTGAGTTCAAATTAATGTTTTTTAAATCAGCCACTAGGATAAACCTTTTTACTTTAATATATGATTTATGCCCAGTTTATTCCATGTAAAAATTTAAGTTTCTAGGCCAAAAAATGAAACTTATAACTGCTTCCCATATAATCACTCTCAAAAGTGATTTCTGCTATTTATCAATTGAACGTGTTTCTTTCCAGTTTGTATTTAAATCTTGTGCTTATGACATGCAATGACAAATCCAATTAGCTGATTTTTCTATAGGTGAAGAAAACCCTGGTTACTTCCAACTATGTGGATGATATGTTAGTGCAATTTGTCTCAACAAAAATGGCAAAAAAGAAAACAGCCTTCTGAGTAGAGTAGAATACTTTTATTTGGTAGTTGCTGACCTGCCTTTATAGTTTACATCACCTTTTACTTAGGTTTGTGACTTGACAGATAGTGAACCTGAGAGAGAGAGAGGGAGCAGGCAACAAGGCAGCAGATTCCACCTTTTATCTCAGGCCACAAATGTGTCATTCCGCTTTTTAAAAATGCCTGTTTCATTTTGGTGAAACTTCTGATAAAAGCCAAAGAAGTACAATGCCAGTGTTGGAAACAATTCCAATTTTTATTCAAATTATTGATTGCAAGAGCGTAATTTTTATTGACAGAAAGGAATATAGGTAGTTAGAATAAATTTTAAATTTTGGTATGAAGTTTTCGATGGGATTTAGAATGCAGTTTTTGTCTCTGCAAAAAGACTTTGGGCTGAATTACACATACTATTTTTAGATCCTCGTTTGAACAGAAAAGATTGTTACTTGGCTGACTCATTATTGAAAAAAGTTTGTGCATGTTTGTGTGTGTGCATGTTTGTGTGTGTGTGCATGTTTGTGTGCATGTTTGTGTGCGTTTGTGTGTGCGTGTTTGTGTGTGCATGTTTGTGTATGTGCATGTGTATGTTTGCATGTTTGTGTGTCTGCATGTGTGTGTGCATGTTTGTGCATGTTTGTGTGTGTGCATGTTTGTGTGTATGTGCATGTGTGTGTGCATGTTTGTGTGTGCATGTGTGTGCATGTTTGTGTGTGTGCATGTTTGTGTGTGTGCATGTTTGTGTGTGTGCATGTTTGTGTGTCTGTGCGTGTGTGTGTGTGCATGTTTGTGTGTGTGTGTACTTTTGGACACTGGCACATCTCTCTCTCTTTACAAGCTTCTAGGCCTTAGAACAGGAAAATTCACTTTCTCTATTCTATGATTGATTTGGTACCTACCAGTAGAAAAGTGGAATATGATCCTGATTGTTTATCCAGATGCAGTTGACGATTGAACAACACAGATGTGAACTGTGTGGGTGCACTCATAGGCAGACATTTTCAATAAATATATTGGAAAGTTTTTTGGAGATTTGTGACAATTTGAAAAAAACTTGCAGATGAATCATGTAGCCTAGGAATACTGAAAAAATTAAGAAAAAGTTA
Source organism: Homo sapiens (assembly GCF_000001405.40). Classification (NCBI taxonomy): domain Eukaryota; kingdom Metazoa; phylum Chordata; class Mammalia; order Primates; family Hominidae; genus Homo; species Homo sapiens. Next base: position 186,925,459 of record NC_000004.12, read on the forward strand.
CATCATTAATGCATAAAATATATGTACATACTAATCTATTTATGTGTTAATCAATTACATTATTGGTAAGGCTTCCAGTCAATAGTAGGTTATTAGTAAGTAACTTTTTTGGGAGTCCAAAGTGATAGGCTGATTTCTGACTGCATGGGGGTTGGGGCGCCAGCGCCTGCTTTGTTCAAGGGTCAACTGGAAATATATATATATTTTGTATCTGTACTACATACATATTATATATGCAAAACATATAATTACATAATATATAATATGTCATATATAATATACAACATATGTATTATATATAAACAATATGTGTAGTGAGAAGAGACTGAATTGTGCTTGAGACGGAAGCAAAACTTTGAAGCAGCAGCAAAGGTTTGATGGAAAACTAAAGGGAGATATGATTCATGAGTTCATGAATATTATATATATTATATAAATTTTATAATATATAATATGTATTATAATAGATAATATATAACATATTGTATTAATATCATTTATCAATTATTTTTATATTAATTTTTCATTAATATACTATACAATTATATAAATATGTCAATATATAATACATATTAATAAATATATGTATACACATATGTATATAAAATACATATATAAATTACATTAATGTAATTAGTATAAATATATGTTATATTATAATGTATATATATTTAATTATATATATTATATTATATATTTATACTTAAATAAAATTATATGTATTATATTATATATTTATATTATGTTTATGTATATTATATACATAATATATACATACATTTTATATACATAATACACACATATATAATATATAATAGCATACACATACATATATGCAATATATGTAATATGTGTATGTATATATAATATATACATACACATATATTACATATATGTATTTACTATATAATATAAATATATATCTTTGTATATATGTATATATATTACATATAAGTTATATATATATTTTTTGAAAGGAAATACTATGTACTGTAGAAGATGGAATTTTTTTTTTTTGAGATGGAGTCTGTCTCTGTTGCCTAGGCTGGAGTGCAATGACGCTATCTCAGCTCACTGCAACCTCCACCTCCTAGGTTCAAGCGATTTTCCTGTCTCAGCCTCCCAAGTAGCTGGGATTACAGGCATCCACCACCATGCCCAGATAATTTTTTGTATTTTAAGTAGAGATGAGGTTTCACCATGTTTGCCAGACTGGTTTCGAACTCCTGACCTCAAGTGATCCGCCTGCCTCAGCCTCCCAAAGTGCTGGGATTACAGGCGTGAACCACTGCACCTGGCCAGAAGATGGAATTTTTAGGTATAAATGAAATCCATTGCTCAAGACCCAAAAGGGAATACAGCCAGCAGAATCCCATGCATTTTTTCAATAACAATGGATTTAACTGTCTTCATTAGTCTAAGTACACACCCACTCATGCATTTGTGAATTATATTTATTTCAGAATGCAAAATAGGTGTCTGTTCTTTCTCAATGCTATGACAAGTCACCGCACTAAGGTTTTAATTTTGGGGGAAGATCACATGTGGCATCATAAAGCCAGTTTTGAAGCTTAATTCTTTCCATATTAAGTAGTTGAACGAAGAGTTTCATTTAATAGTATTTTAGTACCTTAAAGTCAAATGATTTCAGTCATTGAACTCAGCATGTTGAACTGCCCTTTCAATTCTCTACAGGAAGTTATTTACCTATTTATTGAATAACAAGTAGAGTTTAGAGAAGGGTATGAGAAATTAAGTAACATTAACAAAACAGAACAAGCCCCCAAAATTCTTCTGTTAAAACATTATTATTTAGTGATAAAATAAAAATTGAAAATGAACAATAAAATCTAAACACAATATGAAAACTTCCCCCTTTATCATATATGTTAATAAAAGTATTGCAATTTTAATTTTATTCCAAATTTACTTTTCACGTTCTTTTCTTTGCGGATAATCTTGAATGATTATTATTGCTGTTATTATTTTGGGGTGGGAATCAGGTTCTCTCTGGTGGGGCAGGACATCACTTCCCTTTGATTCCACCTGGAGGGCATGCCATAGTCTGGGCCCAGCTGAGGTATGGGCCCTGGGTGCTAATGTGGATAGATGATATCTATACTTAATTGTTTTATAGTCAGTGAGAAGAGGCTGAATCATGCTTGAGAAGGAAACAAAAGTTTGAAGCAGCAGCAAGATTTGATGGAAAACTAAAGGGAGATATGATTCAGGAGGTCAGAGAGGAGGGTGATTTGAAAAGGACTGAAGGAAGAATAGAATCCATCAAAGGGTGGTTCAGAACTCAAGCCAGGGATCTGTGGCAGGCCTCAGTGATGTGGAGGAGAGCCTGGGTGCTGTAAACAGAGGCTCGGGACTCAGCCACCTGCAGGTTTGAAGGAGTTCTGCCCCCAGATAGTTTCCTGCCAGGGTGACCAACTGCCCTAAAATGACAGAATGTAATAGCAATTTAAGATCCCATTGCACATCAAACACAGACCCCAGTTTATTAAACAAGGGAATGCAATTTAAATTTGTGAAGACCAGTCATATTATTATTCCCGTTTTTCAGAGTTAATTATAATTGTGCCATTATTATTAGTGTGATTAATATAAATAAAAATAACATTTTAAATAAACACAATAACATATAAATATATACCAAATGTAAATATAATATTTTTTTTCCTTCCAGTTACAGTATGTTAAATAAATATCCTAAGAGTAACAAAAACATTTTCTGGGCACTACCATGATGGGATACATGGGGTGCGCAGTATTGATGTTGGGTAGAAAGCTTGGAATTTCCTTCTGCAACAAATGGAAGTGGCTTTGAGCCTTTCAAATAGAGAAAAAATAAAGCATAAGAGGGAAGGCCTAGAACATTCTAGCTAGGAATAACTGAGTGAAGGGTTGGAGGTAGGAGCATACTCTTACAAGTCTCTACTCCAAGGGAGGAAGAGGAGGACGAGGAAGGACTAACCAGCAAGGATGCCTGGTTTGGTTGACTCCCATCCAGCTTCTCAACTGCAGTCACTTAGTGTCTCCTCACCCGGACCTCGGATGTTTAGCCCAACCCAGGTCCTGGCACTGTTCTAGTTTCCAGAATTCAGGGAATTTATTAGCATTTGACCAAAATAAATCGGTTGTGAGCCTGCTTTACTGATGGCTCCAATATTAAATATTTCTTACTCTGTGTCAGGGAGTTTCTGTCTTGTGACTACTATGGTGACTGGGTCTGTGTTTTTCCAGGTCTCTGGCCCATTGCTCCCTGTCTGACTGAGCCCTCCTATGCTTTCTGGGGATTTGGGCTGAGCCTCAGTTTCTCTTCTGCATGGGTGTTAGATGATTTTTTTTTTGTTTTTCTTTTTTCTTTTTTTTTTGAGACAGAGTCTCTCCCTGTCACCCAGGCTGGAGTGCAGTGGCGTGATCTCGGCTCACGGCAACCTCCGCCTCCCGGGTTCAAGCAATTCTCCTGCCTCAGCCTCCCGAGTAGCTGGGACTACAGGCGCCTGCCACCACGCCTGGCTAACTTTTGTATTTTTAGTAGAGACGGGGTTTCACCATATTGGTCAGGCTGATCTCGAACTCCTGACCTTGTGATCCGCCCACCTTGGCCTCCCAAAGTGCTGGGATTACAGGTGTGAGCCACTGTGCCTGGCCTAGATGACTATTTTATAGGCGGAGATGATAACCACAGAATGTTGGCTGAATATTGAGGGCACTTTGATCCAGATACAAGAAAGAAGCTTGTGGAACTTACTGAGTCATCTCCTGCTAGAATAGTTCAGAAGTTTCAGCAATCCCATATATTATACAGTGTATAACAAAGACAAGGCTTAAAATAAAGGATTCACGTTAGAATTCTTCTTAACCAAAAACAACTCCACACAATTGCAACAATTATAGCTGGAAAAATAACTCCCAATGTTCACTATCCTAACACATCAAATTTCTTCATTTCTCTATTCTCTTTTTTTAGTTTATACCCATACAAATATATCATTTTCACTTAGCTATAACCAAAGCAGAGATTCAAATTAGTATACCAGATCTACTCTAAAGAGAAAATACAGCCGGGCGCGGTGGCTCACGCCTGTCATCCCAGCACTTTGGGAGGCCGAGGCGGGCGGATCACGAGGTCAGGAGATCGAGACCCTTCTGGCTAACACGGTGAAACCCCGTCTCTACTAAAAATACAAAAAAATTAGCCGGGCGCGGTGGCGGGGCCTGTAGTCCCAGCACTTTGGGAGGCCGAGGCGGGCGGATCACGAGGTCAGGAGATCGAGACCATCCCGGCTAAAATGGTGAAACCCCGTCTCTACTAAAAATACAAAAAATTAGCCGGGCGTGGTGGCGGGGCCTGTAGTCCCAGCTACTCGGGAGGCTGAGGCAGGAGAATGGTGGGAACCCGGGAGGCGGAGCTTGCAGTGAGCTGAGATCGCGCCCCTGCACTCCAGCCTGGGCGACAGAGCGAGACTCCGTCTCAAAACAAAAAAAAATTACAATTTTTTAAAGTGAACTGAACTTCCTCTGTGAGAAAAAGATTATCTCACCACCGCTGGAAGATCCTTGAAGAGGGTGAGACACTTTGCTGTATGAATTGCGAACATATTCTCAATGTTGCCTGCTGCTTTGATCCCAGACGTGACCCAGACCCATGTTAAAACCAACTCCTTACAGGTTTATTCATCACCCCACTTTCCTTCCAGTTACGGCTTTGCGAGTCTAGGAAACAGGCTCTCAGTAAAGGAAACACAGCGGCCATCAACGCAGTCTAGCTGTGCGGAAGGAGCGCTCAGCCCCGGCGAGAGGTGTGGCTGCTGCCGCCCCTTTTCGGGGGACTCCTCCATGACGTTGCGTTATTTGAATTTGATGTTCAGATAACACAAGTTTTAAAGATACATGTAAAAATTGTTCTACAATATGGAAGAAACGTGATTTTGGTGGTAGAAGATGACAGCCTGGGGGATATGCGGTGGGACTAGTTGGAGGCAAAGCTGCACATTTGGCAAAACTTGTCTTAGAATCACCTTGCCCCTTCTTCTCCTTCTCATCCTCACAGACACTCTGTATTCCCCAACTAGACCGAGAGCTCTTGATGAGTTAATTAACGCCGAGGTTTTAGTGGCTCCATTCCCAGCCCTTCGGGAAGGGTATAAATTTCAGAAGGAAAACCTCAGGGTACAATATTTAACCCACGTCAGTGGTTCTCTAAGAGCGGAATTTCAAGTGCCGCATTCCTGGAAGGGGAGGAATTTGCTGGATTAAAGGCTTCCTGGCCTGCAATTGTGTTATATGAGAGCATACCTACTCAATACGTATAAAGACACCTTGAAAAAATATTCAAGATGTACGAAAAGGAAATTGGGGAGATAACTGCAAGACTTAGAGAAGAATGAGGGACAGGAAATTGCATATCAGCTTTATTGAAAGAAAGGGTATTTGTTGTGTCCGCTGTGGGAATGCTCTATGCCTATCGCCTCTTCTCAAGCACGACACAGTAAATTCAGTGATAATCAAGATCCATCAAGGCAAATATTTCCCTCCAGGGATTTAGTAAGCAATTAAGCAAAATCACTGCTTTGAGCACTTATGTAATATTAGCGATTTCTTGGTCCTCTTGACATTATATTCGTCTTTAGCAATTGGTTCAGCAGGTCTCCTAAATCTCTTCTCTCATGGAGCATTCAAAATTCTGTCCTAGTAGCTAACGCTAAAATTAGGTGACATCATTGGCAATACTCCCTGGACCCCCAGACTCTGCTGAGGTATAGAAACATGGCCAGGTTGGTCCTTAGTCTGGGGTCTTTGGGTCATGGGATATGTTTAGGGATAGTGTGATTTTTGACACAGAAAGAAAGAAAAATCTGCAGTTGATTTTTCAATCGCAAGGTAGCTGCTAAAATAGTGCATGTCTACCTGAATAAAATTTAAAGATATACTGAAAGAAAAATAATAAAATAGTAATATTTAGTTAATTTTATATATTCATTTCCCAATCTACTTTCATTGGAATTACATATAAACATAAATAAATTCCTTAAGCCAATATTCGAAGGTTCTATTCATTTTCTTTTCTAAGAAATGTATTGACATAAATAAAACTGTGCTATTTAGAAAAAGTACTTATGGATTCAATTGATTTGGCTCTATTCTTCCCACCAGTTTTTTTTTTAAGAAGGCAGCTCATTTATGTGGTGATGTAGCAGTTCGTGTCACAAGCAAATTAAAATAAAAAATGTCCACTTCTAGAAATTTTTCTTTTATGGTCTGAGTCAGCCATAACCACAGAGGATCCATCTTGTGCAATACTGTTTTAAAAATTCATTCAATTATATTTGGCCAAATACAAAATATTAACTTGAGTTACATTGAGTATTTAATAGTTAGCAAAACTTATATCCATTGATATCGAATGCTCTCTGCCAAACATGTATGGTCTTGTTTTCATTTGCCCTCCAAGGTTAAATGCTTTGTTCTAATAAAGTGTTCAAACACAGAATAAATCAGGTATTAGCTGTCAGTTAAATTAGTGGCAAAATTGACAAGCAGTAATTCTTGACCAGAGTTTGTATTTGTTCATCACTGGTTCAAATGTTTTTTATTTCTTTCTATATTCTGCACTTATATTCTTGCCCAAAGACATTTTCCTCTCTTGGAAAATCATAATTAGTTTATTTATTTTCAAAGGTTAGAAACCCACAGAATCATGATTAATGATGTGGAAATTAAATACATACAGGTACTGTTGCCTTTTGCAAGACACTTCATGGTTAATGAGTGCTGGTTTGTATTCTCTTCATTCAGACAGTAAAGTCAGCTTTAAATGCGTCAGTGTGGCGAGTTGATGACAATTGCTGAGCTGAGTGAGAGGCATGGTTTGGAAATTCTCTTTGTTCTTTGCGGCTCTGTCCTGTGACACTGCCATTATCCTTTCGAGTGGAGGCTGGGATAATGGGCCTTAGAGAGGGTGACCTGGTATAGCTTGACCTGCACAAATGTGTTTGTCTTTATTCACTTGGGCCCTTTGACATGCTCTTCTAGATATTATGATGTTGGTGTTATATTGGAATGGAAGGATTTGATTACTCAGGGATCAATAGCTACTCTGGACATTTTTTGAAACACGTTGAGCATGACAAACTTGCCATTTTTGCCTTCCTCCATTTTTAGACACATGACTCTATTAAGGGAAATTTAATCCGTATGTTTCTGATTCCCTTACACTTAACTCATCAAAATGTTGTTTTGTAAGAACACTTTGAAGTCAGGGAAGCCTTTTAAGTCATTTTTTATGAGACTTTTTCAAGCCTCTTTTCTTAGGAACAGGAAGTGGCATTTAGCCAACAGTTAACAAACTCAAACACCAAAAGGTTGAAGTTGGGTTTGAATCTCTGAACCCATAAGTGTTTGAATGGACTCTTGACATGAGCCATCCTACTGTGTATTAGTGCCAACGGCCATCAGAACCGTCTTGATTGCTGAGATGACTCCAGGACCCCAACCAACCGCCAACTTGTGTTTCCCTAATCAGTCTACTTCATGCTGAATTATGACTCATTTAACTTTAAAGGAACTACTTTATTACCCATTCTGCTGAGCATTTTTGTGACTTCTGTGAGAGCTATTGAATTTGGCACTGTCCCACAGCTAGCTAGATATAACTTTTGAATCCAGTCACCAGTAAAATCACACAAGAGTTCAAGTTCACAGGACAAGTGAGTGTTGATTGACCATGAAGGCTTCTACCCACAAATACACAGAAATTATTTCAGCGACTCAGTTTCCTAGTGGAGAAGATAACATGGACGTTTTAGAAAATAAAATGCATGTTAAAATAACAAATGAGGCATCTGGCTTCAGAAGTTTTCGTTTGATTTATACTCAACAGTTGTTGTAAGTAAAAACTAAGCTCCATTTCCCAGGAAATTTATAGCTTAGACAAGCACCAGCGTTGTCACGGTGGTTCCCACTGCAGAATGCACTGGAAGTGATTTCTTCCTGTAGGTTTTCAGAGGATCCTACTAAGTCCTAATTCTGCACCTTGCAAATTATGCAACAATAAATGCCAAATAGCAACAGCTGATCTAGGTTAAAAGATTTAAAGAAGTTTCAAAGGTAGCCTAGGAGAAACAGTGAGAAATAATTCTAGAAACAAGAGAGTTCCGATAATAAACACTCAAGTGAAGAGAGCTCAGGCAGGCAGAATGCTACTCCTCTCCTTTAGGGCACTGCAAGTCAGCGCTCTGTAGACAGCATTTATTATCTAGGTGAAAAAGCCTGGGGACGTGGTACAGGCCACCCCTCTACAGATATATCAGGATTGCATAGTGGCTGCATGCCCAGGGGCTCTGGAGTCAGACTGCCTGGTGGTTTAGAGCCAGACTGTATCACTGGATCTGTGCTCTTGGATAAACGAGACAAATTATAGGACCTGTTTAATTGGGCTGTTGTGAGGATTAAAGAGGATGCTACATGTGAAAGTCCTGGTAGAGTCTTGATAAATATTAGCGTGATGAGGATGTGGTTGGCTAGGACTAGGGAATAGTATAACAAGGGCGCAATCGCTCCGGTGTAAGTTAAACACTGGGAATTATGAGCATCTCATGTTCTTTCATCTTCCTAGAAATCCGCAGCTATGTCCAAGGCTTTAAGTGACAGTTGTTTCTTGATGACTCTCAAATCAATGTCCTTCCTCTAGATCTCTCTCTGAGCAAGGCCTACAAGGCCACTACCAGCCTAACCTTCAGCTCTTCTCACTGAACTACTGGCCCTTTCTGCAGCTGGAATGTTCGTTTCATGCTCCGTAACTTTGCATGTGCTGTTCCCGCCGTCATTAGTACCCCTACTTCTTGTCCATCTGGCACATTGCTGCTCATCCTTCCGTGCTCAAGCACCATGTCCTCTGCAAAAGCCTCTGACTTCCTTTTGCTGATTTAAGCGTTCCTCTCTTTACGCGTTTATGGCACTCTCTCGCATTTCCTTATAGCTCTCATGAAGTGACACTGGAAATCGTGTGTGTGCCTGTCTCCACACTCCCCTGTGAGCACTGTCAGGGCAGGGGCTGTGTCTTGCATCTTTGGGTGCCAGTCCTAACACAGCATTTTGCATAGGGAGGACACTCAATGCAATTTTGGTGAAGGAATAAAGTGTGTCTAGAGAAACAGCAGGAAGGTTAGGTGGGCTGAAAATGATTTTGGTTTTATCAGCACCACTTTTACTATAGTAGACTCGACGCCGTGTCTCATTTCTTCTTGTGCTCACATCTAGCAAATTTGAGTGTCCTGGAAATAGTTTTCAGGGTGAGTTTTATCTTTCTCTATGAAAGATGTGCAACAATGCTCTATGAAGGAAAGGCGCACATTGAGTTTCTGATATGATCTATAGAGTGTCATCACCCAGATTCCAAGCAGCCCCATCAGGACAGAGCCTCTTCTTGTTAGATCAGTGCCTGCCATGGAGGAGACACACAGTATTTGATGAATGGTTGCATGAAAGCCAAGAATAAACAGTACCTGGATAATGAAAATGAAAGCACCACTGCTCCACCCACATCTTGAGGTATTTGCTTTAGTTCCCTAGAGGGATTTTTCAGTCCTTAGAGTGACTCAATTGTGTTTAACATCAGTCCTATCGAATACCAACATCAAGACTATTTTTTTCTTCTCATTGCTAATGATATTGCTACATTGTCTTCACCATTGTGAAACTTGCTGAGAAACTTGTATATAACCTTCAAAACCCAAGTATGTGTGCCCTGCGAAGACTGCATGTCACTAGCTATGAGTGACTGATGTGCGTGACAAGGGGTGCCGAAAGCCGAGCGATGCCCTGCTGTGAAGAACCGTGGGCTCTGGCTGGTTACAGAGCTGCCGTGTGAACTTCAAACCCATCTGAAGCCATCACAACCTTTATTCTTTTACCCAGAACTGGTGAAACCATTGTAATCTTTATTCTTTTACCTAGCCCTGGAAGGTCTAGAAGTCAGTCACTTGCTGAGAGATGTTGAGATGCTGTTCCTCCATGGATCTTCTGCACCAGAAATACGACTTAAGACCTCTCTGCCACACTCTGCAATCATTCCTCCTTCCTCATGCCTGGCTAAGGTGGTCCTCAGGGGTCATTTTCAAACTGTTGGTCACAACCTCTTCATTGGTCTGAAATTAATCTAGTAGGTTGCAAACAGCACTCAAAAAGGAGATAGACTAGAACAGACCAGTATATTTTACATAGTAAGGCTAAGTGTTATTTCATGAAAGTTTTTTTTTGGTTTTCAAAACACACCTCTCTCTCTGTGGTGTGGTGTGTGTACTGGGTACTGATAGAAAATTTATTTCTTACTCTGGGTTGCAGTAAAAGCAGTTTGAAAGCTCCTACCTTGGAAACTCTGAAGCAGCCTGGGGTTTGGATGTGGATCAGGGAGTCACAACCATGCTGTAAAGCCAAACAGCTAACCTGTGACACTGCTGGGCACAGACTGAGGTATGTCTCGTGGCTGTTACCGATGCCAACTCTCAGGATTCATACAAATGGAAGACAAGAATATCTTAGGTAATCTACAAATCCCCAGGTCTGATTTAACTCACCTTTCTCCCTTACTTTGAGAAACATCTGTTGCATATCTAGCATGCGCCGGGCAGTTCTAGATGCTGGGAAGATAGTGTGAAAGTCAATCCTTGCCCTCCCTCATGGAACAGAAGATGCTTCCTACAAAAAGTCTTACAATTCTGAGTAACTAAGTTAACTGGTTTATTTTATTGCCTCCTTTTCCCCAGCCTGTCAGTCTTTTCTGATAAAAAGGCTAATAAACAGAAACCAGTTAAATAGCAACCAGAGGAAAAGAACAGGAAAAAAAATCGAGTCTGAATAACACATAATTAGCCCCTTGATATTTGAGGCAATAGGGGAAATAATAATGTCATATACATGATTAACTTCTAAAGTTGGCTAAAAAAAATAAAGGAAAAAACAAAAAACCCTCAGTTCTATCTATGAGCCCAGCATGTCCAGAGTATTGTCGGAGTGGCTGTTGTCTTTGGGTATCCTGAATTTTCTTCCTAGAAAGGAAGAAGAAGGCCCCCATTTAGTTTTGTTGCAGGTTTCAAATTCTTCTCTGGGAGAAAAGCTAATGCAGCAAGTTATTTTTTCCCTGGCTATTTATTTTTCCATTTCCAGTCGCTCTATGCTAGATTGTAACATTCAGGGATTGGGGAGTACAATCGCTTCAGAATAATCAGTCATAAACATTCCAGGTTTAGTTAACTATTAAGGAAAGCAGCGTCTTTACTTTTTAAAGAGGAAAAAGAAAGAACGTATGCCACGGCCTGTAAAAGACTTTCCCATGTTTTGTTTACATTGGAATTTCAAAAGCTGACAATATCTTTCCTTCCTTCCTGCTCCTTGATGTAGTGAAAGGTCTTCCCTGTAAGTCTGATCATTTTAGTTGAAAGTGTTTAGACTATCTCGTGTACTCAAGTACTCATCACGATAGAATTCCACCGTGTAAGGGCTTGGTGGCTTCTAAGCTCATATTTTCTTTCTTTCTTTTCTCTCAACAAACTCAACTATCATTGTCATTTAACTTTAGGCTCCATCCCACATTCCTGCAGGAAATCTTCTTTTAAACAGAATTATATACTGCAGGAATGGAGCTGCTCAATTTTCACTGGGTTGCATTTTTTATGGTTGTTCCTTTACTTCCTGGTAGCATATTTCTGATGACACATCCGTAGCAACAGTAGTTTTATTTATAAGCAAAGGGAAGAAGAAACATGGACTTTGGCTAACCTGGGTGTACAAAGAACACCCAGAATGTAATTGTAATTATGTCCACTTGTGGTGATATGGTCCAAGGTTTATCAGGATTTCCAAAGGAATCTGTGGGAGGAAATCTACCAGTGATCACAGCCATAATGAAACAAACTGATGTGGAAATTTCTATTCTTTAAAACCTATTTTAAATTTAGTGTTTACAAATAGGTATAAGTTAGCAAGAGTGCTGAACTCAGGGGACGATCTAAATCCACTCAATAATTAGTTCAACAAACTTAGGCTAGGCACAGTGGCTCACGCCTGTAGTCCCAGCACTTTGGGAGGCCGAGGAGGGTGGATCACCTGAGGTCAGGAGCTCGAGACCAGCCTGACCAACATGGAGAAACCCTGTCTCTACTAAAAATATAAAATTATCCGGGCATGGTGGTGCACACCTGTAGTCCAAGCTACTCAGGAGGCTGAGGCAGGAAAATCACTTGAACTCAGGAGGTGGAGGTTGGGGTGAGCCGAGATCATGCCATTGCACTCCAGCCTGGGCAACAAGAGTGAAACTCCATCTCAGAATAATAATAAAAAATAAATAAATAAATGAATAAATAAATACAGTCATGGGACCCAACATTACAGACTTTAGTCATTGACGTTACAGAATTGAGCCACTCATAGACAGGGACATCACAGAGTTTAGAAGAAACAGAGAAGTGGGAGGGGACAGAGTCAGCAGATGTGCCTCAAGCAGAGGGTTCGGGGGAGTGTCGGATGAGAAAGAAGAGCTGGAAAAAAATGTTAAGAAGGAGTAGCTGGAGATGTTACAAGAAAATAAGGGGTGCTTATCATCATAGAAGCCAATAAGATAATTTGAAAAATATAGCGGTTACAAGAGTCAAATGCTAAACGGTTCCGAATGCGTGAGGGTTGGGATCAGGACTGGCGATTAGCAAGTTTTATGTGGCTTTTAAGCCATTACTTTCTGTAGAAAGAGAAGAGCACAGCCAGAGGATAGAATTGAATGGGAAGTAAAGATGAAGTAAAATGAGCGTAGAGTGTATTTTTTCTCGACAATTATTGGTGTATGGAAGCATGTAGATAAATAGTTCCCTGAAAATATCGTTTACAGGGGTGCTTTTATTTCTTTGGATGAGGAAACTACAGTACATTATAGGACAAGTGAAAGGAGCAAGTAGAGAAACAGGGTAATGATGACTTTAGGGAAAGATAAAGAGGGGTCTCAACAGTTCAGAAGGAGCAAGTCTCGGAAAAGAAGAGGGACAGTTGTGTCTGTTTCACTTATGCATTGTCATATGACAAATATCCTCAGAAACTTGGAGGCATGGCCGGACGCTGTGGTTCATAGTTTATAGGTGCACAGTGACTATAATCCCAGCACTTTGGGAGGCCAAGGCAGGGGGATTGCTTGAGCCCACGAGTTTGAGACCAGTGTGGGTAACATGGCGAAACACTGTCTCTACAAAAAAAAAAAAATTAGTTGGATATGGGAGCACATGCCTGTAGTCCCAGCTGCTTGAGGGGCTGAGGCAGGAGGATTGTTTGAGCCTGGGAGCTCTAGGCTGCAGTGAGCTGTGTTCACGCCAGTGCACTCTAGCCTGGGTGACAAAGTGAGACCTGTCTCAAAACAAAACAGAAGCCCCACAAAACTTAGAGGCTTAAACAACACCATTTTATTATTTTTCACAGTTCTGTGTGTTGGCTGCGCTCCCCTGAGATGTCTTCTCTCTGCTCTACTCGTCTCAGCTGAGCACATCTCGAGTGGCACAGTTTGGAGCAGAGGATCTAAGGTGGTTGGTCTGACTCCTTGACTGTGTTAGCTTGGGTGGCTGAAACGCCGTGGATGCTCTTTCATCCCGTAGTGTGTCTCTTCCCGTGTGGCCTTTCCAGCAGCATGGCCCAGACCTCTCACATGGTGGTTCAAGTGAGAGAAGGCTGCAGAGTCTCTTAAGGCCTAGGCACTGAGACTCACGCATCATTTCTGCCATATTCCAAGATCAAGTGAAGGTACTCTGCAGGTCACAGGGCAGGGCAGATTCAATAAGAAAGAGAACTAGGAAAAGCACAAAGATGTGGCCGCATAACACATTGGGGCCAGTTTGCAAGGATTTGCCACAATGCTTCTAGAACAAAAGAGAAGGAGAAAGGATTAGTGTAGATTTAGAACACTTCTGAATTAAGAGGAAGCAATTGGAGAAAGTTCAGGCTGAAAACCTTCAATTAGCATAGACTGAAAAAAGCTCATCTCTTAAAGGAGAAGTCATAAAAGAGTTTATATGAATCAGAGTGTGATTCCTTTTTTTCTTATACAATATGAAATAAAACCACTCTGTAACTCTTGAATAAATCTGCTGTTAGGGAATGCAGCATGCTATGAGCCTGATTTTAAAAGAAATTTTAATTTTTTTGAATAAAATATTTTAAAAATGCATATGTCACTTGCCTCTTCATATTTAATGCACTTTTAGCAAAACTCATGTTATGAACTGAGAAGGGTCTGATGTTTTACTCAAATTGCAAGCTAACAAATTAGTTTGCTATGATTGCTGGAAGAAGACATGAGACTTCTGTATCAAAGACAAAGGATTTTATTATTCATAGCAATAGTAGTATTCAGAATATAAGCACTCTTGGGCCAGTTCCCCAGCCCTAATCCACCAAGGCAATGAGAAGGTGACCAAGTGACATCTGAACATACAGTGGGTTGTGTTAGAAAAGAGGAAGTTGACCTTGGGAAACCTGAATCTTTTGTAATTGGCACTTGGCATGCTTGCTATTTGCTAGGAAGGAAATGTCATTTTTATTATACTGTACAGCATGCATGTATATGTCTCTTGTTGTGGAGGGAGATACTATCTTTGTCTTTCAAGGCTGTAAGCAATTTTATCCATTGGTCCAGAAGGAGATCCTATCACTGTCTTCCCATGCTATACAAGGCCTCCTTGAAAAGACAGCTGAGAGCAAAGATAGCTAGTGCTTCTGTTTGTAAGACATGCAGAAATGTGAGAGACCCACGAATTGTCTCCCCAAAACTAATTTTAAAATATGACTTCAGTGTGCAAGAAATGGTCAAAATAAAAATCTAAATAAATTTCTACCATAAAGAAATATTTCAAAAAAACAAATATTTCATATGTAAGAGGTAATCTCATATGTAATTTCATATGTAATCTTCAGTACGTAAGTACTTAAAAATATTCTTTATTTTAAAAGTATTGTATGTTTACTTATATATTCAATGTAAGATCAACAAATTTTTCATGTAGGCAGTGAAAGTACAAACAAATAGGAGTAGTAAGCAGTTTGGAACACTGATTTCAGTGTTCAGCTCCTTGATCAAGTATTTGGTGAAATCACAACCACCAGGGTGTGGGTGCGCCTGTTGGGCAGCAGTGACAAATGGCCTTCCCTAGGATGGCCTGTAGATGTGTCCTTGGCTTTGCTATCTGGACTATTGCCCATCCCAGCGGCTTCCCTGTACCTCTTATGAAACAACAGGAGCCTGTTAGGCTTTGGAGTTTATCTAGTTTTACAAATGTTCCAGAAAATTTGCTCCATCCCAGGATAAGCTGTGGACACATAGGTAGGATCATGATGTGGATTTATGTTTCAGATTTACCACAGAGTGGTGTGTTAGACCATTTATGCTGCTGCGACAGAGTACCACAGAATGGATAATTTATAAAGAAAAAAGATTGATTTGCTGTATGGTTCTGGAGGCTGGGAAGTCCATGGTCAAGAGGCTGCATCTGGTGAGGGCCTTCTTGCTGCATCATAACATGGTGGAAAGCATCACATGGCAAGCGAGGGTGCAAGACAGAGATAGGAAATCATTCAAACTCATCCTTTTATCAGGAGCTCACTTCTATGGTAACAGCATTAATCCACTCAGGGGGACAGGAGCCTCATGACGTAATCACCTCTTAAAGGTCCCACCTCTTAATACCATCACAATGGCAATTAAATTTCAACATGAGTTTTGGAGGGGGCATTCAAGCCACAGCAGATAGTATTGGTCTGATGCAGTCCCAAGTGTGATGGAATCTAGAGATCTCTTCAAAGTAGGAGAGGAAGTTTAGAGTGTCCACAGAATGCTTTTGCTTCTTGGTAAAGTTTGAGTACAATACATACTAATCATTGTGTAGCTGTCATATTTTTCTAACAACTTCAAAGACACCAAATCTAATTTACCTGTAAGCAGAGAGACACATCCTATTGTAGATTTAACTTTGCTCAATAGGTCCTTATGAGGGAGGAGTGTCCATTCTGTATCACTGGTGAATAAGTGAGCATATGAAGATGAAACGATCCACAAGGAAGGCAGGGCATGGAATGGAATTTATTTTATTATATTTTTTATTTTTTTGAGATGGAGTCTTGCTCTGTCACCAGGCTGGAGTGCAGTGGCATGATCTGGGCTCATTGCAACCTCTGCATCCTGGGTTCAAGCAATTCTCCTGCCTCAGCCTCCCAAGCAGCTGGGACTACAGGCATGTGCTATCATGCCTGGCTAATTTTTTTGTATTTTTAGTAGAGACAAGGTTTCACCATGTTGGCCAGGCTGGTCTCGAACTCCTGACCTCAAGTAATCCTCCTGCCTCAGTCTCCCAAAGTGCTGAGATTGCAGGTATGAGCCACTGCACCCGGCCAAGAATGGAATTAAGAATGTTCAGTTTCTTATTTCAGCCTTGGAACACTAATATTAATTGAATGTGTTGTTTTCTCCTAAATTTATGTTTGTATTTTTTCATTGGTTTAGTTCAGTTGGAAGTGTAATTTCACATTAACGGGGGAACTAAATCAATTACATGTGTTCTTAATGTTCCAGTAGTGTCTGCAACTTGGTTAAACACTGAAGTGGTTTGGAACACGGCATTAGCCAATATAGCCAGAAAGAAAAAGGGAAGAAATCAGTAGAAAAAAATGCCTATATCAATATTAACTTCTTTTTCAGCATTCAATATGCTTGACTTTTTCTCTTATGACACCTTAACCTCCTCCTAAATGCTAGCTGTCTAGACCTACTTCCTATACTCCTATTTTCATATTACTTTTTGTGTTTAAACATTTACTTCTTCACTATTTATTTCCTTTGCCTTTCTATCCACTATTTTCTTATTCTCCCTTTTTTTCCCTTCATTTAATAGTTTCTGAAAACTCATTTTTATCACTGAGTGTTTTTTTTTTAGCCTTTTCCAGAGGCAGATAATTACCACTAGAATGATCAATGGCTTTGGAGAAATGAATTAAAACATTAGTTCCATGGATAAACTCATACTTAATGTTAGGAGATTTTGATTTCCAGATAGGGGATTTTTTTTTTTAATCATCTAGACTACTCTTGGCTTTCCCTGCTAATTCTTAAGTTTGTGTACAATGTCCAACCTAACCGTGTAGGCTGATTGTTGAAAGGAACACTGGTGAACAGATCCAAATCTGTCACACTCCAGGCAAATAGCAATGGTGACACAAAAATGAGAAATAGGACTGCTGTGGACTATTTGTGTCACCCCAAATTCATATTTCGAAACCCTAATCCCCAAGGTGATGGTATTAGGAGGTGGGGCCTTTGTGAGTTGATTATGTCATGAAGGTGAAGCCCTCATGAATGGAATTAGCGTCCTTATAAGAGACCCCTGGGAGATTTCTAACTCCTGCCACATGAGAACACAGCGAGAGGACAGCTGTCTATGATGCAAGAAGCAGGCCCTCAGCAGGCACTGTGTCTGCTGCACCTTACTCTTAGACTTCCCAACTTCCAGAACTATGAGAAATGAAGGCTCGTTGATTATAAGCCATGCAGTCTATGCTATTATTGTTATAGCAGCCTGAATGGATTGAGACAAAAACCCTCCTCAACAGAACTTTAGGCTCCTTAGCCAGTGTTATGGAGCTCTTTTAAAAAGCATAGAAATCACTGGCAAAGAGCTCCTGGCATTGAGCCACGTGACAGTTAGCAGAGGCTGCTTTCTGCTTGGCCAGCTGTGCAAGGAGACAGAGCAGGGGGTCAGCAGAGGGAGCTGAAACAGTAAGACTATAAGCAGAGGAAGAGTGGCAGGAAAGAACAAAACTCAATTCAAATGTTGCCAGCACACAGTGAATTGCAGGGAACCGGCTATCATGAGAGAGGGTCCCAGGAGTACACACATCAAATGTGGTTTTTGAACCAGAGGACCTCCTGACTGCTGGTGGCAGGATGTCTCTATTCCATGTAGTTATCAATGTGTTACTCTTTTCTTTGGTTGAAAGGATTTTGGGTCAGGCACTGATCTTTCTTTGAATATATGTGCCTGTTGGATGCCTGAACAGTGAGAAATGCAGGAACGTGGTAGTTAGTGATGGTTAGGAGAGCAGGGGAAGGCACAAAACCTGAATGTCACAGGAAATTGTGCAAGTATAATAAAAGTAACAGATAGCATTTATTGCTTGATTGCTATCTGCCAGGCTCAGTGCTAGGATATGGAAATATAGAGTCACGCCAAGTAACTTTGGTCCCTGCCCTCAAGCTTAGTCTGATGCAAATCCACCATGAACCAGGGAATTGACAGGCACTGAAGGTAAAGCCAGTGCTTCAAGACGTCAGACAAGACAAAATGTCAGAAAAACAAACAACAGAGGAATTGCTATGGGAATCTTGAAAGAAAAGCTATTTCTTCTGCAGCCAAGAAGGCTTCTTTCAAGTAGGGGTGCAGATGTCTCTCAGTGGATGTGATATACCGAGGTCTTGCAGAATGAAGCAAGGGAGAGACAAAGGGGTGGGGAAAGTGGCCAACCTGGCGGGAGAGGGGAGGGCAGCTCAAAACCCACCCACCGGCCAGACATTTACTTTAGGTCAACACCTCCAGCCCCGTAGAGGCATACTGTGCATGCAAACAGACAGTGAGGGTTTGATTCTGAAAACACAAAGAACAAGTCTGGCTGTACCACACCTCTCCTTAATCCTCTTCATTTCTCTTCTCATCTCTTATTTCCCGCTCAGATTTGAGGCTCGTCGTGTCTCAAGAGCCATGCTTGGTGCCTAAGCAGTAACCAAGAAATATGGACTTTGCTATTAAAACAGATGTTCTTTAGAGGGTACTAGAGGCTGGGAAGAGGAAGGGAAAAGGGAGATAGGGAGACATTCTTTAAAGGATAAAAAATTACAGCTAGATAGGATGAGTAGTCCTGGTGTTCCGCAGGTCTGTAGGATGACTATAGTTAACAATAATACATGATATGCTTTCAAATAGCTAGAAGGAGGATATTGAATGTTCCCAACACAGAGAAATGACAAATGTTTGAGAAGATAAATACACTAATTACCCTGATCTGATCACTATACATTGTATGTATCATCACTATGTATCCCATGAACATTATGTGCCAATTAAAAAAATAAAAGAAAATATTTTTAAAAGGGGATGCTCTTTGTTAAGAAGAGAGATGGAAATGAAAGATGTCAGTACAGTGCATTTAAGTACTACTGGAAGATGTTTAAAGCATGACGGGATCCTTGAGATGGAACGTCTAATTCTAGGGGGGTGGATTTTAAGGATGTTCAAAGAGAAGGTGACATTTACGCAGAATTTTGAAGGACAACTAGTAGTTTGCCAAGTATATGGTTCCTGGGGTTCAAGGGTAGCTTTGGAGAGAGGAGAAAGCATTCTAAGCAGATAAATAGCACATGTGCATGTAAACAAGAGTGGAAATGCATCGGGAACCCAGGACACTGCGGGACTGTGGTATGGAAAGGGAGAGCTACAGGCAGAAATCAGGCTGAAAGGTTGGGGAGTGAGAGGGTAATAAAGGCTCTGCTTGTTGCAATGTACTCAAATTTAGGGGCGCCTGCCCAAGACATGCCTTTTTACAGGGGCTGCCCATCATTCACAACCTTGCTGGAGATGTGAGCCAAGTTAACATGCCTGTCTCTGGCTGTCCCTGGCTAGAGCTGATTGGACAAGGGTTGGTTCTGTGATCTTGGAGGAATCTAACAATAGACTTGGCTGAAACAAGCGTAAGACTTGTCTTCCAAAATATGAACTAAAGGTCTGATTGGTGTGTGATGGATGTGTGAGCAGAGGTACCGAGAGCAGGGGCTGAAGCAGCTCTTCTCCACCTCCTGAAGTACAGCTGAGCAGGTCTGTAGAGAGAAGCACAGGCACTCAGGGAAAGTGGAGACGAGGCCATGCGAGTCATGAGTGGGGCGTTGGTGGTGCACTTCCTGCTTTGTGTGCCATAGGATAGCTCTGTAGACTTTCATAAATACCCCTTTTAGGGAGACTCCATTTGCGTTCTTTGCAAACAAATGCACTGCTGTAAAATACATGCCATTCTAAAGAGTTTGGATTTTATCCTGTCAGTATGGGGAATCCATGAAAAATATTAAGCAGGGTTAACATAGATTCATTGTGTTGTCTTATAAATTAACTTGACTGCAACTTGAAGAATAGTTCAGAGAGGAGCAAAATCAGGAGAGGAAAACGCTAGGAGGCCATGGGAACAATCTGGACAAAGCCTGACACATCCCTCAGCTGAGGAGAGGCCTGGGGGAAGAGAGAGTCTAGATCTAAGGACATCTAGAGAGCCCCAGCTGAAGGACTTGTGAATGAGTGTTGCCGAGGCTACAGGTTGGGTGGGTATTGGCTCGCTTGTGGGACTGGCATATTGGTAGACGTGGTAAAACTTTAGAAGGAAAGAGATGTGCAAGTGAAAAAAATGAGATTCATTTCAGAGACATTGAGGCACATACAGGATATTCTTATGGAGTTATAGGCTCCAAGGAAAGTTCTGGGCTGCCACATGCAAATGGGCGTTGAAACAATGGGTGTGAAAGTGATTGCCTGTGAGGAGCAAGTGGAATGTGGAACACAAAAGTCTAAAACAGAGCTGGGAAGAAGGCATTCCTCAAGGAGCGGGCAGAAAAGGCTGAGAAGGGGTGAATTGGAGAACAAAGCCAGCAGAGCAGCATCAGAGAAAAAAGTGTGGTTTCAAAAGAAAGAGTCAAATGGTGCAGCACAGTCAATGAATGTAAGAGGTGGATTAAGACGTTTCAAGGCCATGCTGGACTCTGGCACAAGGCGTGCCAGGCTCTAAGGCGCAACAGCCCAGGCTGGCCAGAGGCACTGGGTTTGGGAGCCACTGAGCAGAGGTCACCTGCGGTGGCGGGGCAGGGGGGTGCGGGGGGAGCCACTGTCCACAGCCTTGATGGCCAGGAAAGGCTTTTAGGGATTTGTTAAACACTGTACATATTCTCAAGTCTGGGGACTTTTTAATTTCTTTTTTTCTTTTTCTTTTTTTTTTGCAGTAGGCTTTTTTTTTAACTCTGAATTTTAACAACCTAACTATCTAAGAGATTTAAGAACTGCAGTTTTTCCAGGCTTATGAAATGCAAAATGTTAAACCTCCCACTTTGCTAATGAGAGAATACAATTACTGTCTAACCAAAATAATTTAATGGCTAAGTGAGATAATTTAAAGGATCTGGAAGAGTCATGAATGCAAATAAGTGATTTTCTGCAATGTTTATCTGCCCCTCCCAGCTGAAGTCACTGAGTATACCAGCAGCTGCAGATCCCACTGAGCAGCGCTGACGGGATGGGATGGAGCCCAGGCCACCTGCTGGCCTGAGATGCAAGGTTCCCTCTGGCTGCGGGTGAGCCTTGGGCACAGGGAGTCAGCCTCCTGCAGGTGGGGCCTGGGCCTGTCTGATACCCACAGCCTTTAGTGTCTGTCTTCAGCGCGTTTTGCTCTCTTTTCCTACCTAGACTCCAAGATTCCTTGCCACCTGTGCTCCTGCCGCCGTTCTCCGCCATCTGATAAGCACTCTCTGGGCCCTGACACTGACCTGAACTGGACCAGGGTTAAGCCCAAGTCGCCCCGTCCTTCTGGGAAGGCTCTGTGGAGTCTCCCACATTTCTCTCCAGCTGCCTTCACCTCTCCCTTGCTCCATGGTCTTGAGGGCTCAGCCTTCCGGCCCCCATTCATTAAAGTTCATGATTTTCAATCACAAAGAAATGGCTACTTTACCAGAAAAAGCAGTCAGTTTGCTTAGGTATTTTTCCAGAGACAAAATGGAAGTTAAATGAAAGAAATAAGGTATCGCATTCCACCTAAGCCAGTGGGTAGCTTTACTTGAAAAACTGCCCGAATGTCCCTGTTTTGTCGTTGAGTGAACAGAGGAGCGGATGTGAGCATTTTTCAGCAGAGATGTGCTGCTTTGCAGGGAACAGGCAATATGGATGCATGTAAAATTCTTGCTTGAGGATTAAGAGTCCAAATGTGTTTTAAGAACTGGCTATGCAAAATCTCAGATATAACTGATAAACTGTTGTAATCTGGTTGGCATATAGTCCTGTCTGTACCACACTTTTTCTTTCCCTAAAACACAATTTGGCTTTCTACTTGTTGAACAAACAGATATGGCAAATAAAAGAAGGACAAATGTTATTGATTTTTTTTTTTCCTGAGAAAGAGTCCTGCTGTGTGGCCCAGGCTGGAGTGCAGTGGCGCGATCTCCGCTCACAGCAACCTCTGCCTTCAGCATTCAAGTGATTCTCTTGCCTCAGCCTCCCGAGTAGCTGGGATTACAGGCATGTGCCACCTCACCCAGCCTTATGAAGCGATTTTTACATATGACATTAGAGATATCAAAGGGGAGTGTCTTATGGTAAAAAAGCTCTACACGTTTTTAAAAACATGATTCCACTGGTATACATTTTTCCAATAAAACTCCAAAATTGATCCTATCCTAGGTATAATCTTATCCTTCTTCACACCTCTCCCATCCTTAAAAAAACTCTAAGTTAATTGGCCTTGGGAACATTTTTGGTTTCAATATTTACATTAGGATTTTGATTTTTTAAAATAATTATTGATCATTTCCAGTTTGAAAATGTTAAAAAAAATTTTTGAACAGTAACAAATTTTAAGAGGACTTTTTATCCCCTAAAGAAAGCCAGTTTATATAGAACTACTGTTATGCCAGTATTTTAAGGTGCCAGGTATATTTTCTGCTCTGATGAAATATTTAGGTAATTTCTAGCCAGACGAGATCAATAGAACAGGGCTGTACACTTTGTCGATATTTTGAGATTCTTTTTATTCCCAGACCACAAATGGACAGAGGCAGCTTTGCTCTTAAGAAGCGAGTATTTAACCACTAAAAATAGCTTATAGAATGTGAAGTCACCAAAAAGATATCTTGAGCATGGGAAAAAGAGAGCCCTGCGATCTCCCTTCTGTGATAAGAAAATTTCAAAGCACATTAGGGACTGGAATCTATCAGACTTCCATTCCGTCCCCAGAGGTACTTATTTTGGGAATGCTTACAGATGATAAAAACATGTTTGTACACTAACTACTCAATCTCCAGGCTAAATATACAGTCTACAGACTGTGTTGGTGGCTGCGAAGGCATCGTTTTCCTCGCAGCAAAGCCAGGGCTCGATTGATGGAGAAATCAGATTAGGAACCTCATTAGCCTTTGAAATGCGTGGCTGTGGGGCGAGGCCAGACTGAGGGAGATTCAGGGAGGCCAGTGAGAAAACCAACAGCTGCAGGAAGCAGTGTTCATCAAGTGGAGCACATCTTGTGGGGGTTGGAGTATTTGGAAAGATCTCAGAAGATATGCTTTCCTTTTCCTGTCACCAATGAGATATGCCTGGAATTGCTCGTTTTGTATATCTTAGAATGGGAAATGTCCAGCTTACGAATTATTTTGAGGTTAATTGCTCTTAGGAGATGTTTGGCTGTTGCTGCATTTTTGTAGCCTTCCTCTTCCAAATTGACATCACCCTTTCCTACGTAGTGGGTGAGATCCTATTGTGTCTAGAGATAGAGACAGATCAGGGCTGTCTGTGGCTGGGAGTGATGGCAGTCTCCAAACAGAGAGGGGTTTCTCTCGCTCCCTGTCGTCCCATCTCAGGCCACAGGTGGGCAGCGGAGCCCAGAGTTAAGTGGGAAGCCATGAGTGGGCAGACATTAGCTGTGCCTTCCTCTGCCTCAGGGGTCACCATCAGGATTTTCATCATTGTACTCGCTTCCCTTTCGTACCCTACCACATCCAGACTGGACCTGTGATGGGAGCTGAGGCTCCTTCTGGGTCTCAGTGTGTCTGAAACGGTCCTGTGTTGGGTGCTGGGATGATAGAACCGACACCCAGTGAGTCCTAGCAGTGGAACCACCTGCCCTGCTAATCAGACAACTGGAAACACCATTCCAAGTGGTTTGGAGAGAGCTGTGGCTAAGTATTACTGTCTTTTTAAATTCAAACGTCGTGTTAGTTTGTTTTCAGTCCCCTGTAGTTGTAGCCTTCTGAAAATAAGAGGATAGCTTGTTCAATTATTATGGCTCTAAGGAGAATTGTTGTAGGAGGGGAAGAATTCCCTGCTGAAGCCTCTTGGCTTACATGTATTAATGCTAACTAGTGGCCCTTTAGGGCATACATAATTGTAAATACAGCTATGTACTGCTTAACAAGAATACTCTGAGAAATGTGTCATTAGGTGATTTTGTCATGCAAACATCATAGAGTGCACTTATACAAACTTAGATGGCATAGCCTACTACACACGGAGGCTGTATGGTACAGCCTGTAGATCCTGGGTTACAAACCTCTACGGCACGTTACCGTACTGAATACTGTAACACAATGGTAAGTATTTGTGTATCTAAATATATCTAAACATAGAAAAGGTAGAGTAAAAATACAGTATCATCATCTTATGGGACCACCATCCTATGTCGATCCATTGCTGACCAAAATGTCGTTATGTGGCGCGTGACTGTATAATCCTGTTTCACCTGTAACAGCCGTGTGATTTTGTGGCTCATATCTTTATATAAATAGCAGGTTAGTGCTTACTGGCTGTATGTCCTTGGGCAGTCACTTAATGTTTCTGAGCCACTGTGTCCCCACCTGTGAATATAGGAGTAGCACACCATTCAAGAGTTTTATTAGAAATCAAGCAATGTGCTATTATGTTTACCGTGTAGCAGGTATGCAAGCAGTATACACAATTAATTATTATTAATTAAATCTCAGGTGCTCCTGTAATTTACTCCTGTTAATCATTACTAGGGAGGCTTCCGTTTCCGTAGTTCCCAATCTTTTTAAAAATTGATTGCTAATATTTGTACATATTCACATGGGACGTGTGATATTTGGATACATGCATAGAATGTGTAATGATCAGGGTATTTAAGATAACCATCTCCCTGAGCATTTATCATTTCTTTATGTTGAGGATATTTCATATCTTCTCTTCTAGTTATTTTGAAATGTACAATAAATTATTGTTAACTATAGTCACCCTACTGTGTTACTGGACGCTAGAATGTATTTCTTCTCTCTAACTGTATGTTTGTACCCCTTAACCAGCCTCCCTTCATCTCTCCTGCCACCCCCTTTCCCAGCTTCTTGTGTCATTCCACTCTCCACCTCCATGAGATCATCTTTTTTTGCTCCCATATATAAGTAAGAACATGTGGTATTTGTCTTTCTGTGCCTGGCCTATTTCTCTGAACATAATGACCTCCAGTTCCACCCATGGTGCTGAAAATGACAGGATTTCATTCTTTATTATGGCTGAATAATATTTAATTGTGTATGTATACTCCATTTTCTTTATCCACTTGTTCGTTGATGGATACTTAGGTTGATTCCATGTCTTTGCTATTGTGAATAATGCGGCAATAAGCATGGGGGTGCAGGTATCTCTCTCTTATACTGATTTCCTTTCCTTTGGATAAATTACCCACTAATGAAATTGCTATATTGTATCGTAGTTTTACTTTCAGTTTTTTTTTGAGAAATCTCCATTTTACATAATGACTGTACTAATTTACAATCCCACCAACAGCATCCTTGCCGGTATCTATTTTTTGGCTTCCTGTTAGTAGCCAATCTTACTGGGGCAAGACAATCCTCATTGCGGCTTTGATTTGCATTTTCCTGGTGACTAGTGATTTTGAGCATTTTTTCATATACCTGT
Source organism: Homo sapiens (assembly GCF_000001405.40). Taxonomy (NCBI): domain Eukaryota; kingdom Metazoa; phylum Chordata; class Mammalia; order Primates; family Hominidae; genus Homo; species Homo sapiens. The sequence continues at coordinate 186,951,207 of NC_000004.12, forward strand.
TTGTCATTTGTATGTCTTCTTTAAAGAAATGTCTGTTTAGATCCCTTGCCCATTTTTAGTGGGATTATTTGTTGTTGTTTTGTTGTTGAGTAATTTGAGTTTCTTGTATATTTTGGATATCAGACCTTTGTCAGATGAATAGTTTGCATATATTTTCTTCCACTCAAGAGGTTGTGTCTTCACTCTGTTGGTAGTTTCCTTTGTTGTGCAGAAGTTTAGTTTAACATAGTTTCGTTTGTCTATTTTTTGTTTCCTGTACTTTTAAGGTCTTAGCCATAAAATCTTTGCCTAAATCAAGGTCCTTGAGTGTTTCTCCTGTATTTTCTTCTAGTAGTTTCATCCTGTTGGGTCTTATATTTAAGTTTTTAATTCATTTTGAGTTGATTTTTGCATATGGTGAGAGATAGGGGTCTAGTTTCATTCTTCTGCATATGAATGTCCAGTTTTTCCAGCACCATTTGTTGGACAGAATGTCCTTTCCCCAGCATATATTCTTGATGCCTTTTTTCAAAAGTCAGTTGGCTATAAGTACATGGATTTAGTTCTGGGTTCTCTATTCTGTTCCACTGGTCTATGTGTCTTTTTATACCAATACCATGCTGTTTTGTTTGCAGTAGCCTTATAGCATATTTTGAAGCCAGGCAGGGTGATGCTTCCAGCTTTGTTCTTTTTGCTCAGGATTGCTTTGGCTATTTGGGCTCCTTTTTGATTCCAAACAAATTTTAAGACTGTTTTTTCTATTACTGAGAAAAATGTCATTCCAGTCTGTTTATATCCTCTCTCAGGCTACTTCATACATGCCTGGATTTGAATCTCGAAGCTTGTGGTTCTTAAGTTTTTTATGTCGAAGAATCCCCTGGATTGTGTGTTAAAATGCATACCTCCTGGCACTACCTGGAGAGGTTCTAAATGTAGGTTTTTGGTGAGGCCCAGCACTGCATTGTTAAGAAGCACCTCAGGTTTTTTTGATCCAGACAGGCTGATCACAATTTGAAAAATAAGACCCAACATGTGAAATTCCCTGAATACATGAGCCTTTGGTTTCTCATCATTTGCCACTTACCTGTCATTTATTGAGCAGCCAACTATGTGCAACATATTTTTCTAGGGTATTTACATACAGTATTTTTTTGTCTTCATAATAGTCTGATATTATAATGATTAGTGTCCTGGTTTTACATTGAGGAAACTGAAACTGGAATGTCCCAGAAAACTCCTTCACTCACATGTCTGGCCTGGCCTGAGATGGCCGAAAATCTGAGGGCTGACTAGCATTGCTCATTCTTTATTTTCTGTTAATCAGTTTATATACAACCCCTAAGCAAGATAATATTATGTGTTCTGAAGTTCATTTATTTGCACTGCTATATAATATTCATTGATTTAACATAATACCTCTTGAAGAGTAACCAAGGACCAAGAACAGTATATGCCAAGTCAGAGTTTAATTTTTAGAGCAGCAATACCCTGGAGTAAGTTCAGTGAGTCTCTCTGAAAGCTCCTTCCAAATACGGTGAGATTGTAAAAGGCACTTTTGGATTGACTGTGATAAGGAATTGAGAAGTCGCTCTTGGCAAGGATCATCATTGCAGCCTAATGTCTTCTGCGTGGGCATTAAAGCTGGCCCAGTTCTCTACAAGGTGTAGGATGAGTGGTAGAGGCTCAAGCAGGCTCAGAGTTAGGCAACAGTCAAATCTGTTTGCCCATGAACATAGCTGGGCAAAGGTTCTTTTTAACACATGATCAAATTATCCATTCCCTTTGCCAATGGACATTTGTGTTGTTTCCATTTTTTTTTTTTTGCTATTAAAAATAATGCAGCTATAAACACTTTGGACATGTCTCCTTGGAGCACTTGGGGATCTCTCTCAAGAAAATATTCCCAGGAGTGGAATATTTGGGCCACCGTGTACGTGGGTCATCAAGTTTCTTAGATAATGCTAAATTGTTTCTAAAAAGACTTGTGTGAGTCCACACTCCCACCAGCAGTATGTAAGTAAGACCTGTTGCTGTCCAGTCCCACAACAGGGTGCTCTTTCTGGTGGCAGTGAATGAATGGATCCCTTGTGAGTCAATTTGGGATGTGATAGGAGAGTTAAATAAATGCAACATTATAGAATCTGTACAGAATCAGCATCAGGGATCTTCAGGAAGGAACTTGGCTTATACATCATTTTTTGGTACCAAAATACCTCATAGAATGCTGCACCCCGTACATTCATATTTACTGAGTTATGAAATTCTAGCCCATGAAATTGCCTTTCTACCTGGTTTGTGTGTTTTTAAAAATCCTTAAAAGGCTTGCATGCATTCTGTCTTCTCTGAAATACACATAATTCCAGTCTGTCATATAGGATTTTTGTGTGGGTTTATAATAATGGGTTTAATGGCTAAAAAGCATAATGCAATGTTCATATAAATAATGAAGTTGGTATATCAAAATAAAAGTGGAGAGATGCTCAAAGGCTGAGTTAATGAGAGAAGACAAACACAAAAATCTTTGACTGTCTTCAAGTACAGTAAAATTTCAGCTGTGTCATCACTGGGGGTTTTCCTGGATGCGGAACAGCTGTGACTGCTTCGTGTAGCAGGTGCTGGACTTCACCGGTCTCTATAGTGGTAGCAAATTTGGGTCACCGGGAAAGGCAGTTCTTGCTGTTCCTGTCACTTTCTAGCCATCTGAAAAAATGATACAGTGTTGTTAGGATCACAGAAGGATATGGAGAACACCCAAAGTCCAAGGGGCATTGGCCAATAAGAAGACAAATGTGGGATTTGTCCTCTTTGCCACTAAATTACCAGAAAGAATGCTGCTCACGTTGATCATGACTCAGAGTCAGCGCCTCGGTGCCCGGGAGGAGTCTGTGAACTTGTGTGGTGATTCGGCTCTGGCCCTGAGGGACAAATGTCCGCTTTTGAAAACCACCAGCCACTCAGCAGCCCTCACGACGGAACCAATCAGCCACTGCATGTTCAGCAGTGGAGCCGATTGCAGGAAGACCTCTCTGGGAGAATAAGAATAGGACCAGCCAAACTTCCCTTTAGAAATAAAATTCAGCTCAATCCAAAACAGTCATATTGCATTTTTATTATGTCCACCACAGTGAACTGGGGATTGCGGGGGAGACAGAGAAGGAAGGCATGGCTCTGGCTTCAAAGACCTGGTAATCAGATGTGTTCTTCACTGAAAAAGGGAAGAGAGGCAGAAAGAAGGAAGCCACGTTTGCTGTCAAGCCTTCACCCTACCTTGCTTGCAAAATTATAATTTACAAATTTAACATTAGTGACTTTCAGAAAAAGATAGGCAGCAGAAACATAGGAACTGGCACTTTCTTAGATGTATGTTGCCGATGAAAGAGGGAAAAGATGTAGACAAGAAATCCTCTCTTAAAATGGAGAGCTGGGGAAAAGTCGGGTCTCTCCTATCAAAGAGACAACTACAAGTGCTGCTTGCTTCTGTGTGTTTGACACCGCAGTCGGTGAACTGGGCCAATGTCAGCCCACAGAAATTGGAACAGCCTGAGTATATCTGGAAGCAAATACTCCACAGATGGAGAGGGAAGTGGGAGGTTAGCTCAGACCACTTGATTTTACTTAAACAGCTTTCAATTTTGTGAACTTGGAAAAGAAAAGGCCAGCAGAACTAATAAAGTCCACGTGACATCAATTCTGTTTCTTTAACACCTAGATAAATAACAAGTGAAGTCCACTGTCACCAAACATGGGACCTATGTTGCAATTCCCTTTCCTAAGGAGGGTCGTTTTCTGATTGCTGGGCATGAGTATGAGTATTTGAGAGGCATCAGATCATAGAAGGAGGCCTTAATAATTGTGGGCATGTACGTGAAGAAAGGGCAGATGCAGCAGTGATTATTTCCTGTTTAGAGATGTTTGTCAGGACACCTTCGAGGGTGGGAACAAGTTTCCACGGTTAGCAGAACAGATGGACGGAAGGGCAGCTGAGCCCTGCTTCCACAGTGGACTCCAGAGCTCTTGGGTAACATTTAGGATGCAGCCATCCAGAAACATCGTGAGGCCAAATGTAGGAAGATGCCAGGACCCAGGTGTACCCAGCGTTGGGGTGAACTAGTTTGTTGCTTAGAACTAAATCTAACTCAGGTTCTCTTTCTGCAGAAGGCTTTACAAGACCATAAGGGAGAAGGGAGAAGGAGAGGCAGTCTATAATTGCCTCTACCATCTTCACTCCCACCCCTAACCTTACTCATGCCAGCCTTCTCTTCCCACATCCCATACTTTTCTTATTCAGAATTCATTAGCCAGAAAATATAGTAGCAGCCATAACTGACATTTTCATATTGACATGTAATGTCTAGGTCAATTCTCAGCCAAGTGTGATTTTACTTCCCAGAGGACATTTATTGGTAGCTAGAGATAACTGGGGTTGTCACAACTGAGGAGGGGGATGCTACTGGCATGTAGTGGGGAGAGGCCAGCCATGCAGCTAAATATCCTACAAGGCACAAGACAGCCCCAACATTTAAGAATTATTGGGCCCACAATGTCAATAGTGTCATAGTTAAGAAACCCTGGTCTAAGGCCAGACGCAGTGGCTCATGCCTGTAATCCCAGCACTTTGGGAGGCCGAGGCGGGTGGATCACCTGAGGTCAGGAGTTTGAGACCAGCCTGACCAACATGGAGCAAACCCATCTCTACTAAATATACAAAATTAGCCGGGCGTGGTGGCACATGACTGTAATCACAGCTGCTCAGGAGTCTGAGGCAGGAGAATTGCTTGAACCCCAGCGGCGGAGGTTGCGGTGAGCCGAGATCATGCCATTGCACTCCAGCCTGGGCAACAAGAGCGAAACTCCATCTAGAAAAAAGCAAAACAAAACCGGAAACCCTGGTCCAAGATAAGATGTGAATTTTGCTGAGAAAAACTGGAAAGGTTGAATGGAGTCGGATCAAGTTGTGATGGTGGATCTAATTTTATAAAGTTGATTTTAGACTTTATTTCATTGGCCATTAAATATTAGCAGGCAGTTTTAGTGATGTTTTTGTCATCAGTGCTCTTCTAACAGCCCTGATGATGGATTTCCTTTTTATAACATGTTGCAGATCACACTTGTGAATCACATCTTCATTCTGTCAGTTGCTGACTTTGGGGGAAAGGTGAGATTTCCTACCTACCTTCTAATCTACATTCTCTTGTTTTTCCTAAGTGGGTAGGATCTTGTTGTCTAATGATCTTTTTTGCTCTTGAGGACATTTACATACCCAGTGAGAAACAACAACATACTTTGCATGGCCACTGGTTTGATGTTCATTCTCTTTTAATTTATTTGAATTTAATTAAGATAATCTTATTTAGAACTCAACTATTAACATGGCGAATACATTGGTTCAGTCGTGTGAACCAACAAAAGGTTTTTTTATTTTTTAATTTATATATATATATATATATAGTTTTTTTTATTATACTTTAAGTTCTAGGGTACATGTGCACAACGTGCAGGTTTGTTACATATGTATACATGTGCCATGTTGGTGTGCTGCACCCATTAACTCGTCATTTACATTAGGTATTTCTCCTAGTGCTATCCCTCCCCCCTCCCCCCACCCCACAACAGGCCCCGGTGTGTGATGTTCCCCTTCCTGTGTCCAAGTGTTCTCATTGAATGGGCAAAAGCCAACAAAAGTTTTGATGTGAAGCCTGCAGCATGCTCTCCATCTGATTGTGTTTATCTTCCTTTCTGATCTCTCGGGGTAACTAACTACTGCTTCTGGGGCAGATGGCATGATGGCTTCTTCTGCTGGGCTGTGCTGCATGACTTGAGATATGACAGAAATCTGGAGATTTAGTGCAGATGCCCAAATATTAGTTGACCTCGAATATAAAACACTCTTGATGAGAAGTTCCTGAAGTTTTTTTCTTTTTTTGGGCCATCTTGAACATATGAATATTGAGATTTAGATAAAATAATCAATACAGTTAATTAATTTAATATTTAATAAATTTAGTTGTATCCATAATTTAAAATTCCTTTATTATCTAAGATAACATTTGAACAGTATTTTTTTCGACTTCTCACTTTGGTAAAACAATTTAGTTTGGCTCATGATGTGTGGCTCTAAATAGGGGATCTTCATCATCACCAGAACTACTTTCTGAGCTCTCTCCTATGACATTTTTCCCACGTCATAATCCATTGATTTTTTTGAGAAGTAGTTTTTTAAATAATATATGTGATGTCATTGGAAATTGTATCCCATGCTGTAGCTGCCCATTCACACAACATTAAAAATTACTTTTTCATTCATCTTTTTACATGCCTGTTTGCAACATTCACTTACATGTGTGAGGTTAAATATCTGGAGGAATAATGATTATAATGATTATATCTGTTTAGCGAATTCTGAAGGGTGACTTTTATAAGCAACAATCAACTAGCAAAGACTGAGGTCATTTCAGGATTTGTCTTTCATAAGCCATATTTTGTTGTTCATAATAAAGTATCTAAGATGGCATCCTTTAAGGTAAATCATTTTGTAAGATCACAAATGGAAGACAATTACTCTTTTCTGAGGTACATTTTTGTTTCAGATGAAAAACTCCCACCTTAATGTTTGAATATGCAAAATATGTAATTGTATATTTTTCTATTTTGATTCATTAATGTTATTATGAGACTTTCACTTGGCTTTACTCTGATAACTCATTTATTACCTGACTATAACTAGGATACACTAAGAAAAATCGGATATAATAGTTGAAAACTGGGCTAATAAAAGATTTTAATTCTAAGCTCAGTTAAGTTTTGCTAAAATAATTCATTGAAAGCTACTAACTGGATTCGCCCTAGTTCCTGTTCCAATATCTAAACTATAGAAAAGGCTTTTATTTATTTCTTAAATAAAAGATTCCTGAAGAATGCCCACACAAGAGAAACCACAGAGCCCAGATTCTCCCTTTGTATGAACTCATCCTGAAACCACACATTTACTCCCAGAGAGGTAACAATATGTTTCTGCAATGATATGCAGGTTAAAAAAAAGCTTTCAGGACAAAAAAAGAAATGAATAAAAAATCAAGCCAAAACACATGGATTCCAGGTGTGCATCCAAGACAGCTTTTTGACAGATGTAAATATTTCCTGAGCAATTTTGCTGATCTTATGATGTGTATCTCACAGCCATTTCCATAAAAAAATGCAAGTGAGTCAGGATGAAAGAGACTTCCACCTGGACTTCAACGTCTCCAGCATTTACTACCTGGGTGATCTTGAACAAGTCACAGTTTCTTTTCAATTTTCCTTATCTCTGAGGACGCTTCTCAGGCTGACTGCCAACAAATATGTAGGAAAACATACTCAGTACAAAACATCTGCCTGGCACATAAACATTGGTTGAAACTGATTAGTAAAAGTATAAAACTTGCTGATGACTTAGTGATTATTACTGCTGTCTTCAATTGCCAGTAATTTATTTCTACTATCTTGATGGTAAAGGCGTGATTTTTTTTTTTTTTGAGGGGCTGCAATAGTATTCTCTATTTATAATTTGGGAAAAATTACAAATGTTTTTGCTTTCAAAATCTGGAATAACAGAGGCCAGGAATTGATAGGCCATTTTAGATTTTTCCAAGTGGAGTTCTTCCTGGTCCAGTTTTCAGTGGATTTGGGGATAAATAAGTTTCCCTCCAGGTTGTGGAGTGCTTTATTTCCTGGAACTTTTTCACATGAAGTCATCACTTGTTCTTTATTTAGGTGGGCCTACGGCCACATTTGAATCAGATCAGTGTAAACTTTGACTCGTGTACTGAGACTTCTGGAAAAGACAGCACACTAGCTTGGGAGTCTGACCCCCTTCCTTAAACTCAACCTGAAATGCTACATAAGCAACTGGGAGAATGACTGCTAACAGAATCAGTACAGCTCTTGCGGTAGCAGAAGGTGTTAGGTGATTTTCTGGGAGAGAGCAGCCCATACCCGAAGAGAACCAGCTGTCACTAATGAGGGGACACTGTGGGAAGGAGCTTTCTAGTTGTCCTAAGGTTTTCATCCTTCGTTGCCTCAGAGGGAGCATTGTTTTCCCCCATCCCTGCAGGTGGGGAAACACAGCATCCCCAGGACGGCACATGAGGAAGAGGGAGGCGACATGCGAGTGCTGAGGAGGAACCCCGGACGCCACCATTTCACATGGAAAAGGCAGGCACCATGCGAGTGCTGGAGAGGAACCCCGGACGCCACCATTTCACATGGAAGAGGCAGGTGATATGCGAGTGCTGAGGAGGAACCCTGGACGCCACTATTTCACATGGAAGAGGCAGGCGACATGAGAGTGCTGGAGAGGAACCCCGGACGCCACCATTTCACATGAAGAGGCAGGCGACATGCGAGTGCTGGAGAGGAACCATGGACGCCACCATTTCACATGGAAGAGGCAGGCGACATGCGAGTGCTGAGGAGGAACCCTGGACGCCACCATTTCACATGAAGAGGCAGGCGACATGGGAGTGCTGAGGAGGAACCCTGGACGCCACCATTTCACATGAAGAGGCAGGCGACATGCGAGTGCTGAGGAGGAACCCCGGACGCCACCATTTCACATGAAGAGGCAGGCGACATGCGAGTGCTGGAGAGGAACCCCGGACGCCACCATTTCACATGGAAGAGGCAGGCGACATGCGAGTGCTAGAGAGGAACCCCGGACGCCACCATTTCACATGAAGAGGCAGGCGACATGCGAGTGCTGAGGAGGAACCCTGGACGCCACCATTTCACATGGAAGAGGCAGGCGACATGCGAGTGCTGGAGAGGAACCCCGGACGCCACCATTTCACATGGAAGAGGCAGGCGACATGCGAGTGCTGGAGAGGAACCCCGGACGCCACTATTTCACATGAAGAGGCAGGCGACATGCGAGTGCTGAGGAGGAACCCTGGACGCCACCATTTCACATGGAAGAGGCAGGCGACATGCGAGTGTTGTGGAGGAACCCTGGACGCCACCATTTCACATGAAGAGGCAGGCGACATGCGAGTGCTGAGGAGGAGCCCCGGACCGCACCATTTCACATGAAGAGGCAGGCGACATGCGAGTGCTGAAGAGGAACTCCGGACGCCACCATTTCACATGGAAGAGGCAGGCGACATGCGAGTGCTGGAGAGGAACCCCGGACGCCACCATTTCACATGAAGAGGCAGGCGACATGCGAGTGCTGGAGAGGAACCCCGGACGCCACCATTTCACATGGAAGAGGCAGGCGACATGCGAGTGCTGGAGAGGAACCCCGGACGCCACCATTTCACATGAAGAGGCAGGCGACATGCGAGTGCTGGAGAGGAACCCCGGATGCCACCATTTCACATGGAAGAGGCAGTCGACATGCGAGTGCTGGAGAGGAACCCCGGACACCACCATTTCACATGAAGAGGCAGGCGACATGCGAGTGCTGAGGAGGAACCCTGGACGCCACCATTTCACATGGAAGAGGCAGGCGACATGCGAGTGCTGGAGAGGAACCCCGGACGCCACCATTTCACATGGAAGAGGCAGGCGACATGCGAGTGCTGGAGAGGAACCCCGGAAGCCACCATTTCACATGGAAGAGGCAGGCGACATGCGAGTGCTGAGGAGGAACCCTGGACGCCACCATTTCACATGGAAGAGGCAGGCGACATACGAGTGCTGTGGAGGAACCGCGGACGCCACCATTTCACATGAAGAGGCAGGCGACATGCGAGTGCTGAGGAGGAATCCTGGACGCCAAGATTTCACATGGAAGAGGCAGGCGACATGCGAGTGCTGGAGAGGAACCCGGGATGCCACCATTTCACATGAAGAGGCAGGAGACATGCGAGTGCTGAGGAGGAACCCTGGACGCCACCATTTCACATGGAAGAGGCAGGCGACATGCGAGTGCTGAGGAGGAACCCCGGACGCCACCATTTCACATGAAGAGGCAGGCGACATGCGAGTGCCGGAGAGGAACCCCGGACGCCACCATTTCACATGGAAGAGGCAGGCGACATGCGAGTGCTGAGGAGGAACCCTGGACGCCACTATTTCACATGGAAGAGGCAGGCGACATGCGAGTGCTGAGGAGGAACCCCGGACGCCACCATTTCACATGAAGAGGCAGGCGACATGCGAGTGCTGGAGAGGAACCCCGGACGCCACCATTTCACATGGAAGAGGCAGGCGACATGCGAGTGCTGGAGAGGAACCCCGGACGCCACCATTTCACATGAAGAGGCAGGCGACATGGGAGTGCTGGAGAGGAACCCCAGACGCCACCATTTCACATGAAGAGGCAGGCGACATGCGAGTGCCGTGGAGGAACCCCGGACACCACCATTTCACATGAAGAGGCAGGCGACATGCGAGTGCTGAGGAGGAACCCCGGACGCCACCATTTCACATGAAGAGGCAGGCGACATGCGAGTGCTGGAGAGGAACCCCGGACGCCACCATTTCACATGGAAGAGGCAGGCGACATGCGAGTGCTAGAGAGGAACCCCGGACGCCACCATTTCACATGAAGAGGCAGGCGACATGCGAGTGCTGAGGAGGAACCCTGGACGCCACCATTTCACATGGAAGAGGCAGGCGACATGCAAGTGCTGGAGAGGAACCCCGGACGCCACCATTACACATGGAAGAGGCAGGCGACATGCGAGTGCTGGAGAGGAACCCCGGACGCCACTATTTCACATGGAAGAGGCAGGCGACATGCGAGTGCTGAGGAGGAACCCTGGACGCCACCATTTCACATGGAAGAGGCAGGCGACATGCGAGTGCCGGAGAGGAACCCCGGACGCCACCATTTCACATGGAAGAGGCAGGCGACATGCGAGTGCTGGAGAGGAACCCCGGACGCCACCATTTCACATGGAAGAGGCAGGCGACATGCGAGTGCTGAGGAGGAACCCTGGACGCCACTATTTCACATGGAAGAGGCAGGCGACATGCGAGTGCTGAGGAGGAACCCCGGACGCCACCATTTCACATGAAGAGGCAGGCGACATGCGAGTGCTGGAGAGGAACCCCGGACGCCACCATTTCACATGGAAGAGGCAGGCGACATGCGAGTGCTGGAGAGGAACCCCGGATGCCACCATTTCACATGAAGAGGCAGGCGACATGGGAGTGCTGGAGAGGAACCCCAGACGCCACCATTTCACATGAAGAGGCAGGCGACATGCGAGTGCTGAGGAGGAACCCCGGACGCCACCATTTCACATGGAAGAGGCAGGCGACATGCGAGTGCTGGAGAGGAACCCCGGACGCCACCATTTCACATGAAGAGGCAGGCGACATGCGAGTGCTGGAGAGGAACCCCGGACGCCACCATTTCACATGAAGAGGCAGGCGACATGCGAGTGCTGAGGAGGAACCCCGGACGCCACCATTTCACATGAAGAGGCAGGCGACATGCGAGTGCCGGAGAGGAACCCCGGACGCCACCATTTCACATGGAAGAGGCAGGCGACATGCGAGTGCTGGAGAGGAACCCCGGACGCCACCATTTCACATGGAAGAGGCAGGCGACATGCGAGTGCTGAGGAGGAACCCTGGACGCCACTATTTCACATGAAGAGGCAGGCGACATGCGAGTGCTGAGGAGGAACCCTGGACGCCACCATTTCACATGGAAGAGGCAGGCGACATGCGAGTGCTGGAGAGGAACCCCGGACGCCACCATTTCACATGGAAGAGGCAGGCGACATGCGAGTGCTGGAGAGGAACCCCGGACGCCACTATTTCACATGGAAGAGGCAGGCGACATACGAGTGCTGAGGAGGAACCCTTGACGCCACTATTTCACATGGAAGAGGCAGGCGACATGCGAGTGCTGGAGAGGAACCATGGACGCCACCATTTCACATGGAAGAGGCAGGCGACATGCGAGTGCTGGAGAGGAACCCCGGACGCCACCATTTCACATGAAGAGGCAGGCGACATGCGAGTGCTGAGGAGGAACCCTGGACGCCACCATTTCACAAGAAGAGGCAGGCGACATGCGAGTGCTGTGGAGGAACCCCGGACACCACCATTTCACATGAAGAGGCAGGCGACATACGAGTGCTGAGGAGGAACCCCGGACGCCACCATTTCACATGAAGAGGCAGGCGACATGCGAGTGCTGGAGAGGAACCCCGGACGCCACCATTTCACATGGAAGAGGCAGGCGACATGCGAGTGCTAGAGAGGAACCCCGGACGCCACCATTTCACATGAAGAGGCAGGCGACATGCGAGTGCTGAGGAGGAACCCTGGACGCCACCATTTCACATGGAAGAGGCAGGCGACATGCGAGTGCTGGAGAGGAACCCCGGACGCCACCATTTCACATGGAAGAGGCAGGCGACATGCGACTGCTGGAGAGGAACCCCGGACGCCACTATTTCACATGGAAGAGGCAGGCGACATGCGAGTGCTGAGGAGGAACCCTGGACGCCACCATTTCACATGGAAGAGGCAGGCGACATGCGAGTGCTGGAGAGGAACCCTGGACGCAACCATTTCACATGGAAGAGGCAGGCGACATACGAGTGCTGAGGAGGAACCCTGGACGCCACTATTTCACATGGAAGAGGCAGGCGACATGCGAGTGCTGGAGAGGAACCCCGGACGCCACCATTTCACATGAAGAGGCAGGCGACATGCGAGTGCTGAGGAGGAACCCTGGACGCCACCATTTCACATGGAAGAGGCAGGCGACATGAGAGTGCTGAGGAGGAACCCCGGACGCCACCATTTCACATGAAGAGGCAGGCGACATGCGAGCGCTGGAGAGGAACCCCGGACGCCACTATTTCACATGGAAGAGGCAGGCGACATGCGAGTGCTGGAGAGGAACCCCGGACGCCACCATTTCACATGAAGAGGCAGGCGACATGCAAGTGCTGGAGAGGAACCCCAGATGCCACCATTTCACATGAAGAGGCAGGCGACATGCGAGTGCTGAGGAGGAACCCTGGACGCCACCATTTCACATGGAAGAGGCAGGAGACATGGGAGTGCTGAGGAGGAACCCTGGACGCCACCATTTCACATGAAGAGGCAGGCGACATGCGAGTGCTGAGGAGGAACCCTGGATGCCACCATTTCACATGGAAGAGGCAGGCGACATGCGAGTGCTGTGGAGGAACCCCAGACGCCACCATTTCACATGAAGAGGCAGGCGACATGCGAGTGCTGGAGAGGAACCCCGGACGCCACCATTTCACATGGAAGAGGCAGGCGACATGCGAGTGCTGAGGAGGAACCCCGGACACCACCATTTCACATGAAGAGGCAGGCGACGTGCGAGTGCTGAGGAGGAACCCTGGATGCCACCATTTCACATGGAAGAGGCAGGCGACATGCGAGTGCTGTGGAGGAACCCCGGACGCCACCATTTCACATGAAGAGGCAGGCGACATGCGAGTGCTGGAGAGGAACCCCGGACGCCACCATTTCACATGGAAGAGGCAGGCGACATGCGAGTGCCGAGGAGGAACCCCGGACACCACCATTTCACATGAAGAGGCAGGCGACATGCGAGTGCTGGAGAGGAACCCCGGACACCACCATTTCACATGGAAGAGGCAGGCGACATGCGAGTGCTGGAGAGGAACCCCGGACGCCACCATTTCACATGGAAGAGGGAGGTGACATGCGAGTGCTGGAGAGGAACCCCGGACGCCACCATTTCACATGGAAGAGGCAGGCGACATGCGAGTGCTGAGGAGGAACCCTTGACGCCACTATTTCACATGGAAGAGGCAGGCGACATGCGAGTGCTGGAGAGGAACCCCGGACGCCACCATTTCACATGAAGAGGCAGGCGACATGCGAGTGCTGAGGAGGAACCCTGGACGCCACTATTTCACATGGAAGAGTCAGGCGACATGCGAGTGCTGAGGAGGAACCCTGGACGCCACCATTTCACATGGAAGAGGCAGGCGACATGCGAGTGCTGGAGAGGAACCCCGGACGCCACCATTTCACATGAAGAGGCAGGCGACATGCGAGTGCTGGAGAGGAACCCCGGACGCCACCATTTCACATGAAGAGGCAGGCGACATGCGAGTGCTGGAGAGGAACCCCGGACGCCACCATTTCACATGAAGAGGCAGGCGACATGCGAGTGCTGAGGAGGAACCCTGGGCGCCACCATTTCACATGGAAGAGGCAGGCGACATGCGAGTGCTGGAGAGGAACCCCGGACGCCACCATTTCACATGAAGAGGCAGGCGACATGCGAGTGCTGAGGAGGAACCCTGGACGCCACCATTTCACATGGAAGAGGCAGGCGACATGCGAGTGCTGAGGAGGAACCCTGGACGCCACCATTTCACATGAAGAGGCAGGCGACATGCGAGTGCTGAGGAGGAACCCCGGACGCCACCATTTCACATGAAGAGGCAGGCGACATGCGAGTGCCGGAGAGGAACCCCGGACGCCACCATTTCACATGGAAGAGGCAGGCGACATGCGAGTGCTGGAGACGAACCCCGGACGCCACCATTTCACATGAAGAGGGAGGCGACATGCGAGTGCTGGAGAGGAACCCCGGACGCCACCATTTCACATGAAGAGGCAGGCGACATGCGAGTGCTGAGGAGGAACCCCGGACGCCACCATTTCACATGAAGAGGCAGGCGACATGCGAGTGCTGGAGAGGAACCCCAGACGCCACCATTTCACATGAAGAGGCAGGCGACATGCAAGTGCTGAGGAGGAACCCTGGACGCCACCATTTCACATGGAAGAGGCAGGCGACATGCGAGTGCTGAGGAGGAACCCTGGACGCCACCATTTCACATGAAGAGGCAGGCGACATGCGAGTGCTGAGGAGGAACCCTGGACGCCACCATTTCACATGAAGAGGCAGGCGACATGCGAGTGCTGAGGAGGAACCCTGGATGCCACCATTTCACATGAAGAGGCAGGCGACATGCGAGTGCTGGAGAGGAACCCCGGACGCCACCATTTCACATGAAGAGGCAGGCGACATGCGAGTGCTGAGGAGGAACCCCGGACTCCACCATTTCACATGGAAGAGGCAGGCGACATGCGAGTGCTGAGGAGGAACCCCGGACGCCACCATTTCACATGAAGAGGCAGGCGACATGCGAGTGCCGGAGAGGAACCCCGGACGCCACCATTTCACATGGAAGAGGCAGGCGACATGCGAGTGCTGGAGAGGAACCCCGGACGCCACCATTTCACATGGAAGAGGCAGGCGACATGCGAGTGCTGAGGAGGAACCCTGGACGCCACTATTTCACATGGAAGAGGCAGGCGACATGCGAGTGCTGAGGAGGAACCCTGGACCCCACCATTTCACATGGAAGAGGCAGGCGACATGCGAGTGCTGGAGAGGAACCCCGGACGCCACCATTTCACATGGAAGATGCAGGCGACATGCGAGTGCTGAGGAGGAACGCTTGACGCCACTATTTCACATGGAAGAGGCAGGCGACATGCGAGTGCTGGAGAGGAACCCCGGACGCCACCATTTCACATGAAGAGGCAGGCGACATGCGAGTGCTGAGGAGGAACCCCGGACGCCACCATTTCACATGAAGAGGCAGGCGACATGCGAGTGCTGGAGAGGAACCCCAGACGCCACCATTTCACATGAAGAGGCAGGCGACATGCGAGTGCTGAGGAGGAACCCTGGACGCCACCATTTCACATGGAAGAGGCAGGCGACATGGGAGTGCTGGAGAGGAACCCCAGACGCCACCATTTCACATGAAGAGGCAGGCGACATGCGAGTGCTGGAGAGGAACCCCGGACGCCACCATTTCACATGAAGAGGCAGGCGACATGCGAGTGCTGGAGAGGAACCCCGGACGCCACCATTTCACATGAAGAGGCAGGCGACATGCGAGTGCTGAGGAGGAACCCCGGGCGCCACCATTTCACATGGAAGAGGCAGGCGACATGCGAGTGCTGGAGAGGAACCCCGGATGCCACCATTTCACATGGAAGAGGCAGGCGACATGCGAGTGCTGGAGAGGAACCCCGGACACCACCATTTCACATGAAGAGGCAGGCGACATGCGAGTGCTGAGGAGGAACCCCGGACGCCACCATTTCACATGGAAGAGGCAGGCGACATGCAAGTGCTGGAGAGGAACCCCGGACGCCACCATTTCACATGGAAGAGGCAGGCGACATGCGAGTGCTGGAGAGGAACCCCGGACGCCACCATTTCACATGGAAGAGGCAGGCGACATGCGAGTGCTGAGGAGGAACCCTGGACGCCACCATTTCACATGGAAGAGGCAGGCGACATGCGAGTGCTGGAGAGGAACCCTGGACGCCACCATTTCACATGGAAGAGGCAGGAGACATACGAGTGCTGAGGAGGAACCCTGGACGCCACTATTTCACATGGAAGAGGCAGGCGACATGCGAGTGCTGGAGAGGAACCCCGGACGCCACCATTTCACATGAAGAGGCAGGCGACATGCGAGTGCTGAGGAGGAACCCTGGACGCCACCATTTCACATGGAAGAGGCAGGCGACATGAGAGTGCTGAGGAGGAACCCCGGACGCCACCATTTCACATGAAGAGGCAGGCGACATGCGAGTGCTGGAGAGGAACCCCGGACGCCACTATTTCACATGGAAGAGGCAGGCGACATGCGAGTGCTGGAGAGGAACCCCGGACGCCACCATTTCACATGAAGAGGCAGGCGACATGCAAGTGCTGGAGAGGAACCCCAGACGCCACCATTTCACATGAAGAGGCAGGCGACATGCGAGTGCTGAGGAGGAACCCTGGACGCCACCATTTCACATGGAAGAGGCAGGAGACATGGGAGTGCTGAGGAGGAACCCTGGACGCCACCATTTCACATGAAGAGGCAGGCGACATGCGAGTGCTGAGGAGGAACCCTGGATGCCACCATTTCACATGGAAGAGGCAGGCGACATGCGAGTGCTGTGGAGGAACCGCGGACGCCACCATTTCACATGAAGAGGCAGGCGACATGCGAGTGCTGGAGAGGAACCCCGGACGCCACCATTTCACATGGAAGAGGCAGGCGACATGCGAGTGCTGAGGAGGAACCCCGGACACCACCATTTCACATGAAGAGGCAGGCGACATGCGAGTGCTGAGGAGGAACCCCGGATGCCACCATTTCACATGGAAGAGGCAGGCGACATGCGAGTGCTGAGGAGGAACCCCGGACACCACCATTTCACATGAAGAGGCAGGCGACATGCGAGTGCTGGAGAGGAACCCCGGACACCACCATTTCACATGAAGAGGCAGGCGACATGCGAGTGCTGAGGAGGAACCCTGGACGCCACCATTTCACCTGGAAGAGGCAGGCGACATGCGAGTGCTGGAGAGGAACCCCGGACGCCACCATTTCACATCGAAGAGGCAGGCGACATGTGAGTGCTGGAGAGGAACCCCGGACGCCACCATTTCACATGGAAGAGGCAGGCGACATGCGAGTGCTGGAGAGGAACCCCGGACGCCACCATTTCACATGAAGAGGCAGGCGACATGCGAGTGCTGAGGAGGAACCCTGGACGCCACCATTTCACATGGAAGAGGCAGGCGACATGCGAGTGCTGGAGAGGAACCCCGGACGCCACCATTTCACATGAAGAGGCAGGCGACATGCGAGTGCTGAGGAGGAATCCTGGACGCCAACATTTCACATGGAAGAGGCAGGCGACATGCGAGTGCTGGAGAGGAACCCGGGATGCCACCATTTCACATGAAGAGGCAGGCGACATGCGAGTGCTGAGGAGGAACCCTGGACGCCACCATTTCACATGGAAGAGGCAGGCGACATGTGAGTGCTGAGGAGGAACCCCGGACGCCACCATTTCACATGAAGAGGCAGGCGACATGCGAGTGCCGGAGAGGAACCCCGGACGCCACCATTTCACATGGAAGAGGCAGGCGACATGCGAGTGCTGGAGAGGAACCCCGGACGCCACCATTTCACATGGAAGAGGCAGGCGACATGCGAGTGCTGAGGAGGAACCCTGGACGCCACTATTTCACATGGAAGAGGCAGGCGACATGCGAGTGCTGAGGAGGAACCCCGGATGCCACCATTTCACATGAAGAGGCAGGCGACATGCGAGTGCTGGAGAGGAACCCCGGACGCCACCATTTCACATGGAAGAGGCAGGCGACATGCGAGTGCTGGAGAGGAACCCCGGACGCCACCATTTCACATGAAGAGGCAGGCGACATGGGAGTGCTGGAGAGGAACCCCAGACGCCACCATTTCACATGAAGAGGCAGGCGACATGCGAGTGCTGAGGAGGAACCCCGGACGCCACCATTTCACATGGAAGAGGCAGGCGACATGCGAGTGCTGGAGAGGAACCCCGGACGCCACCATTTCACATGAAGAGGCAGGCGACATGCGAGTGCTGAGGAGGAACCCTGGACGCCACCATTTCACATGAAGAGGCAGGCGACATGCGAGTGCTGGAGAGGAACCCCGGACGCCACCATTTCACATGAAGAGGCAGGCGACATGCGAGTGCTGAGGAGGAACCCCGGACGCCACCATTTCACATGAAGAGGCAGGCGACATGCGAGTGCTGGAGAGGAACCCCAGACGCCACCATTTCACATGAAGAGGCAGGCGACATGCGAGTGCTGAGGAGGAACCCTGGACGCCACCATTTCACATGGAAGAGGCAGGCGACATGCGAGTGCTGAGGAGGAACCCTGGACGCCACCATTTCACATGAAGAGGCAGGCGACATGCGAGTGCTGAGGAGGAACCCTGGACGCCACCATTTCACATGAAGAGGCAGGCGACATGCGAGTGCTGAGGAGGAACCCTGGACACCACCATTTCACATGGAAGAGGCAGGCGACATGCGAGTGTTGTGGAGGAACCCCGGACGCCACCATTTCACATGAAGAGGCAGGCGACATGCGAGTGCTGAGGAGGAACCCCGGACGCCACCATTTCACATGAAGAGGCAGGCGACATGCGAGTGCTGGAGAGGAACCCCAGACGCCACCATTTCACATGGAAGAGGGAGGTGACATGCGAGTGCTGGAGAGGAACCCCGGACGCCACCATTTCACATGGAAGAGGCAGGCGACATGCGAGTGCTGAGGAGGAACCCTGGACGCCACCATTTCACATGGAAGAGGCAGGCGACATGCGAGTGCTGGAGAGGAACCCCGGACACCACCATTTCACATGAAGAGGCAGGCGACATGCGAGTGCTGAGGAGGAACCCCGGACGCCACCATTTCACATGGAAGAGGCAGGCAACATGCGAGTGCTGGAGAGGAACCCGGACGCCACCATTTCACATGGAAGAGGCAGGCGACATGCGAGTGCTGGAGAGGAACCCCGGACGCCACCATTTCACATGGAAGAGGCAGGCGACATGCGAGTGCTGAGGAGGAACCCTGGACGCCACCATTTCACATGGAAGAGGCAGGCGACATACGAGTGCTGTGGAGGAACCCCGGACGCCACCATTTCACATGAAGAGGCAGGCGACATGCGAGTGCTGAGGAGGAACCCTGGACGCCACCATTTCACATGGAAGAGGCAGGCGACATGCGAGTGCTGGAGTGGAACCCCGGACGCCACCATTTCACATGGAAGAGGCAGGCGACATGCGAGTGCTGAGGAGGAACCCTTGACGCCACTATTTCACATGGAAGAGGCAGGCGACATGCGAGTGCTGGAGAGGAACCCTGGACGCCACCATTTCACATGAAGAGGCAGGCGACATGCGAGTGCTGAGGAGGAACCCCGGACGCCACCATTTCACATGAAGAGGCAGGCGACATGCGAGTGCTGGAGAGGAACCCCAGACGCCACCATTTCACATGAAGAGGCAGGCGACATGCGAGTGCTGAGGAGGAACCCTGGACGCCACCATTTCACATGGAAGAGGCAGGCGACGTGCGAGTGCTGAGGAGGAACCCTGGACGCCACCATTTCACATGAAGAGGCAGGCGACATGCGAGTGCTGAGGAGGAACCCTGGACGCCACCATTTCACATGGAAGAGGCAGGCGACATGCGAGTGCTGAGGAGGAACCCTGGACGCCACCATTTCACATGGAAGAGGCAGGCGACATGCGAGTGTTGTGGAGGAACCCCGGACGCCACCATTTCACATGAAGAGGCAGGCGACATGCGAGTGGTGAGGAGGAACCCCGGACCGCACCATTTCACATGAAGTGGCAGGCGACATGCGAGTGCTGAAGAGGAACCCCGGACGCCACCATTTCACATGGAAGAGGGAGGCGACATGCGAGTGCTGGAGAGGAACCCCGGACGCCACCATTTCACATGAAGAGGCAGGCGACATGCGAGTGCTGGAGAGGAACCCCGGACGCCACCATTTCACATGGAAGAGGCAGGCGACATGCGAGTGCTGGAGAGGAACCCCGGACGCCACCATTTCACATGGAAGAGGCAGGCGACATGCGAGTGTTGGAGAGGAACCCCGGACGCCACCATTTCACATGAAGAGGCAGGCGACATGCGAGTGCTGAGGAGGAACCCTGGACGCCACCATTTCACATGGAAGAGGCAGGCGACGTGCGAGTGCTGAGGAGGAACCCTGGACGCCACCATTTCACATGAAGAGGCAGGCGACATGCGATTGCTGAGGAGGAACCCTGGATGCCACCATTTCACATGGAAGTGGCAGGTGACATGCGAGTGCTGGAGAGGAACCCTGGACGCCACCATTTCACATGGAAGAGGCAGGCGACATGCGAGTGCTGGAGAGGAACCCTGGACGCCACCATTTCACATGGAAGAGGCAGGCGACATGCAAGTGCTGAGGAGGAACCCTTGACGCCACTATTTCACATGGAAGAGGCAGGCGACATGCGAGTGCTGGAGAGGAACCCCGGACGCCACCATTTCACATGAAGAGGCAGGCGACATGCGAGTGCTGGAGAGGAACCCCGGACGCCACCATTTCACATGAAGAGGCAGGCGACATGCGAGTGCTGAGGAGGAACCCTGGGCGCCACCATTTCACATGGAAGAGGCAGGCGACATGCGAGTGCTGGAGAGGAACCCCGGACGCCACCATTTCACATGAAGAGGCAGGCGACATGCGAGTGCTGAGGAGGAACCCCGGACGCCACCATTTCACATGGAAGAGGCAGGCGACATGGGAGTGCTGGAGAGGAACCCCGGACGCCACCATTTCACATGGAAGAGGCAGGCGACATGCGAGTGCTGGAGAGGAACCCCGGACGCCACCATTTCACATGGAAGAGGCAGGCGACATGCGAGTGCTGAGGAGGAACCCTGGACGCCACCATTTCACATGGAAGAGGCAGGCGACATACGAGTGCTGTGGAGGAACCCTGGACGCCACCATTTCACATGAAGAGGCAGGCAACATGCGAGTGCTGAGGAGGAACCCTGGACGCCACCATTTCTCATGGAAGAGGCAGGCGACATGCGAGTGCTGGAGAGGAACCCCGGACGCCACCATTTCACATGGAAGAGGCAGGCGACATGCGAGTGCTGAGGAGGAACCCTTGACGCCACTATTTCACATGGAAGAGGCAGGCGACATGCGAGTGCTGGAGAGGAACCCCGGACGCCACCATTTCACATGAAGAGGCAGGCGACATGCGAGTGCTGAGGAGGAACCCCGGACGCCACCATTTCACATGGAAGAGGCAGGCGACATGCGAGTGTTGTGGAGGAACCCTGGACGCCACCATTTCACATGAAGAGGCAGGCGACATGCGAGTGCTGAGGAGGAGCCCCGGACCGCACCATTTCACATGAAGAGGCAGGCGACATGCGAGTGCTGAAGAGGAACTCCGGACGCCACCATTTCACATGGAAGAGGCAGGCGACATGCGAGTGCTGGAGAGGAACCCCGGACGCCACCATTTCACATGAAGAGGCAGGCGACATGCGAGTGCTGAGGAGGAACCCTGGACGCCACCATTTCACATGGAAGAGGCAGGCGACGTGCGAGTGCTGAGGAGGAACCCTGGACGCCACCATTTCACATGAAGAGGCAGGCGACATGCGATTGCTGAGGAGGAACCCTGGATGCCACCATTTCACATGGAAGTGGCAGGTGACATGCGAGTGCTGGAGAGGAACCCTGGACGCCACCATTTCACATGGAAGAGGCAGGCGACATGCGAGTGCTGTAGAGGAACCCCGGACGCCACCATTTCACATGAAGAGGCAGGCGACATGCGTGTGCTGAGGAGGAACCCTGGACGCCACCATTTCACATGGAAGAGGCAGGCGACATGCGAGTGCTGTGGAGGAACCCCGGACGCCACCATTTCACATGGGAAGGCCGGCTTCCTCTTTGCTAATGAATGAGATAATTACAACAGAATCAAGCCAACCCCAGAAAGCGCAGCGCCTGAGCAGAAGAAATGGGAAGTTCACTGGGTGGCAGTGTTGGGAACTGAGGTAGAAATAGAGCATTCCAGGTTTGCAATAATACAGGTTATTTCCTTACGTCATTTCCGTATATCCTAAAAAGAGGAGCAGGAGGGCACATACTAGGTCTAAGCTTCCATCTCTACTCCTAAAGGAATACTACTAGCTGAGGTAGTCCATACTCCCAGCAGAATTTGAGCTCATAGGAAGAGAGAAAAAAATATATCTGAGGAGGAGTACTAGCCCTTTAAAAGAAAAATAGATACTGAAGAATCTTATCAGAGAGAGCTGAATTAATGGTCCAGATAAAACAAGAACTGGAAATAAAATAAATATCTTCAGAGAGCAGGAAAGGATATTGCAAATATGAAGCAGGAACAATCAGTGAAGACAAAGAATCAAATGAGGATGGGAATAAAACATATAATAGCAAAATGTATATAGACAAAGAATAAATCAGTAAGATAAAGAATCTGGTTGGAAAATTTTCCCCAAGTTTAAATAAAGGCATAAAAGATGGAAAATATCTAAGAACTAAAATAAAGAGAAACTAAAAGTGGAAAGGTCAATTTTGATTTACTACATAAAACTAAATAGAGTATAGAATTGTTTTCATTGTTGTTGAGATATAATTGAGAATTAAAGAAAGATAGAAAGTCAGATCAAAATGGCTCCATAAAACAACAGACCACATTGATAAGCAAAACCTCAAATCTTGACACATTACACTTAATTTAAAATAACAAAGGCAAAATTCTAAAAGCATCTGAATAAGAAATAATATTTCATTGTAAATTAAGATAATTAGCATCAAATTTTTGAATGGTAACACTAGAATATTAAAGTGACATTTGAAAAATATTGAAGAAAAATAAACTTAGACCTAGAGTTTTATATACAGATAAACTATTATTTAAACACTAGGTTGAATAAAATAAAGGCATTTCAAGAGACACATAGAAGGCGAGGGCACATAAAATCTTACAGAAAACATTCTACAGGGAGTACTTCTACAGAGAAAACAAATAATTCCAAAAAGAAAGTTTAAGGTCAACCAAATAAGCAATGGCAAAAAAGAAATATTGTGTGTGATTATTTGTATATGTGTATAAGAGTGTCGTCCAATGGGCCTTTCTGTTTTGATGGAGATATTCTATTTGTACTGTTCAATATGATAGACCATAGCCATGTGTGGCTGTTGGATGAAAAGTATGGCTAGTGTGGCCAAGGAACTGAGTTTTAAATTTTATTTAACCTTAATAAATTTAAATTTGAATAGCCATGTGTGGTTAGTGGCTACTACATTGTACAGCAGAGCCCTGTACTAACACAGATGAAATGTTCCAGATTATACCAATATATGCTGAGGGTCAGGAACATGCAGAAATCAGAGGATTTGGACAGTATGTTCAGGTTCTTGTCTTTTACACAGGGAAGAAATAATAATGAGCTCTAAAAAATTAAGTCTGAAATTTAAGGTATTAGCAGAAACCAACTGAAAGATAGACGTTAAAATTTGGCTTTCAAAACAGAAGAAAAAAAATTGCTCTCTTCAATAAAATGCAAGAATGGAGAAAAAATAAACAAGAAGAAAGGTTGATACATAGAAAATATGCAATAGGATGACAAGAATAAATCATAGTATGACAGTAATTTAAGTAAATGTAAATAGGTTAAACATGCACATCAAATCACAGAGACTCTCAGGAAATAAGATGCTGTAATACATTGTCTATTAGAGATATTTGAAACAAAAGAAAACAGCTAGTTGAAAATACATGAGACATCCATTTTTATTATCAATTTTAATAACAAAGAAATTATAAGTTGTTAAACTATGTAAGTAAAAGATATGAATACCATATATGTGTATATATACACATACATATGAAGAAAGGAGATGCTGGGCGCAGTGGCTCATGCCTGTAATCCCAACACTTTGGGAGAACAAGATGGGCAGATCACGAGGTCAGGAGATGGAGAACATCCTGGCTAACACAGTGAAACCCCATCTCTACTAAAAAATACAAAAAGTTAGCCAGGCGTGTTAGCGGGCGCCTGTAGTCCCAGCTACTCAGGAGGTTGAGGCAGGAGAATGGCGTGAACCCAGGAGGCGGAGCTTGCAGAGATAGCGCCACTGCACTCCAGCCTGGGCGACAGAGCAAGACTCCGTCTCAAAACAAACAAACAAACAAACGAACAAAAACAAGAAAGAGGAAATAAAAAAGAAAATGAAATGTATACATCCACCTCTATGATGAAGACAGATACATTCTGAGAAAAAGGTGCATAAATCAACAATTGCAGTTGGAGTTTTGGACACACTTTCAAGAAGAAAAACTGATCCAAAAGACAAAAAATAAAAAGAGGAAGGATTTAGACGGTTTGAAAAAAACTCTCTGATTGATAAGCTCAAACCCATAAATGCATATAGATTTTCACACTCCAAAACCTAGAATACACCTGCACATAGTAAATATTTATAAAGCCTCAAATTTTATGAAATCAAAAGCATAAAACATCAGAGATCAATAAACAAAAAGTTACTTTTAAAGGATCTGCAGGTGACCTTGAATAACACAGGGATCAATGTATGATCAAAGTATATCATGAACAACAGAATGGCTAAAAATTGGAGAACTTAGATAAAATTGATGAATTTCTGGAGTTATATATAATACCAAAATTGTTACAGGATTAAGCAAAAACCTTGAATGAGACAATCATCAGGGAAATAATTAAAAGTTAATCAAAGACTTCTCCCCTAAAACAGCTTCAACACCAGATGGTTTTAAATGTGAGTTCTACCTAACTTTAGAGGAACAGATAATCTTGATCTTATACAAGAGAACTCTTCCAAATGCAATTAAATCTAATAATGTGTGAAAATTCGTAATAACGAATATATTTTTTCCAAGGAATATAATGGTATTTTAATAACAGATATTCTATTAAAGTAACAATCATACTCATTGGGAAAGCTGTAATTACTTAGTTTAGTTTAGTTTACTTATGGGCCAAGTAAATAACAACAAAAATCTGGCCACATCTCCATTAAGGCCTTGGAATCATCAATCCACATAATTAAAATGGAAAAGTTGTGTCATGAGTCACGACAGATACTACAAATTCACTCACTTAAAAATGGGAAAAGGAAAGAAAGATGTACCCTATTACTACAAATGCTTAACATAACATTGGAGGTATTTGTTAATGCAAGATAGTAAGAAAAAAATAAGATGCCTAAGGATCAGAAGGGTCGCAAAAACAGTCTTATTTATTTACATGTAATAGGACCCTCTAAATAGAAAACCAAGTAAAATCAAAAGAAAATTTAGTAATGATAAAACTGAGGAAAGTTGTTTAATACAGGACAGACATCTAAAATCAATACCATTGGTTTATTATATTTTCAAAGTTGAAAATATAATTTATGTTTTATATAAATATATAATTGTGAATAATGTCTTAATTTTCAACTTTGAAAATATAATAAAAATAAGACATTATTCTTAGTGACAACATTTCTAAAATTTCTCAGGAATTATTGTAACAAATAATCCAATCATTCCTACAATTTAGAGATTGGAAAAGGGACTAGGGTAAATCTAGTTAGTAGATTTTCAAAGAATTATTTTAGCAAAATTTAACTGAGCTTAGAACTTACAATAATATTTTCCTAAACCAATTTTCAACAATAATTCTAGATTTTTCTCAGTGTATCCAAGTTATAGTCAGTTAACATATGAGTTACTTAGAGTACAGCCCAAGTTTAACTTTCATAATAACACCTAATTAGTGCCAAATCGCACAGATAATGTGGTAGGCAGCCTCTGAAATGGTTTCCCACTGAACCCTCCTCGCTGTATTTACTACTTCCCGAAATCCTCTCCTTTTGACCATGGGCTGGACCTAGTGCCTAATGCATAGAATATGACAAAGGGGATAAGATGTCATTTCCAAGATGAGGTTACAAAGAGTTTGTGCTTTCCATCTTGCTGTCATTCTCTCTTACCCACTTGCTAGCTTCCTTGGTGGCAATTCAATGGCCTTGCTATGAGCTGTGCTGTGGAGAGACCCACATGGCAAGGAAATGAAGGAGGCCAGTAGCCAGTGGGCAACTGAATCCTGCAACCATGTAAGTGAGTTTGAAAACATCTTCCCCAAGTCAAGTCTTCAGAGGAGACTGCAGCCCCTGCTGACACCTTGATTATAGCCTTGGCAGAGGCTTTAGGCAGACACTCAGCTAAGCCACGATCTGGATTCCTGACTCACGGAGATAATGCTTACTCTTTTGAGCTTCTAACTTTTGATGTAATTTGTTATATAGCAATAGATAACTAATATAGGCAAGTATCTGAAATAAAGTAGACAACTAGCTAAAGAGGAATGTTGGTGATTATGTGCCTCAAAATGAGAACTATGATTAACGTAGCTTACTTATGGGCCAAGTAAATAACGACAAATACAAGCCAAAAATCTGGCCACATTTCCATTAAGACCTTGGTATCATCAATCCACATAATCAAAATGGAAAAAGTTGTGTCATGAGGCATGACAGATACTTCAGATTCACTCACTTAAAACTCATTTTAGCTCATTCATCCTTGTTTTCCTGTACATGGTTCTGGAAAGCAAATGCTTGAATTTCCAGTCTGCCTTTCAGCTAACTGTGATCATGGACACAGGTCTGGATTAGAAAATGAAAGCAGAAGTTCCCAAGGAGAGTTTCATTTTCATATTAAAAATGAATTCTCCAGAAAAGGCATTTTACTTTCACCCCCTGCACATTCTTTCTGCTTGCAATGTGAAAGTGATATTTAGAAATGCAGGACATCTTGCAGTCATGAGCACAGAGGGGAAAGCTGTCTGCTAAGAATGGCACCATGGGAAGCTGGGAGCATCCTGCGCTCCTGGTGGCATTGTGCGGTGAAGGACTAGTCTACACTCTTGTTAGTGTTGGGGATTTCTGCTGTTCACAGCTGAGTATTTCCTAACTGAAACCAGTAGAATAATTTTGATTTTTGTATCTAAACTTTGTGGGAGAGCATAAATTCCATCAGATTACCTCAGTTAATAATGAGTAAAATGGGCAGGGCGCGGTGGCTCACGCCTGTAATCCCAGCACTCTGGGAGGCAGAGGCAGGCAGATCACTTGAGATCAGGAGTTCGAGACCAGCCTGACCAACATAGCGAAACCCCATCGCTGCTAAAAATACAAAATTAGCTGGGCGTGGTGGCGCATACCTGCAATCCCAGCTACTAGGATGGCTGAGGCAGGAGAATCGCTTGAACGTGGGAGGCAGAGGTTGCAGTGAGCCGAGATGGCACCATTGCACTCCAGCCTGGGCAACAAGAGCGAAAGTCCGTCTCAAAAAAAAAAAAAAAAAAAAGGTAAAATGAAGAGAATTTCAAGAAGGTCCATTTCAGGCACTATTTTTGTTTTAGCAGAAATTTAATGAAATAAAAAAGTGATGAGAAATTAATCAAGAGTATTCAAGACCTAAGTTTTCCTTTGGTGTTGGTTTACTTGTGGAAGATCCCGTGAATCTGGACTGAATTATACCTGATTCCAGTAAGTTTCAAACTCAACCCAGCTCAATCCAGGCATGTAATATCTCAAAAGGGCTCTCTTTTATTAGTGTTTAAGGTCAAGGATTTTTCCAGGGTTATTAAGTGGAATTTCTGTGACAACTTGAAATCTGGTATTAGAATGGGACTGATCTATGCAGTACGGTGAGTCCAGCTGTATTTTACTTCTTACACTTGGTTTCTGAGAAATTTAAGTACGTTTTAAATTTAGGGCACCATTCAGCATCATCTAGGAAATACCACACTAATGGTGTGAGAGTTTACTAAATTTTCCTCTTTTACTCAGGGTACTTGGTAGCTAGCAATAGAAACCAACTTTGGCTGGTTTAATCATAAATAGATTTTATTGAAAGGATTTTGGGTAATTTACAGAATTGCCAGAAGAGCTGAAGAATCAGACATGGAAAATAGGCAGGCTCTATAGGAGGCAATGCATGGTGACCACAGCCAAACTTCCATCGGGGACAGTCTGGCGGGGTCTTTCTTGTGTCCTGGAATGATGACGGCCAGTGCAGGTCCTGAAGAATGCAGCTGCCGTGGACCCAGTCAGCACCTCTGGTCAACTGCCCTGGAATGAGAAAGCATCCTCACTGCCTCTAGAATGCAATTCTCCTCTAACCCTACTTCTTTGCTGAATTGCTCCACATTCAAAGATGTGGGCATCAGTGTCTGCCTGAATCTAGTAATGAAATTAAAGTTTAAAGCAATGAGAGGTAGACAAAACTGGGTACTTATTACGTTCCAAATACTTTCCAATTTATTCCCATATCTCTGGAATACATGTTTTTTAAAAGGGGTGATGTAAGAATGGGGAAAGCAAAATAATTAAGAAAAAATTATGAAAATAACTGGTTGATGGAATAATTGAACGGAATAAATGGAATAATGAAAGGATGTCAAAGACCTTCGTGCATTACGTGTATATAGCTCTGAAGTGTGTGTATATAACTCTGATGGATGTGTTGAGATTTGGCTCTGAGTGAGGGACTCTTGCAGGAAAAAGAAATAAACATGCACGTTAACTTGCTCTTCTACCCTGTCTTAGGCAATTCATCCAGATGAATTTTTAACTATCCCGTAGTGATGGGGCATCCAGGCCGTATTTTTTAAAATGTGCAATTAGAGTAAACAATTTAGAATCCTGTGCTCACCTTACACTAATAACTTTGCATCAAAATTTATGCAGTTTAGTGTGTTTGGCAAATGACTTGTGCCTTTAGTTTCACTTCCTCGCGGCATTTTCCCTTCCGTTTGGTTAATTATGATTTACTTCTGTTAGTTTCCAAGACCCCATTTCACCGAGTTCACATGGTGTTGTGAGTAATAACTTGACTGTTGTAATTGTCTTCCGGGATTAATCCTGTTTGTGTTGGAGGGTTACAAGCATTCTCACCAGAGGGGATGCTTTGGAAGTTTTGCATTATTCATGTGTAAGGCAAATTCACGAATGTTAAGAGTTGGAAAACAATGAAAACCAAAAATTTGGTCTAAAATCCTTTTTGGAGAACTGAGGAAGACAGATGGTCTGGAAGATTTTTAGTGTCAGATCTGAACTCTAATCAGTCAAGGAGAGAAACTTTCAGAACTGGGTGGTCAAAATGGCATCCTAGGAATTTTGACTTGCAGTCTTAAAGAAGACAGCCTAAAAGAAAAGGAAAAAACGTTCTCACCCTAGAGCATTTTTATGCAAAACGATGAAATTTATAGGAAAATTGGAAACAGTCAATTTCTGAGAATTATATACAGACGGTGAACTAACTGTGGCATAATCATTATTTGTGTTGATACTATTAAACGTTTTGGGGGAATCTGGTTTACTTGATTAAAACCAGGATTCTTTCTTTTCCCCAATGAGCAGATTATTTCCTGCGGATATATGTTCCTGCAGTCTTCGTTCATTGCACTGATAACAAGTGTAATTTCTTTATTGTCTGTTTCTCTAGTTTGTAAGTTTCAGACAGGGGAGTTAGGTCTACCTTCTTCTTCTTGTTCCCCTCTTCCAGCACATATGTACGTGGCACATAGTAAATCTTTCATTATTTGTTGATCAGTTGCCTAACAGGAGCATGGAAGTAAATGAATTATATTTGGAACATTTCATCCTGAAGATACCCACCCAGAGGAGAAGGCAGGGTAAAATTCTAGTCAGCTCAGTCTTAGTTCTTGACTCTTCAAAACTCTTGTTAGTTTTGACTCAGTTCCAAGATTCTGCATCTGGTTTGTGATTGTCCTCTGCAAATCCTTGGAAAGGACCAATCCTCGTGTAGAATAGACTTTCCATAAATATTTATTATGTGGATTTTGCTCATTGTTGACTGATCTGGGGGTCTTGGCTGCAATCTTTTCAAAAGAGTTTGGTGTGAATCTAGTTGACTGGAATCTGGGGTTACCCTGGGCAGACGTTAAGCCTATAATTGGTTTTAACAGAAATATATATAGCATATATATGGCATATATATGTATATATAGCTATATATATATATATAGCATATATATGGCATGTATATAGTATATATATATAGCATATATATGGCATATATGTGTGTGTATATATATATATAGCTATATATACATATATATGTATATATAGCATATATATGTATATATAGCTATATATACATATATGTGTATATATAGCATATATATGTATATATAGCTATATATGTGTATATACAGCATATATATGTATATATACGTATATATACAGCTATATATATATATAGCTGGCATCCCTAGACGTGGCACAGTCTGTCTGAAACTAGAGCAAAGTTCCCTCCTCTGGCTACCCTAGGATGACATAGTCTTTCAAAGTAGGAATATGACAGTATTATATAAATATAACATATTTATTAGCAGTAAGGACTGTAACTTTTCTATATTGCCTACAAAGTTCAATTGAGTGATTATTCCCACGGATCTAGAGATATTTTTAAGGTATTATATAACAATATTGTTATTAGCTCTGACTATGCCATTATTTTTCTAGCTTCTAGGCTTCTGTGTTTACTGTTTTGTCTGAAATATTTTTCTCCTCTTCACCTCAACTCTTCCCCATCCCCACCCCCATAAAAAAACCCTGAGTTACATTCGTCTGCTCTAGGTTCCCATCCTATAAACCACCATTTACTTCCTCGTCATTATGTTTTGCACACACGTATTGCTGCCTGTCTGATTTCCTGCCTCCCTTCCTAGGCCATGCATAAACTGTGTGAGGGCGTGTACTACACCTGTCCTTTGTTCCGAGTACTGGTGCCATTTCTGCCATATAGTTGACAACATCTCTTTATTGGATGAAAAATGAATGAGTGCGTGAACATGTGGCCTAAACAGAGAATGTTTCCGTGTGAAGTTTCTGTACCAGCCAACTATCTTCTTAACAGCTTGGTAGAGTTGGGAAAGGGGCAATAGGAGAAATGCTGTCCCTGTTTCAGCTTCTGGGCCAGACCCTACGACTGACCCCATTTCTGCAATGGCCCCATCACCCGTGCTGTGGGTTTGTGTCATATACACAAGCCTTGTGAAAATACCACAGACCACTGTGAGGCCATTCAACAAAGAACAGATGGATTTCACCTTGAGTGTTGTTTTCCAAAGCACACGTGTTTCGGTGCCACCACGTTTCCCTTGCCCATCATGTGAGCCTCCTCCCTCCATCGTGCTCCTCTTTCTGCTTCCATCACATCAGGGGCCCTGAAGGCGACAGCACTGATTCCGTCCTCTTTGCCTGCCCAGCACCTGGTCACAGATTTGGATGGAGGACAAATAAAGCATAATAGTGTTCTAAGAGCCTTTCCCCTAGCTTGGCAGTCAGCTTCTGACAAGGTCATCAGGTAGGGTGGGGAGGAGGGTGCAGGGGCAAAGGAGAAGCTCACCCCTTGCCTTTGGAGGGTTTGTTGAAAAAAAACATCAACTCGCAGTAAGGCAAATTAAGAAGAGGAAAGGCATACAAATTCATTCACCATGTGCTTGGGGAGAATCACAGAGTGATTCCCTAATTTCCCAATGGGGCCCACACACTTACATAAACTCCTTTCAGAGGAAGGGGAGAGAGAGAATATAGGTAATTCTGTTGAGGGGCATTAAATGACGACCAAGGAAACATGAGTGGGTACTTGAGAGAAGGAACGGCAGAGGGGAAGAGGCAGAGACTGATTTGTAAATGGTTGTCTTTGGAAGTTCAGTGAATCTGAGAGATGGGCATTATCTTGTAAAAAGATTGGGTGAGATCTGGTTACATTCTTCCGCTCCTTTCCTGAAATAGATCATGAGATAACAGGGGAAAAGGAAATATTCTTGAAAGAGAAAATGAGATAACAAGGAAAAAGCAATTCTTCTTCTGGTGGGTCCCTCTGGTCTTCATGAAGCTAGGGAAAAGTGTCTTCCAAGGCCTGTTGTTTTCTAAGGGTTTTAATTAAAAATATTCATTATCCCAGGGAGCCGTATTTTGGGGTGAAAAATCTCTTTCCTGAGGGGGCATACTCTGCAAGAGGGTGGTTGAGTCTCCTGATGGCATCGTTCTCAGAATTTGGGATTGTATGCTCAGAACCTTTGATGCATGTTTTGTAGGTTGTATAAAACCACACATCTGTCCTTTCCAGACCGAAATATCGAGTTCTCCACAATGATCCTCTGTGACACAAGTTACATTTGCAATAGAAACCTATCTTGTATATGAGAAATGCAATCCAGTATTGATTCGACACATCTGGGTTGAATTCCTGACTTGTCCACAGCCAGCGATATGCCCTTGGACAAGCTACTTTATCCCATTGAGACTCTGTTCTCACCTCTACGAGGAGAGTGTCAGAGGCATTTGGACCAGAGCGACTCCATCTTGAATAGGGGCTGGGTAAAATGATGCTGAGACCTAGTGGGCTGCATTCCCAGGAGTTAAGGCGTTCTTAGTCACAAGATGAGACATAGGTCAGCATAAAATACAGGTCATAAAGACCTTGCTGATAAAACAGGTTACAGTAAAGAAGCCAGCCAATACCCACCAAAACCAAGATGGTGAAAGAGTGACATCTGGTCCTCTTCACTGCTCATTATACGCTGATTATAAGGCATTAGCATGCTAAGAGACACTCCTGCCAGTGCCATGGCAGTTTACAAATGCCATGGCAACCAACGTCAGGAAGCTACCCTATGTGGTCTAAAAACCGGTCTAAAAAGGGCAGGAGCCCTCTGTTCTGGGGCAATTGCCCAGCCCTTTCCCGGAAAACTCATGAATAATCCACCCCTCATTTAGCATATCATCAAGAAATCGCCATAAAAATGCGTAGCCAGCAGTCCTCAGGGCTGCCCTGCTTAGGGAGTAGCCATTCTTTTATTCCTTGACCTCCTTAAACTTTCTTTCACTTTATGGACTGGCCCTGAAGTTATAATAAAATCACTGTTTCTTTTCACAACTGGAAGTTGAGATAAACCCGTAAGACCACATTTTAGTTCCCAGGCTAGCATCTTGAGCCCTGTGAGTCTGAGTTCTATTTTTCCCTCCAGTCTTAACTTTTATTGTATTATGGCAATTATGAATTATGAATATTTTGATAACATAATGCATGAATGCACGCTCTTGATACATACTTCAAACGGTAAGGAATTTTGTAAAGTTAAATGGAAGAGTTCTTCACTCAATATCCTTGGCCCAACAGACGTGCCTATGAACTCTGTGGCTTTTCCTCCCTCGTCCTGTTTCACCTCCGCTCCTGCTGTTGCCTCCCTCCTCCTCCCTGGCTCCTAAGTCTTTGAGTAACTCAGCGGCCTTTTGGTGATTGTTCCATTTAGGGGTAGATTCCTCAGAGAGGCCTTGTCCACCCAACGGGAGGAAGTCTGCCTGACCTTACTCCACGGTATTTTAAACCAGAGTATGCTGTTTGCATCCTTACTAAAACTATGCAGGATCATGACTGGCCAGGGCGGCTTGCACCTATAATCCCAGCACTTTGGGAGGCTGAGGCAGGAGGCTCACTTGAGGCCAGGAGTTTGAGACCAGCCTGGGAAACACAGTGAGACCCCATCTCTAAAAAAAGAAAGAAGAAAAAGAACTCTGTTGTAATTCTGTTTGTTTGCTTTGCTTCTTTCCACTGTCTGCCTTACATTCTTGCCTTCTGCATTGTAAGCATAAGAAGGCGGAGTGCAGGATATGCTTGTTCTATATACTGTTGTGGTCCTACTTTTCCTCATATTGCCTGAAGTAAATGTTGGTGGAAAAATTAATACACACACATACACAGATGCATATACAAATACATTTTACTCAGTGCCCCGTGTTATATATATAACTTTGTTTTGAACATAGTAAATCTTAGAGATCTTCCTATATTGGGACATTCAGTGACTGACTAGTATTGCACTGTGTGGAAATACCAATAATTTATTAAATCTTCTCATTGCAAATGGACAAATTAGGTTGTTTCCAATTTTTTATAATCATAAAGAATGAATCATTGACCATCTCAGTCTTGCCCAGACCTTATCTGGCCACCCATGCAGGTATTTTTGTAAGATAAATTCCTATAAGAGGAATGATTGAGTTGAAGGGATGACACAATTTTGATTTTGAGAGATAATCTCGAATTAACTTTAAAAGTTGATGTACCAAATTACATGTGAGCCAGCTGCAATTGTAAGAGTTCTTGTTTTGTAATTCTCAATATCAGCAGATATTATAAATCTTCAAGTTTTGTCAAGTTAAAGGGTAAAAATCCTAGCTATATCTCATTGTTCTAATTTGCATTTATGATTACTAACAAAGTTAAATATTTTAATGTGTTTATAGTCGTGTACTTTTCCTATGAATTGCCTTTCCTTGTACATTACCTTTTTTCATTCATTTTTTCTTAATGATTGCAGAAGCTTTAACCTTTTGATGTTTATTATTTGTCGTTATGTGCATTCCAAAGAATTTCTGCTGATCTGTTGTTTATGATTAACATTTTTGAATGGTATTCTTTCAAATGTAACTAATTTTTTAAGAGCTTTATTGAGATGTAATTGATATATGAAGAACTGCACTGTACTTGAACTCCTGAGCTCAAGTGATCCCCTGCCTTGGCAGCTCGGGTAGCTAGGAATACATGTGCACACTATGTCACCCAGGTCATTTTTAAATTTTTTGTACAGATGGGTTCTTCCTGTGTTGCCAGGCTGGTCTTGAACTCCTGGCCTCAAGCAATACTCCTGTCTCAGACTCCCAACACTATGGGATTACAGGTGTGAGCCAGTGCACCTGGATCAACTATGCATGTTTAATGTATACAATTTGATAAATTTGGGCATATGAAAACACCTGTGATATTATCAGCATAATCAAAGAAATAGACACTGTATTAGTTCATTTTCACACTGCTGATAAAGACATACCCGAGTCTGGGCAATTTACAAAAGAAAGAGGTTTAATGGACTTACAGTTCCACAGGGCTGGGGATGCCTCACAATCATGGTGGAAGGCAAGGAGGAGCAAGTCACATCTTACATAGATGGTGGCAGGCAAAGAGGGAGAGCTTATGTAGGGAAACTCCCCCTTATAAAACCATCAGATCTCCTGAGACTTATTCACTACCACAAGAACAGCATGGGAAAGACATGCCCCCATGATTCAGTTACCTCCCTCTGGGTCCCTCCCAGAACACGTAGGAATCCAAGATGAGATTTGGGTGGGGACATAGCCAAACCATGTAATTCCACCCAAGCTCCTCCCAAATCTCATGTCCTCACATTTCAAAGCCAATCATTCCTTCCCAACAGTTCCCCAAAGTCATAACTCATTTCAGCATTAACTCAAAAGTCCACAGTCCAAAGTCTCATTTGAGACAAGGCAAGTCCCTTCTGTCTATGAGCCTGTAACATCAAAAGCAAGTTAGTTACTTCCTAGATACAATGTGGGTACAGGCATTGGGTAAATACAGCCATTCCAAATGGGAAACATTGGCCAAAACAAAGGAGCTACAGGCCCCATACAAGTCCGAAATCCAGTGGGGCAGTCAAATCCTAAAGATCCAAAATGAGCTCCTTTGACCCATGTCTCACATTCAGGTCACGCTGATGCAAGAGGTGCATTCCCTGGCCTTGGGCAGCTCCACCCCTGTGGTTTTGCTGGATATAGCCCCTCTCCTGACTGCTTTCACAGGCTGGTATTGTCTGTGGCTTTTCCAGGGGCACAGTGCAAGCTGTTGGTGGATCTACCATTCTTGGGTCTGGAGAACAGTGGCCCTTGTTTCTTTTCTTTTCTTTTCTTTTCTTTTCTTTTCTTTTCTTTTCTTTTCTTTTCTTTTCTTTTCTTTTCCTTTCCTTTCCTTTTCTTCTCTCTCTCCTTCTCTCTCTCTCTCTCTCTCTCTCTCTCTCTCTCTCTCTCTCTCTCCCTCTCCCTTCCCTTCCCTTCCTTTCCCTTCCTTTCCTTTCCTTTCATTTTTTTTGACATGGAGTTTCACTCTTGTCATCCAGGCTGGAGTACAGTAGTGTGATTTTGGCTCACTGCAACCTCTGCCTCCTGGGTTCAAGAGATTCTCCTGCCTCAGCTTCCTGAGTAGCTGGGATTACAGGTGCCTGCCACCATGCTTGGCTAATTTTTTGTATTTTTAGTAGATACAGGGTTTTGCCATGTTGGGCAGGTTGGTCTCGAACTTCTGACCACAGGTGATCTGCCTGCCTTGGCCTTCCAAAGTGCTGTGATTACAGGTGTGAGCCACTGCACCTGGCTGAACAGTGGCCCTTTTTTCACAGCTCCATTAGGCAGTACTCCAGTAGGGACTCTGTGGGGGCTTCAACCCCACATTTCCCTTCTTCACTGCCCTAGCAGAGGTTCTCCATGAGGACCCCACCCCTGCAGCAAACTTCTGCCTGGACATTCAGGCATTTCCATACATTTTCTGAAATCTAGACAGAGGTTCCCAAACCTCAATCCTCGACTTCTGTGAACTTGCAGGCTCAACACCACATGGAAGCTGCCAAGGCTTGGGGTTTACATCCTCTGAAGCAACAGCTTGGGCTGTACCTTGGCTCTTTTTAGTCACAGCTGGAGTGGCTGGAATGCAGGGCACCAAGTCCATAGACTGCACACAGCAGAGGGACCCCGGCCCTGGCCCATGAAACCATTTTTTTCCTCCTAAACCTCTGGTCCTGTGATGGGAGGGGCTGCTTCAAAGGTCTCTAACATGCCCGGAAGACATTTTCCCCATGGTCTTGGGAATTAACATTAGGTTCCTAGTTACTTATGTAAATTTCTGCAGCCAGCTTGAATTTCTCCTCAGAAAATGGGATTTTCTTTTCTATTGCATTGTCAGGCTGCAAATTTTCCAAACTTTTATGCCCCTTTCCCCTTTTAAAACTGAATGCTTATAACAGCACACAAGTCACCTCTTAAATGCTTTGCTGCTTGGAAATTTCTTCTACCAGATACCCTAAATCATCTCTCTCAAGTTCAAAGTTCCACAAATCTCTAGGGCAGGGGCAAATTGCTGCCAGTCTCTTTGCTAAAATATAACAAGAGTTACCTTTGCTCCAGTTCCCAACAAGTTCCTCATCTCCATCTGAGACCACCTCAGCCTGGATTTCATTGTCTGTATCATTATCAGCCTTCTAGTCAAAGCCATTCAACAAGTCTCTAGGGAGTTCCAAACTGTCTCACAGTTTCCTGTCTTCTTCTGAGCCCTCCAAGGTGTTCTAACATCTGCCTGTTACCCAGTTGCAAAGTCGCTTCCACATTGTTGTCTATCGTTGCAGTAGCACCCCACTCTACTGGTACCAGTTTACTGCATTAGTCTGTTTTCACGCGGCTGATAAAGACATACCTGAGACTGGTCAATTTACAAAAGACAGAGGTTTAACGGACTTATAGTTACACAGGGCTGGGGAGGCCTCACAATCATAGCAGAAGGCAAGGAAGAGTAAGTCACATCTTATGTGGATGGCGAGAGGCAAAGAAAGAGCTTGTGCAGGGAAACTCCCCCTTATAAAACCATCAGCACTTGTGAGACTTATTCATTACGCTGAGAACAGCTTGGGAAAGACCTGCCCTCATGTTTCAATTACCTTCCACTGGGTCTCTCCCACAACACATAGGAATTTGAGATGAGATTTGGGTGGGGACACAGCCAAACCATATCAGACACCAAC
The DNA here is from genome assembly GCF_000001405.40 of Homo sapiens. NCBI lineage: Eukaryota > Metazoa > Chordata > Mammalia > Primates > Hominidae > Homo > Homo sapiens. The sequence continues at coordinate 186,989,278 of NC_000004.12, forward strand.
ACCTTCTAATGTTTTCTTGTGTCCTTTCCCCTCATTGTTGTAGTAAGAACACTTAATGTGAGACCTCTTAACAAATTTTGGAATGCACCACATCATATTGCTAACTATAGGCAATATGTTGTAAGATAGATCTCTAGAATGTATTCAACTAGCATAACTAAAACTTTACACCAATTGAACAACAACTCCACATTTCCCCTACTCCTGAGTTTCTGGGAATGACTATTGTATTCTTTGATTCTATAATTTTGAGTATTTCACATCCCTCATATAAGTAGAATCATGCAATATTTGTCCTTCTGTAACTGGCTTATTTTATTTAACATTATGTCTTTTGGGTACATCCATGTTTTCACACATAGCAAGATTTTGTTGTTTTCGAAGGTTGAGTAATATTCAATTGTATTATACACCACATTTTCTTTATCCATTCATCTGTCAATGGACAATCTTTTATTGAACAATTTATTAGTTTTTAGTGGTCAAAGAACAAGATCATGTCCTTTATATGATTTATATGTTTTGGTTGTTATTTTAGAAGCCCTTCTCCATTTCAGTAGTATAAATATATGTATTTCTGACCTTTTTCTTCTTATACTGTTAGTTTTTCAGTATAACATTGAACTTTTAAAACACCTTGACTTTTTTTCTGAGTATGGTATGAATTAGGGATATTTGTTACTTTTTTCCCATATTAACAGTTATTCACCTAATTATACTTTATTCAGTTGGTCTAGACTTTTTCCTACATATTTGCCATCTTTATTATAATTTAAATCAGCATATACACTTGGATTTATTTTTGGTCTCTCTACATAGGGCTATGTATCTATTGTTTAATTCTTAGAGATTTATGTGGATATGTGGTAGGTATATGTCTTCACTCACTGCGCTTATTTTCAACATTTTTTTCCATTATATTTATTTGTTTTTCTCTTATAGATGAACCTGAGAATAATCTGTCAAGCTGCTGATAAAAATTCTTTATGAAGTTAAAGATTGCACAGAACTTACAAATTAAATTGGGAGAATTGAATTTCCTGTAATATTGAAGTTTCTCAACCAAAATATTGTTACCCATTTCTATTTTTCACTTTTTAAAAAATGTATGAAACAACATTTATAGCCTTTTTAAATAGAACTTCTACTCTTCTCATTAGGATTATTTCTCATTTTGTGTTTTTTTGCTGCTATTTTGAGTTTTTTTTTTCTCTATTTCATTCTAATTGATGGTTAGATGGTTAGTAGATGGTTAGAAAATTATTTATTTTTATATGATGATATTGAATCTAGCCACTTTGAACTCTTGTGCCATTTTATAAAAATTTGTTTTCTTAAGTATCTAGAAAAATAATGAAATAGTGTCTGAAAATAATAAATTTTGCCTCTGTTTTTCAATATTTTTACTTTTCTCCTCATTCTATTCTTATTAGTGATGAAATATATATATATGTATTCATTGTCTCTCATACAAAAAGTAGCCTTGACAATCTGAAAACAAAATAGATTTGCATTAAAATTGGAACCTAAAATGCAAGGATACTGAAAGTTAGGTCACTTTAACACCAATTGGTGCCTTTAAGATAGTATTAAAAATATACACATGGTATTTGCCAAATTTTGAATATAGGAGCATATTGTGCTTTGTACATACTTTAAAATAGCCACAGATGGCTGGGCGAGGTGGCTTTTGCTTGTAATCCCAGCACTTAAGGAGGCCTAGGTGGGCAGATCACCTGAGGTCAGGAGTTTGAGACCAGCCTGACCAACGTGGTGAAACCCCATCTCTACTAAAAATACAAAAATTAGCCGGGTGTGGTGGTGCATGCTTGTAATCCTAGCTACTCAGGAGGCTGAGGCACAAGAATCGTTTGAACCCAGGAGGTGGATGTTGCAGTGAGCCTAGATAGGGCTGTCAGCCTGAGTGACAGAGTGAGACTCTGTCTCAAACAAACAAATAAAAAAAGCCACAAATGCTAATAAAATAATACATTCCTAAAAGATACTGTTTAATAGTTTCTCCTAAAAGATACTGTTTAATAATTACTCCTATTATTCTAAGAACATTGGCATTAGAATTTAGAACATAATTAACAGACTCTTCTTCCAAAAATGTGTAACAATGAGAGGTAATAGTGAATGGCAAATGTACAGTGTGAATGAGAGGCAAGAGTACCAGGACAGACCTTGTTTAAATTATGTAATACATTTTAAAAATCCACAGAGAATAAACATGAGCTTAACTAAATAAAATGACTTCTGTTTGTTTAAATTTTTTGGCAGATAAAAATTAAGTGATACAATAGTCATTCTGGGTGGTGTGAGATGGTGGTATCTTATTGTGGTTTTGATTTGCATTTCTCTAATGATCAAAGATATTGAGCTTTTTTTCATATGCCTGTAGCTGCATGTATTTCTTCTTTTGAAAAGTGTCTGTTCATGTCCTTTGCCCACTCTTTAATGAGATTGTTTGTTTTTATTCTTGTAAATTTATTTAAGTTCCTTATAGATTCTGGATACAAGACCTTTGACAGATGCATAGTTTGCAAATATTTTCTCCCATTCTTTATGTCTGTTTACTCTACTGATAGTTTCTTTTGCTGTGCAGAAGCTCTTTAATTTGATGAGATCCCATTTTTCAATTTTTTGTTTTGTTGCAATTGCTTTTGGAGACTTCAATAACAGACGCTGCCAAGGTTGTGGAGAAAAGGGAACACTTATGCATTGTTAAGGGGAGTGTAAATTAGTTCAACCATTGTGGAAGCAGTGTGACAATTTCTCAAAGAGCTAAAAATAGAACTGCCATTCAACCCAGCAATCCCATTACTGGGTATGCACCCAAACGAATATACATTATTCTGTCACAAAGACACATGCATGCAGATGTCCATTGCAGCACCATTCACAATAACAAAGACATGGAATTGGTGTAAATGCCCATCTATGGTAGATTGGATGAAGAAAATGTGGTACATATACCCCGTGGAATACTATGCAGTCATAAAAAAGAACAAGATCGTGTTCTTTGCAGGAACATGGCTGGAGCTGGAGGCCATTATCCTTAGCAAACTAATGCAGGAACAGAAAACCAAATACTGCATGTTCTCACTTATAAATGGGAGCTAAATAGTAAGAACACCTGTACACCAAGAGGGGTACAACACACACTGGGACTTACCTGAGGGTCAGAATTGGGAGGAGGGAAAGGATCAGAAAAAACAACTATTGGGTACTGGGCTTAGTACCTGGGTGATGAAATAATCTGTACAACAAACCTTCATGATATGAGTTTACCTATATAACAAACCTGAACATATACCCCTGAACCTAAAATAAAAGTTATAAATAAATAAATAAAATAAAATTCAAGTGTATGAAACATTTATTATTATTATTATTACTATTTTTTAAAGAACCTGCTGGGAATGTATTGCAAGTGCGTTGTAACTGTAGTTCACCTACTTACCTTAACAATATTGAGGTTTTCTGACTAGTGAACATGGTATATCTTTCCATTTATCTAGGTTTTCTTTAATTTCTCTCAGCAAGTTTTGTAGTTTTCAGTGTACAGGTATTGTACATATTTTGTTTAACCATATGTAATTTATACTTTGTATGCTATTTCCAATTTTCATTAATAGCATATAAAAATATAATAGATTTTTAAATATTGACCACATATCTTGTGGCCTTGCTAAATTCATGTATTAGTCCATTTTTAAAAATAAATCCTATTCTTTTAATTTTTTTATAATTTCTTATAAATTCTATTTTTCCTGCATAGAAGATCTGTCCTCTGTTATTTCATCCTTTCCAAAAAAAAATTCAGTGATGTGATGTTGTCCATGTTGCTCTGAGGGCATCACTACGATGGAAAGCACATCCTCCCGATTTTCAACGTGGAGAGATGTCCCATGTAACCTATTCCTTGTGAAAGCAACCCAAAAGTCCTATAGACACTTGCTTTTGGATAAACACAGGAATGGAACCTTCTGCTGTTAAAGTTTGAAACTTATGTTTGTTTTATCTGAGTTCCTTCCTCAGGAAACTACCTTCAGGCCTCTCACAAAAAGCATCAAAGAACTGAACCCAGATCACCACACCGGTTGCCGGACCCCTCATTCACCAGGATCGCTTCCTTGCTCCTCCCGAGTTCCTGTTTTCTTATTCATTCTTACATTTCTTGGCTGCTATATAATCCCCTGGTTTTAATCAGTCAGGAAGATGGATTTGAGACTGCAGCATCTCCTCAGCTGCAGCACCCAATTAAAGCCTTCTCCCTTGGCAAGACTCATCGTCTCAGTGACTGGCTTTCTTTGCAGTGAGTGCAGGACTGAGACTGAACCCTTGGTGTTTTGGTAACAATTGTTCAACAATCATTTGTTGTGACCCTCATCTTTCCTTCTCTTTTAATTTTCTTGAGCTCATATTTTAATTTTTATTTATTACATGATATTCCAATTTAATTATATTGAATTAATAAGTTATTCTGTTGATGCCCTCCAGAATATTATCTCATGGTATTTATATCATTTCACTTAATGTCTCTTCATGAATTAGGACTCACAGCTTTGGAACTGCACTGAATGGTTTTGAGCTTGGACCATATATCATTCATTCATTTTTGGGAGTTCACTTTAGTGTGCCTCAGGGTGGGAATAATGCAACTTTAATTCATGATCTTTAAAGGAAGCCCTTTGGATCGTATATTGATGATAGGATGAAAGGATCTCAATAAAGCAGAACTTGTTTGAGATTAGGTCACATTTCATTTCAAAATTATTAGGTTGAAGTTGCTGATTTAGTGGGATATTGTATCGGTTGATGTTAAAATGATCTCGTGTGTTAGATTTTGATAGCATGGAGGAACAGAGATGGGCAATCATATCCTTCTGTATTTCCTTCTTGTGACAAGATATGACCATGGAAGCACTGATGTACTAAGGGAAATAGTGTTTCATCAACTGCACTGAGCTATCCAGAGTCAGGAAATATAATAAAAACCATTAATATTCCTTGCTAAAGGGATTTCTATTTATTTAACTGCTAACTCAGTTATTTTAGTAACATAATGGTTAAATCAGTAGAGGTTCTTTTCTGCAAATTATATTTGCAGGGAGTCAGTAAGATAGATTTTACCTTCTTGGGAAAATGAGTCATTGGGGAAATATCTGTAGGTCTTCTTTGGAAGAATATTCTAGAGACTATTGTGATCAAGCATCTACAAACTTGTGATAGATTTTGTTGAATCAATTTCAGTGTGAGATCTTTAGAGAAGAGTAGAAGAACTATTCTGTTAGGATAAAGATTTAATTTGATAGAGAGATCACAAAGAGCCACAATGTCAAAAGATTCAAGATAGTTTGCACCTAACTTAAAATTGGAACAGTAGTGTAAAATATAAAAACACTGTGCTTAATATGTTTCATATGCTTTCTATGTTAAATATATATATTTAATATGCTGAATATATAGGAGGTTCTATAAATAGTTTTCATTCTCAAATGAAATCTTACATTGTAAGATAGAAAAAAAGACGTAGGCCTCATTTGCATTTGAAAATAGAAATGAAGAAATGAGAAAATGAATAATTCTAGTATCAGACTGTGTTTCTTCTGCAATGGATAATTACTTTAAGAAAAACGAATTTTCATTTGAATTGGTGAAAAATTGATAACTTTTCCTCACTTTTTAAAATGTAAATAGAGTGGTTGGAAACTAAAAAAAAAATCAGTAAGATCAGCTTTCTCTGCACCTGTGTCAGCAAAACATAAGGAATTCTGAGGGGAAAAAGTGAAACGTTACTTAACATCATCTATTAAGGAACTTTTTCTCTTAAGTTCTTTAATAAGTTGCTGTTTAGATTGCAAGAGGATGTTTAATATCCAGAAGCATAACCCTGAAATCTCAAGACTTCGACTTACAATTGCCTACAAAAATATTCTAATTTACTGATTGTAATGTTTTCCATATACAATTAAGAAACAGTTTAGCACATTATTATTTTAATTTTGCATTCTTCAATGTAATTTTACATCACATTTATTGATTATAGACTTGTGTGTCTTTCTCATTATTTGGCTTCACAGTAGTTCCCTAGGATGCTTTGTCTGTAAAGCCACTTTAAAATGTCATCCACATCACAAATGTTACAAATCCTATTACACAGTTCACCCAAGATTCTGCACACGTTTTTCCAGTGTGCAATGTAGCAAAAATAACTGAAATACTGTATAGTGGATGGATTTGGCATGGAAGTCATCCCAAAGATCTGCTGGAGTATAACAGGGCTTCAGACTGGATCAAATAGGAATTCTCAGTATTTCAATAGAATAAAGGTAAATTCCACACAAGGCAGTTTTTCCCCTCCATATATAGTAAAGATTTAATGACAGTCTCTGGAAAGATTGTACTGGCAATGTTTCAAGTATCACATTGTCTTTTAGGGATTAATTGTTCCTAAATGTGATACGAACAAATTTCCTCAGAGCTCCTACGTCTTCTAAAGATAGCTGTAATATGTGCTATGCTTGACTGCAAGGATGCAAAATGACTTTTCCATATTCAACTGTCTCTTCGGCACTACTCAAATTTTAACGAGTAATGGATTTTTGTGACTAAAAAGGTAGTTGTATGTTGACTGGACGACAGTAAATGTTTCCATTCTAATTAGAGAATAGCAGAATGGGAAGTAACCATGGAAGTAATTTGACTGATTGATTGGTTTTTGCTTTATCAAGTATGTGAGATAATACATACAAAGCTTTGCTTAGGAACTCCTAATTTCAACATCTCCATCCCTGCCGCATATCCCATTCCGGATTCTGTTTCTCATCCTCTGTCTTCCCACCCCATTCCTGGATTTAAACTCTTTGAAATCAATTCTCCCTAAACACCTCTGAGATTGAGTGGAAAAGCCTAGAAGGCAGTAGATCCTTGAGATTGTGGCCTTGAGGGTTTGAGGGAGACAACACTTACCAAACTTGAATTTCCCTCAACTCTGGTTGGGTTCCTTGTTGGAGCTGCCCTTGTGCGGAAAGCCAGTGGATTAGAGTGCAGTGGGAATCGCAGGGAAACGCCTCTGAAGGCTTATCCATCACAGTGGTTCTCAAAGTGCGTTCTGATGGTCCTTTGAAGGTTTCTGAGTAGCTTTCAGGGGATCTGCAACTCAAAACAAGGCTTAGGGTGATACCAACATTATTTACCCTTTTCACTCATTTTATAGCAATGGCACAAAAGCAATGATGCATAAAACTGCTGGTGCCTTAGCACAGATCACGGTAGTGGCACCAAGCTGCAGTGCTGGTTACTGTATTCTTTATTGCTATACATGTGCGTTCAAATAAAACAAAACAAAACAAACAGAACAAAGCAATCTGCTAGCTTTGCTGAAGAATATTCTTGATGAAACAATAAGAATCATTAATTGTATTAATTTTGGTCTCGGAGTACACATCTAGAAGAAACGAGAAGTGTAAATAAAGCACTTCTGCTTACTGAATACAGTGGATGACCTAAGGAAAAGTCTCCAACCAACTGTTTGAGGACAAACTATCTTATTCAGACCAACTATGGTTATTCAGACTTGCTTATTTTGTAGACATTTCCTTGAAAATGAAGTGAGCTTTTCACCTGAAGTAAAATCACTAATAATGTGTGTTGCCAGCGAAAATTAGAATTTTGGAAAACTTGTGTCTGCCTCTGTGAAACTGACTGCTTCCTAATACAGATGTTTCTTATAAGATCAGTAGTAATATCAAAACGTGATTTTGTCTGTATTGATGAATGAAATGTGTCCATGTTTGGAAGATCTATATATTTCAGTAAACCAATATTTTCTTATAAGGTCAGTAGTAACATCAAAACGTGATTTTGTCTGTATTGATGAATGAAATCTGTCAATGTTTGGAAGATCTATATACTTCAGTAAACCAATATTTTCCACATGACCATGTATGATATTGCAGAAATCATGCCCCAGTAAAGAAGACCTGAGCCAGCCGTATGCTAGAGCAGCGGATTTTAATAGAACGGAGCACAAAGAATCATGGATATGGCTTCATATCCCACATCGCAGCTGTCTTTTAAAAACTGTGAATTGTCAAGTTTTGGTGTAGTAGTAAAGAACCATATCCACAGTTATCTGAAAAGGCAATTAAAATACTTCTCCTGGCTGGGCGTGGTGGCTCATGCCTTTAATCTCAGCACTTGGGAGGCCAAGGTGGGCAGATCACGAGGTCAGGAGATGGAGACCATCCTGGCCAACAAGGTGAAACCCCATCTCTACTAAAAATACAAAAATTAGCCGGGTGTGGTGGCGGGTGCCTGTAGCCCCAGCTACTCAGGAGGCTGAGGCAGGGGAATTGCTTGAACCCAGGAGGCAGCAGAAGTTTCAGTGAGCCAAGATTGGCCACTGCACTCCAGCCTGGGCGACAGAGCAAGACTCCGTCTCAACAACAACAACAACAACAACTTCTCACTTTTCCTCACACATAACTGTGTGAGAATGCTTTTGTTCATACACATTAAACAAAACTTTTCAAATTTTCCATTAGGCCAGACACTAAGGAGATTTGCGAAATGTAAAATAGTGCCACTCTTCTTATTCATTTCTTTTGAAAATATGGTTATTTTGCATGAGAATATATTATATGTATTAACATGTAATGCGTTACCATACTATTGTTTTTTTAAAATAAATAATAAATATGTATACATTTCTCAATTTTGAATATAATAAATATTGGTAGATATGATCCACATGAACAGAAGCCTTTGCCTTTGCAGTCTTCAGTATTTTTTAAGAACATATAGGGGAGATCCTTAGACTACATAGTTTAAGACCAGCTGCTTTAGAGAAATACTTCTGGAAAAAATTCTACAGCAAGTAAAAAACAAAAAACAATAAAAACCCAAACATCTCAATTTGCTATTCTGCAAAAAATAATTTTGTAGCCTTTTCATTATTTTTTGTAAATAAAATTTTGCAAGTTATTTGCCATAAGAATGAAGATATATATACCTTCTGATTCAGTTCTAAAAGATTCCTGTAATTATAATTGTGCTAGATAATATATAATAATAATTGGATTAATCAAATTGTCATGCCTCACAATTTTTAACTGAATTTTTTGGTGTCTATTAATTCTTTAAAAAATAAATGTATGCTATGTTATGACACCCACCTTGCATTCCACAACACCATTCCATTCTGTATTTCCAACAAGATGCTCAGCACTAAACAGCATAGAGTAGGGTGTCCCTCTAAGCCCTGGCCAGCGAGGAGGCCTGCTGAGAACTCACCTTGTGTGTGGGACGGTTGTTTGTTTTTTGCTTGTTTCTTTTGGAGCTCCAGATCCCTGTCTGTGCGTGAGTTCCCATCCGCCAGCTGCTGTGGGTGCTGACTGCACAGGGGCTGCAGCTGCAGCCTTGGAAGGACAGCCCTTGGTCTAGGGGAGCTGCCTTGTGCTGGAGGCGATGGTGCCGTTCCCAGTGACCCGCAGCCAATGGCTGATGGATGCAGGTATGAAAGGCCCCTGGCCTCCTTGGAGGACCTACTGTCGGTAAGACCTACCCTCTGGTGCCATTTTTATGCTCCACAGCTCTCCAAGCACCCGGCAGGGGCTGGATCACAACTCAAATCACACTCTGCCTGGCTTTTCCCCTTCCCTATTCTCTCCCCCACTTTCCCCCAGCTTCCTCCTGGGTGCAGTTCCTTAATAATAATCCTTCAGAGCCAGAGACAAGAATTTTTGTTCTGAATATCCCACCTTAGATGACTGAACTGAGACATAATTCCGTTTGTTCTTGGGGGTGAGGGATTTGGGCCAGCGGATGGGGCGTTTGAATGGGGACCAATGAGGGTGTGAACATTCCATTATAAACATCATTCTTTCCTTTTATATCCTTAACTAGGACTATACTTTTATAACCTAAACTTTTGTCATCATTGATGTGATAAGTGTAAGGAATTCATTGTAAATGTGAAGGCTTATACCTTTTTGAAAACTTGCACTGAAAGAGTGGTTCTCAACTGGGATGGTTTTATCCCCGCGGGGGGGACATTTGGCAATTTTTGATTGTCACAAATGGGGGAAGGGCTGTAGTGCATAAGGGCCGGGGATGCTGCTACACATCCTACTAAGTACAGACACAGCCCTCTAAAATGAAGAATTATCCAGCCCATAATATCAACAGTGCTAAGCCTAGGAAATCTGATTGAAAGTAAAAAAATTTTCCAATATAGTGTTCATTAATAATGGAGTGTAGCCTTTCCACAAAAACTATTTGTGTAACTCAAATGACAGAAATAAAGACATAATTATTTGTCCTCCTTAAAAGATATGATTGTATCTGTTTTCTTCTTGGTACATCTCATAAGGAGGGAAAAAAAACACTTCATGCTAGAAACTATTCAGCTTCATTGAGTTTCCCCGGAAATTGACAAGTGATGAAAGCAGAGCTGTTTGTGTTCGAGTTCCTGTTTATGTCAAATGAATTTGAATAAAACAACCAGAGCAGAAACTTGAAACAAGTACTCCTCCCATATGCTCATGTTTTCATTTAAGACAAAGTGTAAGAGAAAATGTTGAAAGGCAACAGCCTAATATTCTGGCCATAATATTCCTGGAATGTTATGGGGCCATTCTCACTCAGCACTTGGCATATTTTCACCTTTAGCAAAATCGTCTTTGTGCTTATGAGTAGTTTGTGAAATAACTGCATTAAGGACTTTTCTGTTCTGGTTTAAGTTAAAAAATGATTACTTTGAAGTATCACTATGTACTATATCTTAAAAGAATAAAACATTAATAGAAATCAATTAATTATCCTTTGACTTTGACCTGGAATGGCTACTGCTGAGTGCTGTGTATTGATCACAGAAATCTTGAACTTCTCTTTTAGTGTTGTTAGTGGGGCTACCGGCTATCGGGTGCATGTAGATATTAATTTTCTCTAACTCATTCTTGTCACAGTGATATTTCCATTGCATTCCATCCTGTTCGGCTCAAGGCATTTTCAGACTCTTTGAAAATAAAATCTTCTTTCTCTTCTCTATAAAATCTTATCTACTTCTAATTTTTTGTCTTTACTCCATACTATCCCCAAATCTGAGAGCAAAAATTCCTTTTGGTTTCCTGTTCATGAACATATTTGTGTATGAACTTTCTTTTACAGTAAAATAATTGGCAGTGTGCCTTTTGGCTCAAGTTTGTCTTTTGTTCTCCGGCTTTGTTATCTCTCTTGGCCCAAGTTCAAGCATCTCCTTCAGCATCTTCTGTGGTGTGTCCTGTCTTTGCAGGTAGGAACTCAAGGTGACTGGTTTTAAGCCAAATATTCTCACCAAAAGTAGAATTGACCCATAAATACTTTTGATTCTATTCTTTTTTTTTTTTTTTTTTTGAGACGGAGTCTGGCTCTGTCGCCCAGGCTGGAGTGCAGTGGTGCGATCTCGGCTCACTGCAAGCTCTGCCTCCCAGGTTCCCGCCATTCTCCTGCCTCAGCCTCCCGAGTAGCTGGGACTACAGGCGCCCCCCACCACGCCTGGCTAATTTTTTGTATTTTTAGTTAGACGAGGTTTCACCGTGTTAGCCAGGATGGTCTCGATCTCCTGACCTTGTGATCCGCCCGTCTCGGCCTCCCAGAGTGTTGGGATTACAGGCTTGAGCCACCGAGCCCGGCTGATTCTATTTTTAAAGAAGCTCTTCTTTAACTTCTCTCATTTACAGTGGACTACATATTTTGTAAGGGCTTCAGTAATGGATGAAGCATGAATATGTTCCAGACATTTTAAAGGGAAATATACTGAAAATCGAGTCGTGGTTGCATTTTTCTCCCCCTTCATAAATGGCAATAAATTTCTCAGTCTTGTTTGTCCAGTGAATTTGAAAAATTCGCCCAAAAAGTACAAATGGAATGATGGTCTATTTCATTGTTTTCAAAATTTTTTTTTTAAACAGAGATTTTTAAAATTTAATTTAATTTAAAGTTCCGGGGTACCTGTGCAGGTTTGTTACATAGGTAAACATGTGCCATGGTAGTTTGCTGCACCTACCAACCCATCACCTAGGTATGAAGCATGGCATGTATTAGCTATTTTTCCTGATGCTCTCCACCCGCCCCCCACCTAGTTCCTTCCCTGACAGGCCCCAGTGTGTGTTGTTCCCCTCCCTGTGTCCATGTGTTCTCACTGTTCAGCTCCCACTTATAAGTAAGAACTTGTGGTGTTTGGTTTTCTGTTCCTGAGTTAGTCTGCTGAAGGTAATGGCTTCCAGCTCCATCCATGTGTCTGCAAAGGACATGATCTCATTCCTTATAGCTGCATAGTATTCTATGGTGTATATGTACCACATTTTCTTTATCCAGTCTATCATTGTTGGGCATTTGGGTTGATTCCATGTCTTTGCAACTGTGAATAGTGCTGCAATGAACATGTATGTATGTATGTGTGCAAGTATCTTTATAACACAATGATTTATATTCCTTGAGTATATACCCAGTAATGGGATTTGTGGATCAAATGGTGTTTCTGGTTCTAAATCTTTGAGGAATCACTAAACTGTCTTCCATAATGGTTGAACTAATTTGCATTCCCACCAACGGTGTAAAAGCATTCCTATTTCTCTGTAATCTTGCCAGCATCTGTTGTTTCTTGACTTTTTAAATAATCACCATTCTGACTGGCATAAGATGGTATCTCATTGTGGTTTTGATTTGCATTTCTCTGGTGATCAGTGATTTTGAGCTTTCTTTCATATGTTTGTTAGCTGCATGTATGTCTTCTTTTTAGAAATGTCTGTTCATGTCCTTGGCCCACTTTTTAGTGGGGTTTTTTTTGTTTGTTTGTTTGTTTGTTTTTTGAGATGGAGTCTTGCTCTGTCACCCAGGCTGGAGTGCAGTGGCACAATCTTGGCTCACTGCAACCTCCACCTCCTGGGTTCAAGCAATTCTTCTGCCCCAGCCTCCTGAGTAGCTGGGACTACAGGTGTGCACTACCATGCCTGGCTAATTTTTGTATTTTCAGTAGAGACGGGGTTTCGCAATATTGGCCAGGCTGGTCTCGAACTCCTGACCTCATGATCCGCCCACCTCAGCTTCCCAAAGGGCTGGGATTACAGGTGTGAACCACTGTACTCGGCCACGGTTGTTTGTTTCTTTCTTGTAGATTTGCTTTAATTCCTTGTAGATTCTGGACATTAGACCTTTGTCAGATGGATAGGCTGCAGTAATTTTCTCACATTCTGTAGGTTGTCTGTTCAATCTGATGATAGCTTCTTTTGCTGTGCAGAAGCTCTTTAGTTTAATTAGATTTCATTTGTCAATTTTTGCTTTTGTTGCAATTGCTTTTGGTGATTTCATCATAAAATCCTTGCCTATGCTTATGTCCTGAATGGTATTGCCTAGATTTTCTTCTAGGGTTTTTACAGTTTTGGGTTTTACATTTCAGTCTTTAATCCATCTTGAGTTAATTTTTTGTATAAGGTGTAAGGAAGGAGTCTAGTTTCAATTTTCTGCATATGGCTAGCCAGTTCTCCCAGCACCATTTATTAAATAGGGAATCCTTTCTCCATTGCTTGTTTTTGTTAGACTTGTTGAAGATCAGCTGGTTGTAGATGTGTGGTTTCATTTCTGAGTTCTTTGTCCTGTTCCATTGGTCTATGTGCCTGTTTTTGTACCAGTACAATGCTGTTTTTCTTACTATAGCCAGAGGTACAAGGAGAAGTTGGTACCATTTCTTCTGAAACTATTCCAAACAATTGAAAATGAGGGACTCCTCGCTAACTCATTTTAAGAGGCAAGCATCATACTCATACCAAAACCTGGCAGAGATACAACAACAACAAAAGTTTCAGGCCAATATCTCTGATGAACATCGATGCAAAAATCCTCAATAAAATACTGGCAAACAGAATCCAGCAGCACATCAAAAAGCTTATCCACCACAATCAAGTCGGCTTCATCCCCAGGATGCAAATCTGGTCCAACATACACAAATCAATAAGTGTAATTCATCACATAAACAGAACTAAAGACAAAAAACACATAATTATCTCAATAGATGGAGAAAAGGCCTTCAATAAAATTCAACATCCCTTTATATTAAAAACTCTCAATAAACTAGGTATTAAAGGATCATATCTCAAAATAATAAGAGCCATTTATGAGAAACCCACAGCCAATACTAATATCATACTGAATGGACAAATGCTGGAAGCATTCCCCTGGAAAACTGGCACAAGACAAGGATGCCCTCTCTCACCATTCTTATTCAACATAGTATTGGAAGCTCTGGCCGGGGCAATCAGGCAAGAGAAAGAAATAGAGGGTATGCAAAGAGGAAGAGAGGAAGTCAAACTGTCTTTGTTTGAAGATGACATGATCCTATACCTAGAAAACTCCTATCATCTCAGGCCAAAAGCTTCTTAAGCTGATAAGCAACTTCAGCAAAGGCTCAGGATACAAAATCAATGTGCAGAAATCGCAAGCCTTCCTATACACTGACAACAGACAAGCAGAGAGCCAAATCATGAATGAACTCCCATTCACAATTGCCACAAAGAGAATAAAATACCTAGGAATACAGCTAACAAGGGAAGTGAAGGACCTCTTCAAGGAGAACCACGCTGCTCATGGAAATCAGAGAGGACGCAAGCAGATGGGAAAACATTCCATGCTCATGGATAGGAAGAATCAATATTGTGAAAATGGCCATACTGCCCAAAGTAATTTATAGATTCAATGCTATTCTCATTAAACTACCATTGACATTCTTCACAGGAGTAGAAAAAACTGTTTGGAAATTCTTATGGAACCAAAAAAGAGCTCGCATAACAAGGGCAATCCTAAGCAAAAAGAACGAAGCTGGATATGTCATAGTACCCAGCTTCAAACTAAGACAGATTATGTCATACTACCCAGCTTCAAACTAAGACGGATTATGTCATACTACCCAACTTCAAACTAAGACAGATTTGCAGCTTGAAATGTTTACAACCTAATGCTGCCAATCCTTAATGTCTTAAATACAATGAATTTTTGTAGTGCTTTTCGAGTTCACAATTCGAAATGATATAAAACTGGATTACAGACAATTACATTTCCCATATTATTTAAAATATGCACTGGTGCTACAAAATTTTTCTATAATGATCATTATATATATGTAATATTATATAAGTGTGAAAGTATAATATTATGTATGTCATATATAATATATAACCATAAAAGTAGATTTTACATTTATGATTAGCTAAAAAATTTTGAGACAGAAACTCTGCGTTTTGCATATTATGTATTCTCTTGTCTTTCCTAATCCCTAGTAAAAAATAAACTTTACTATGTAAAAATCTGTTAATTTGAAGTCAAAGCATGGCTGTATTTTCAGTTAGTTTTTTAAAAAAATGTTTTTTTTCTGTAGCAAATTGTTGACTTGGATATTGCTTATTTTGAGGTTCTTCCTCTTTCCCCTCCTGTGCCCTCCAATTCAGTGTAACTGCTACCTCTCTAAGTGTCAAAGACAAATGATGGATGGTTGTTCAGCTTCTTTGAAATGCAGCATGTTTTAGTGCCTTTTTACCCTTGACTTTCATCACTAGTATTGATTGATGGTATGTTATTTACCTGGCATTGAAGGACTACTGGTTTATAACATTCAAGGCAAAACATTTTAAGTAGTATGCAATGCGGAGATTTCTTTCTACTGGGCAAGGTTAATGACCTACCAAAAGAGGAGGGGTCGGTGTATGCTGGGAATAATTGATATCTTCTGAAGCCAAGATTGACTTGTGGGGTAATTTTCATATCCTTGTGATAATTAAGTTAGTAGATTTTCATCTTTTTAATTGCCCTCAATTTCTTCAGAAGGGGGATTTAGGATGATTAGCCTTTTATGGTCAACTTGCTGAAAAATACCTATACAAAGCTTGTATTTAGAAACTAGAGTCCTTTTTTTCTTCTCTTGTTTAGGTGATGTCGTCCCACAATAACACTTACTCGACATTTATGTAGGGGAGGTAATTCTTTTGGTTGTACTGCAGAGACCAAGAATACATTTTGTACTTCATTTACATTCCCCAGAATACTTAATATAATGTTGATGACATGGTAAGAACACAATATCTCAGTATTTTGTGGCTGAGTGAATGACAATGCATAACCTTAATTCTAATTTGGTGTCAATCTCATTTTTTAAACTTTCTGTTTTCAGAAAATGAGAAAGGGCAGCAAAGATTTTGTTGAAATATGATTTTCAGAATCTTGAATTTACAAGTGTTTGTTTGTTTTTGATTATACCATGGTTATACTATAGATGATAGAGGGATGATTTTGAATCAAAAAGAAAAAAAAGAAAATATATGTATGGAGGCTGAAGTCATAGACAATTTTTGATGGGATAAATGTTGCCAATAATTTTTCCATTAGGCTTTAGTTTGTGTGTTCAGCATTTGAATTTTTTTTAGTTCATTTTCAGGTCACATTTTAGTTTTATGTTTCTTAAAATAACAAATTAATGGAGCATTAAAACATCAAACAGTTTTGAATCTTTCAAGTATTGAAAACACATTATGCTGAAATTTTTGAAAGTAAAAACAGTATGAAGGCCAGGATTTCCAGAAGATTGACATAAATGAGTGGGATATCATCTGTTAACTTTTAAATAAACTTCAGATTGATTTGTGTCTGGGAAGAAGACCCTTTTCTATGCAGGCTGGAAGGGGGATTTGCTGGCATTCCCGAGTGGTTACAACTTTGTGGAGTTAATATTTAATGTGCCATTTTATAGCATATACAGATTTAGAAGCTGAAAAGATACTAAGACAATATAATATGAATTTATCATCAATTTCATAGCATGAAACTGAAGAAACTACTTTTTGTACTGTTTTAAGGAAATCCTATCATCATATGGTGACTGTACAACATTAAAGCAACATTCTGGAAAGAAATTGCCAGGTATGTAGTCACAGGTTCAAAGAATGACTGGAAACTGAGGAACTTTCACATAGTGTATAGGAATTTATAACAAGTTCTGACAGCATTGTTAACTGATTAAAAATACCTAATAAGGCTGCTGGATTTGTTAATGAGTACTTTTAAGGCAAAATTGGCAATAAAACAATAGCATTTGTTTAAACAGAAAAAAAAATTCCCCTGCATTCCTTCTTTTGAAAGGAAACAGCCGCGTTATGGGAGTTCTCATAGTTATATGTTGAAACAGGGCAGCTTTTCAAAAACTGTCAAGTTTAGTGTTTCAAAGGCATGTTGAAGAATGAAGACGGGGGTGTGTGTAAATAAATGTGCTGATTGCATAAAGGCTGCTTCTAGTTTTGCTCAAGTGATTTTAGAGCTTCTGAAGGAGCAGTTTTCAACCTTAAATATCTAAGTCAACACTTTTTCTTTAGTAAGAGAGGTGACCTTAGAAATGTCCTTGGTCTAAGTGAAAATACTGGCCAATTCAAGACACAGCAATGTAGATCAATCCTTATTCTTTAACTTTCTGAACAAAAGTTTAAAAACATTCCAAATTTATTTTCATTGATGGAAGAGATTCCTGTTTATATTTTGTTATTTTTAAAATAAATGAAAATGAGGTTATCAGTCAAAGGTGGTTTGAAAAAACTTCTACTCCATTTCCAGCGTGATGTCAGGGAACCCGACAGCAGTCACAGGCACTCTGCTTTCACACTAATAATTTGTGATCTAATCGGTAAAATTAGATCAGTATGCAAAACTATTAGATGAGTTAATAGTCAAATGGTAGAGTTTTAAAGACTCCTAGATCCGGTGGTTCTATTTTGTTACACGTCTTCTAGGAAGCTTAGAAGATTGCTTTGTTTGGTTGATTCACTACCTGCTGCATCTTTAGCCTTGACTTAATAATGAAGTAAAAATAATAAAACAAAAGACAGTAACAAAGTCAACAGAAAATCCTCTCTCCCAAATAAACCCAACAACAACAACAAAAAACAAAGTACTCAGACAAATAGCTGGGGGAGATTTTTAGAAATTGAGAGTTTTTTGAACATGTAATTAAATTTAATTTAGTTTTTAAAAAACCTTTTAAAACACTTCAATGGGCAGGGCCTTTTTTAATTGAGGTGAAATTCACATAACATAAAATTAACTATTTTGATGTGTACAAATGTATTCACAATGTTGTGGAACCATAACCTTTACCCAGTTCCAGAACATTTTCATCAACCCAAAGGGGATCCTTTTCATCAACCACTAATCTGTTTTCTGTCTCTGTGGATTTTCCTACTCCAGACATTTAGAATCATACAATATATGACTTTTTATGTTTGCTTCCTTTCACTTAACATAATGTTTTCAAGGTTCAGCCTTGTTATAGCATGTGTGAGTACTTCATTACTTTTTGCAGGTGAATCATTCCATTGGGTAGATATACCACATTTTGTTTATCCATCCATTCACTGATGTAAATTTATTGATTTTTCACCTTTTGGTTATTTGTTAATAGTGCTAATATGAACATTGGTGTACAGATATGTGTTTGAATACCTGTTTTCAAGTCTTTGGGCTACATAAATAAGAATGGAATTGCTGGGTAATCTAATAGTTCCATGTTAACTTTTCGGGGCAAAGCCAAAGTAGTATTCATGGTGGCTGCATCTTTTATATTGTAGCAATACACAAGGCTTCCAATTTCTCAACATCCTCACCAGCACTTGTTATTTCAGTTTTTTAAAAAATTATAGCCACCTTAGTGGATGTGATATGGTATCTCATTATGGTTTCAATTTGCATTTCCCTAGTGACTAATGATTTTGAACATCTTTTCATGTGCTTGTTGACCATTTGTGTACCTTCTTAGGATAAATGTCTGCTCACTTCCTTTTCCAATCTTTAAATTGCATTGTTTGTCTGTTTGTTGTTGAACTGTGGTGCTTTAAATATATCTATCTATCTATCTATATACATATTATATTTATATATATACATAGAGAGAGAGAATTTTCTACATACAAGATTATGTCTTCTGTAAATACAGATAGTTTTACTTCTTCCTTTTCAATTAAAATACCCTTTATTTCTTTTTCTTGGCTAATTGCCCTTGCTTGAACTTCCTGTATAATGCTGGATAAAAGTGGTGAAAGTAGCATCCTTGTCTTATTACTGATCTTGGAGGGAATGCTTTCAGTCTTTCACCGTTGAGTATATTTTAGCCATGGGTTTTTCATAAATATACTTTATTATGTTGAGGATGTTCCATTTTCTTCCTGGTTTATCATGTGTTTTTACCATGAAAGCATGTTGTATATTTTCAAATGTTGTTTCAGCTTCACTTGAGATGATTTTGTGTTCCCTCCTTCATTCTATTAATGTGGTGTATTATATTCGTTGTATATGTTGAACCACCCTTGCATTCTTGGGATAAATCCCAACTGATCATGATGTATAATTCTTTTAACATGCTACTTCATTTGGTTTGCTAGTCTTTTGTTGCAGATTTTTGCATTTATATTTAGTAGGGATATCTATCTATAGTTTTCTTTTCTTATGTGCTGCCTTTGGCTTTGGTGTCAGGGTAATTCTGGCCTCATAGCTTGATTTAAGAGGTGTTATTTTCTTTTCTAATTTTCTGGAAGAGTTTAAGAAAGATTGGTGTTACTTCTTTTTTAAATGCTTCATAGTATTTAGGGTGAAACCATCTTTAGTACTTTACTTTTTAAAAATGGTAACTATGGACAGTTAAACCTAAAGTATCAGAATTCAAATGGAAATGTTTTAAATTTGGCAATAACAAAAAATTATAAGTTCAAAACATATCTGCCCAAACAATGACTAATACCACTTCCAAAATTATCTACTTAATAGATAGTGAAGGGATATAACATTGTTTTTATATTATTTCAAGATGGGGCAAAAGTTAACTTCTGTTAAGTAAAGTCTACACCTATACAAAATGTTGCTCAATATGTTCTTGTGTTTGATAGCATGGTAGGGTGAATATATTGAACAATATATTGTATTTTTCAAAATAGCTAGAAGAGAAGATTTGAAATGTTACTGACAGAAAGAAATGATAAGTGTTTGAGGTGATGGACATCCTAAATACCCTGACCTGATCATTACACACTCCGTGCATGTATCAAAATATGTACCCCATCAATATGTGTAAGTATTATGTATCAGTAAAGAATAAAATATGTTGAAAAATGGAGACAATTACCCAAATAAATAGGAATATGATTGAGACATGGGTTGGTATTCTAATGTATTCAGACTATTATCTTAATTCTCCATTTTACTTTACCCATATAAAAATAATCTCAGTTACTCTTAGTTGGAAATTTGTTTCAACTAGAAATAGAGGAATATCTCCAAATAATTTTACAACTTTATTTTCTCTCTTAGACTCATTGTTTTTTCCACAACATCAGGTTAATGGTTTAAAAAGCTTTGCACAACTTCTGTTTGGTTAAGATTTTTTATTTTATATACATAGACACACACACATATCTATTAGTCGATCATTCAGATATACAACTAACTAGATTTAAAAATAGTAAGCCATGGTTTATACATCACATATAAATGACCTAGATACCAGTAGTGACATTATCATCATGAATATTAGTTCCAGAAAGTATAGATCAGAGAATATTTGGGAAGAGAGATCCAAAACAATGTCTGACAAGTTTTTGAGGAATGGGGAATGATGATGAACAGTCATGAAAATAACAGAATTAAATTCCAATTTGTTTTTCAGTAGAAATGATGTTAATGTTTAGATGGCTCCTGTCAGCATTAAATACACAGTTAAGTACAGACCTTCAGAGGCAGGGAGTTGGTGATTTTTCTACCTCTTGAAATAAGTATACCATACAAAAAGCGCTATTTTGCCTGCTTGAAATTTCAGAAAGGTAAACACTCTGAATTGGCTTAGTGCTTGGGCTATTGGCAGACCTTTCACAAGAAAAAGTTTTTAGGCAGCGTCTATGTGAATCATACCAGCTTTTCTCAAGATAAGGGATTCATATTAGAAGGCTTGACTCACTCTGACATTTTATATGACTTTCTATTATTGAAACAACTCTAAAGGTCTTTTGAGCATTCTATTCACAGTGTTACCTAATAATAACATATATTAGCTTCTGGAGTTTAAGCAGCTTATAGGCAGAGTTCACATAATCACTTTGAACGCCTGGCATCTACGCAGCAAGTGTGCAATAAATATTTATTGAATAACTAATCTTACAATGAAGAAGCAGCATGAACTGGGAATTACTTTCCATTCCAGTTCTGAAGTTTAGACTCATTCTAAGAACTATGAATGCTTACATCTGTGACCTTAATGTACCTAGATTTCAGTTTTCTTGAATTGAGTTTGACGAGTGTATTTCTGAAGCCCCTTCTAGCTTCTAAATGTCATGACATGCGTTCAAGATGAGACTTGTGAGTATCTTTTCAACTAAACTCAGTTCTCCAGGTCTTTCACCACCTGTTGTAAAAGGTAAAGTTGAATGGACTTCTATCACTTGGATCTTATTTAACTTGAATTGCTAAAAATACACGTACAGCCACTGCTGAAATTAAACAGCATCTACAAATGCAGGCATTACTCTCAGACATTTTCTAAGTAGAATACATGGCCTCTACTCCCAGGGGGTTTATAATCTAGTGTAGAAAAAAGGAAATATATACAAAATGATGCAACTGACATGAGGGAATTTAGGGTGAGTTGGACAGTATTTTTAAATTTCTTTGCTGTGAGTCTAGATTTAGTTGAGACTTGAAATAAGTATACGTAGCAATGAAGAAGAAAATTATAAAAGCTTTAGAAAATAAGAAGCCCATGTAGAGAAGATTGAATAATTATTTGTTTTTAGGAGCATATTCAATATTTTCTGAATCCATGCTAAACCTTTCCTCTTCTTCTCTAAGCTTTCTCCAGATAAAATGTGGCACAGCCTCCGGGACAGTCTCCTCCAGACTCTGGTCATATTAATGGCCATAGAGAGTCAGAGCCACGATTTTTGTCTTACACCTCTTTTCTCTATGTACCCAATGTTTCCTTTTAATTGATTCACTGCTTAGATTTAAACAAATGTTTGTTAGAAGAAATTTAAATAGAAAACCCAATTCATTATATATAGACTGTAATTATAAAGATAAGTTCAATGAAAATAAAACAATCTTAAATTCTTCCTGTGTACTGTTGACTTACTGAAGCTTCTGTACCTGAAGCCTTCTCTCTCTCTTTTTTTTTTCAATTGAACCTTAGCACATGTCAGAGAGTTTATTAAAAATGGTAGTATTCCCAAGTGGAGACATCTTCCTTGAAGAATTCAGAAGAACTGAGAAGAGTTGAATGAGAATGGAAAGGGAATCACTCTATGGGGATAGTTCTATAAACCAGGTGGCTTTGTTTATGCATACTCCTTCTGAAAACACCATACTTCTCTACGGGGAGGCTGGAGGAAGCACTGTTAGTATTGTTTCCATGGTTTTGTTAGATGTCAAACTCAGAGACATTTTTTGAGTTAAGTGACTCACAGACTGAAGAAAAGTATGAGGACTTCAAGCCATCAAATTTTCTAAGTTATTGAGTATAATTGCAGTGGATTCCCTACCTGAAGCTGAGTCAACCAGGAAAATTGTACTGTCTAAATTCTTTTTCCTTTTCTCTTGTCACCCATGGTGAATTTTTCCAATGATATAATCAATTGATTTTTACCTTATGACAGTGGGAGAGGACAGGTAATAAATGTAGGAAAACCAGGAACCAAATATGATTTAACATACTTGGAGTTCACAGATAGCAGTGATAGAAAGTTGAACTTTAAAAGCAAAACTTAAAGAAATCCCTTTATTTTGTTAAAGAAAGAAAATATATACACTGGAGGATCATAAGTAAAATATTCCAAGTACAGTTACCAGCCCCAATGAGTGAGATCCATGCTTAGAGACAGTCGTGATTCTTATTTAACATTAATAACCACAAACTGTGCACCAGATGCTATGAACTCAAGTCCAAGGTAGATGATATAATCAATATCATCATCACTACAGAATATATTAAAATATTATTTTACTTTAGAAGTTGCCTTTCAAGTTAACTAGTATTTGAGCACTTTGTATACCAAAAAAATAAGGTAAAACAATAGTGAAGAATCCAAGATTATGGGACAAAACCCATCTTCAAGGAACTTATGATGTACGACAGTAATATCCTTTAGTGAAAAAGCATAGCCTCGTAAGAGATGCTTGCAGGGATTTAATAGAAGAAAGGAGCACACTGGAAAAGGAGGTGGCTTCATGAAGGAGCATTTTCTATGGAGCGTGAAGAAAGGGCAGGCTCTTGACAGGGAATTATATAGGGTGTAGGACACTTGGCTGGACATCTACGACAGCGAGACAGGTGGAAACAGCAGTGAGAAAGCGTGTTGGGTAGTTAGTGCAAAGCCCAGCTTTGTTGGAATAGAGGAGAACAGGAAGACCTGAGGCTGGGAAGAGACGCCAGGATGAAGAAAGATAAGCAAAGATTTGTGACTAGCACAGAAGAACTCGCCATTTGCAGAATTAAGTGTCACTCTAATGTCAAGGACAGGCGCAAACCATGGCTCTAACATTAGGCAAGATGCATAGTCTTTTAAGCATCATCACTGGCAGAGCTCCTAGATAGATACTCGTAATGATAATAGGTACCATGTGTTGAATGCATATCAAGTGCTGGGCATAGCACTGGGTGGCTTAGATACACTATACTTCTGTGACAGAGGCATCATCTTTATTTTCCCAGACCACAAAAAAAAAAGTAGAGCCTCTTAAGGAGCTGGAAGTCAAGGATAAATAATTTGTATCACTCTGGTACAAGTAGTCATTTTAGTTTATTACCTAGGTATCATCAAGGAAGAACGGGCTCATAAATGTTTTGCAGTTAACATGCAAAGTCCTAGAACATCTCCCACGTGAGATTCCTAAACAGTTCTTCCAATCTATAATATCTGGTAATGAAATGCAAATGACAATAAAAGGGCCCAGTTCCATTCGCAAGCCATAGTTCATAACAAATCACAAGGGTTTTCTATGGCAAGCAGCTTCTTGAGAATTGCAGTCACACTTGACATGGTCATCAGCCATTTTTCAAGATGCCACGTCTCAAGCGGGGCTATTAATCCCATTTCTTGCGTATTTCAATCTCATTTTACAATGTGAAATTGCTAGGAGACACACATTTATCAATATGTTCCATAATGTTGTTTGGCATGACTTCTTTCAGTACATCGTATTTTTTGTTACATGATCAATATGAGAGTCTTCTCTCCAGAAAAGGCAACTAATCTTGCTACCTAGTTTGAAGTGGATGGCTTAAACTATTTACAAAAATCCCCCTGGTTATTTTTCTTTCCCGAGTCTCTTTCCTTATCCTTAGGCCCCTTTATAAATAAGCTTGTTTCTTTGCAGTCTGTGGCTCCAAAACATGAATGATTATTGGAATATCAGATTTAGTTGGCAGCTGTTTATATTAATGTAACAAGGTGACATTGGTTTGGTCTAGAACTAGAAGTTATTGTTAGGAGAAACTGAAAAACTGTTCATTAAAAATTATAAGAAATGCTTTTGGTTTCTAAGAGAAGTCTGTTAATCAGGGTTCTCCAGAGAAACGGAACCAATAGAGAGAGAGAGAGAAAGAGAAAGAGAGAGAGAGAGAGAGAGAGAGAGAGAGAGTGTGTGTGTGTGTGTGTGTGTGTGTGTATCTTTGAGGGATATATTCCTCTTGTCCTGAAAAATCATTCCATAGTTATATGTAGAGAGATTCTGGTCTAGAATGGAGAAGTCTGAAGTTATGGCCCCAGAGGACTACACCGTCCTGCTCTACTATTGTTAAAGGCTGTCCCTGCAGGTTTTGTTTCCTTTGGAGAACTGCTTGTTTTCAAAATCTAAATTTATACTGCCATGAGTATTTTAATTATTGCTTGTCCTTGGAAGGTTTATATGTGGGTTGTCTGTGTAGGAAGTGTTTTGAGCCTTTGCTCATTGGAATTTGGGAGCCAAGGAAGGGACGTACACCATGGAGTGGCTTGGAGGTAGTTGAGGAGCTATGCAGACAGGGGAAGGAGAGTGGTGGTGCTGGGACTGTGCAGTCATTTTAAGTTATTCTGTGTGTTATGTTCCCCCATTATTATGGAAACTGTAGCAGATCCCCTTAGAAATAACAGCCCCATCTCTGATAGTCCATGGGAAAGCCATTCCCTCGACAAAATCACAGTGAGTACATGTTATGGACTGAATGCCTATGTACCCCCAAAATTCATATGTTGAAATCCTAACCCTAAAATTAATGGTATTAGGAGATGGGGTCTTAGTAGGTTTAGGTCATGAGAGTGGAGACCTCATGAATGGAATTCGTGCCCGTATAAGAAGAGACATGAGAACTTGCTTCCTCTGTTCTCTTTCCCATGAGAACACAGTGAGAAGACAGCCAGTCACCTGTAAACCAGAAAGCAGGCTCTTATCAGACGTGGGATCTGCCAGCACCTTGATCTTGGACTTCCCAGCCTCAAGGACTGTGAAAAATAAATGTTGTTTAACCTCCCAAGTCTATGGTAATTTGTTATAGCAGCTGGAACTAAGATGGTGTTGCCATGGTGATTACAAGTGGGGCAAATGAATTCATGCATTTAACAAATGTTTACTGAGCCTCTACTCTGTGCTAGATGCAGCAGAGAGGGAGCTTGGAATAAAATAGAGCAGGAAGTGCTAGCCAGAGCAGTTTGGCAAGAGAAAGAAATAAGAGGCCTCCAAATAAGAAGAGAAGAAATCAAACTATCTCCCTTTATTCATGACATGATTGTCTTCTTAGAAAACCCTACAGGCTCTGCCAAATGCTACTAGAACTGATAAATGATTTTAGCAAGGTTTTGGGATACAAAATCAATATATAAAAATCAGTAGCATTTCTATACACCGATAACAGCCAGGCTGAGCGTCAAATCAAGAATCCAATCCTATTTACAATAGCCACAAAGAAAATGAAATATCTAGGAATATAGCTAACCAAGGAGGTGAAACATCTCTGCAGGGAGAACTACAAAACACTGCTGAAAGAAATCAGAGATGATGCAAATAAATGGAAAAACATTTCATGCTCATGAACTGGAAGAATCAATGTTGTTAAATGACCGTACTACTCAAAGCAATTTACAGATTCAACACTATTCCTATCAAATGATCAATGTTGTTCTCCACAGAATTAGAAAAAACCATTCTAAAATTCATATGCAGCCAAAAGAGTTGAATAGTCAGAGAAATCCTAAGTAAAAAGAACAAAGCCAGAGACATTATACTACCTGACTTAAAACTATACTATAAGGCTACAGTAACCAAAACAGCATGATACTGGTACAAAAACAGACACATAGACTAAGGGAACAGGATAAAAAACTCAGAAATAAAGCCACACACCTACAGCCATCTGATCTTCAACAAGGCCAACAAAAATAAGCAATGGGGAAAGGGCTTTATATTCAATAAATGGTGATGAGACAACTGGCTAGCCATATGCAAAAGAATGAAACTAGTCCCTTGCCTTTTACCAATACAAAAAGATGGAGTGAAGATTTAAATGTAAGACCTCACACTATAAAAATCCTAGGAGAAAACCTGGGAAATACCTTTCTTGACATTGGCCTTGGCAAGGTATTTTTGGCTTAGTCCCCAAAAGCAATTGCAACAAAAACAAAAATTGACAAGTGGGAGCTAATTAAACGAAAGAGCTTCTGCACAGCCAAAGAAACTATCAACAGAGTAAACAGACATCCTACAAACTATGCAGCTAACAAAGGTCTAGTATCTGGAATCTATAAGGAACTTCAACAAATCAACAAGCAAAAAACAACCCAATTAAGCAAAGGAAATGAAAAGGCATTTCTCAAAAGAAGACATACAAGTGGCCAAGAAACATATAAAAAAATCCTCACTATCACTGATGATCAGAGAAATGCAAATTAAAACCACAATGAGATACCATCTCGTATCAGTCAGAATGGCTATTATTAAAAGGTCAAAAAATAACAGATGCTGGCGAGGCTACAGAGAAAAGGGAATGCTTATGTACTGTTGGCAGGAATGTAAATTAGTTCAACTACTGTCAAAGAAATCCATTTGGAGATTTCTCAAAGAACTTAAAACAGAACTACCATACGACCCAGCCATCCCATTACTGGGTATATCCCCATTGGAAAATAGATAAATATACCAAAGAGACACATACACTTGTATATTTATTGCCACACTATTTGCAATAGCAAAGACATAAAATCAACCTAGGTTCTCATCCCTGGTGAACAGGATAAAGAAAATATGGTACATATCCACCGTAGAAAACTACGCAGCCATAAAAAAAGAATGAAGTCATGTCCTTTGTAGCAACACGGTGCAGCTGCAGGCCACAACCCTAAGTAAATTAACATAGGAACAGACAACCAAATACCACATGTTCTCACTTATAAGTGGGAGCTAAACACTGAGCACACATGGACATAAACATAAGAAAAATAGACACCAGAGACTATTAGAGGGGAGAGGGAAGGAGCAAGTCATGGCTTGAAAAACCACCTATTGGGCACTATGCTCACTACCTGGGTGCAATATACCCATGTAACAAACCTGCATGTGTACCCCCTATAACTAGAATAAAAGTTGAAATTAAAAAATTAGAACAAAACAAAACAAGTACTTATCTTCATGAAGTTCTAATGAGGAGATATCAATGACAAATAAAGAAAAAATATGTAAAATAAATAACAAGTGCTGAAAAAGAAAAACAGAGTACAGGGGCTAGAGTTCTAGAGAGGTTCTATTATAGATGGAGTGATTTGGGTTGACTGGGATTAATCATCCCAGGATTACATTCCAAGTTCAGAGCTGTTTCTCTTATGCTACCATTCATCTCATTTGTAGTTGGGGAATTTAGTCAGATGGACAAATAATTGCATATCTTTTTTTAGGGAGAGCTCAACAATGTGACGCTGTTTATGTTGATGCTGTTGAAATAGTGTGTCAGCAAATCCCTGTCTTTTTCCCTGTTCAGTGTCCTTAACGGGGGAGGGGATGTTGAAACCTGATCCCTTCCAAGAGTCTAAGGTATAGCCATATAAGCCGGAGTCATATGAATTGGTAGTTGAATCTAATGCTTGTAGCAATATTCCTGTCATGAACAGAATACACTAAATTTGTCATTTATAGTTTTAACAATTCTTGAGTTATACTATTATATATGTAATAGGTCCTAGTTTGGTTTTATTTTACTTAAACTTACCTATGTACACACTTTTAAGAAGTAAATAATTCTATAAGGCTTGTTACAAAAAGCATCAGCTCCTGACTGCCCTACCTGCTTTCCTTTTGCTGGGAACAACCCCCTTTTAACTCTTAGCTAATTTTTTTTCTAGTTATTTATTACCATGCCTCTAATTAACAGGTTTATTTTGCTACTTCTTAATTTTTAACAGTTTTTTCAGTACTTCTTGACTTTTTTGGTTTTATGTGTTAACTACTGACTTCCCAAAATGAGAGCTGAGAATTTGACTCTCTTTGTAACCGCTTTCCCCTCCATCCCTCTTAATTCCTCATCCCAACATAAAGTAAGAGTAAGTGATTTTGGTTGGCCCACCCTTGGCCCACCCTGGGTATTTGAATATACTGTATTAGGACGGCGTAAACATTGTTAACACCTGAGCCAGGTCATATGTATGATTTTCTCATCCTTTTCTACACTCTTTAAAAAACCCACTTGAACTAGTAACTGTTTGCTTCTGTTCTTGGTTTAGATTTGTATGTTCTTATCGCTAATCTACTCTCAAATTCTCCTACCGTTCCATTTGATAGCATCTTGCTTTTTTTGCAGGGTGCAATATCTTTCCTGCCCAGGTAAGCAGAGGACTGCAGGATGCTGCGACTAGGTTCCTTCTTTGAAGATCCCCAACTTCATTAGTCTTAGATTTTATTCTCCTTTCTAAGATTCCCCAGAAGACTCTCCTCCAATTCTGGCCTGGAGTATATAAACTGCCCATATCAGATGTGTTATTTTATTTAAAAATAATTTTTGAGTTCTTTTATTATTGCAAAAGTTCTGTTGGTAAAATAAAACTTTAGAAATGCAAAAAAAAGAAAACAGATATACATTTTTAATTCCACTATGAAAACAGAACAACAATTTAATTGCTTAATTTCTTCTGTTTAACAAAGAAAGTTGGAGTTGGCAATACAGTAGGCACTGAACACTTCTGATAAAGCATTAATGCAAAAATCAATGTCACATCAAATACATAAAGTGGTCAATATTTTTGTGTTAAAAGTAAAAAGCACATCTTAAACATTAACTTTGAAATAGATTGATGTGCAAATCTAAATTTGTTTTGCAAAGCCACTGTTTCAATGGAAAGCAATGCGTAGGAAGAGAAATCATGTGACAATGTATTCCACCCTAGTAATATGAAATGGATCAAGGAAGCAGAAGGTATATCTATTTAAGTTTGATTGATGGTTCAAGAGGATTTTGTAAGTGCTATTGTGGATGTAAAAGTTTTTCTAAGAAGTTGGGGAGATTATTTCAGGTAACCCTGACAGTTGTTCCCATCCTTCAAAGTCTAGAGTACTGCAATACCTTGCCGGTAGAGAAGACACTTTGCAGACGGCATTGGAGAAAAACTGTGCCCTTTACTCTCCCAGCGACTGAACAGATCTCAGTATTGCTATTAGAAAGAAATTAGTCATGAGCTATTGGCAAGTAATTGAGTAAGATGTCTGAGTATTTTTTTAAAAGTTTAGGTGGGTTGAAAACTCTCTGCAATAATCTTCCAGAGCACAATGCAGGGAAGGGACTGGCTGATATAAAGCTGCCTGTTATTAAATTATCCTGGGATGGGAAGCAAGCAATTATGGGGTTACCTGGGATGGTAGGGAGCAGAAAAGCAACAAATGCTGAGAAATTAGATGAAACAACAATTTAAAAAAAATGAATCTAAATCCAAGCCAAGTTATCTTGTAGACTGCTACTGACCAAGGATTTAGAAGAGAGCTTTTATTTATTTATTTATTTTTTGGGACAGAATCTTCCTCTGTCACCCAGGCTGAAGTGCAGTGGCACGATCTCGGCTCACTGCAATCTCTGCCTCCCGGGTTCAAGCAATTCTCGTGCCTCACCCTCCCAAGTAGCTAGGACTACAGGCACGTGCCACCACGCCTGGCTAATTTTTGTATTTTCAGTAGAGATGGGGTTTCACCATGTTGGCCAGGCTGGTCTCTAACTCCTGACCTCAGGTGATCCGCCTGCCTTGGCCTCCCAAAGTGCTGGGATTACAGGCGTGAGCCACCACGCCTGGCCTAGAAGAGAGCTTTTTGGAAAAATGCAAATAACAATGCTAATTGTCTCTGATTCTTTTAAATTGTTGGTAGGTGAATGTATCTATGCAAATGTGCATCGTATATAACTTTCAGTAAGCTGTTCATTGGATAACGGTGATTCAGCCTGAGTTATCTCAATTTGTTTTCTCTAATGTTACAACATTTCAGGTGGTACGGTTCATCTGGACCAGCCTCTGATGTGGGGAAGACCAAGCGAGAGCACACTGCGGAGAGTGAGTCCTGGTCGGTTTGGGTATGGCTCTCAGCAGACTGACCCACGAGGGCCAGCAGCTGCTGGATTTAATTCGCTGATTTTGTATGAACTGTAGATTTCCCTGGGAAATCTGCTATGCACACACAAGTGAGAAGGCAACCATGAGAAGGAGGCCAGGGCTGAGGCTCTGCAAGTGCACACGGCTCGTTGCAGAAAAGCACGCGCCTCCCAGCAGGACTGTTAGCCCAGAGAGGAAGCCTGCTGGGGTTTGAGCTCATTTGTGTTGTCAGTATCTCTTATCACAGCATCAGATTCAGTGTTTTCTTAAGGAACAAAACACAGGAAACGGCTTGCTGTCATTTTCTATTTCTCTAGTGAATCTCCTGTAACTGAAAGTCACAAACTTCTTTCTTTAAGACCTATGGCTTACCTTTCCAATAAGAAGTGAAAGGTCTAGGCTGTCAATATTTGAAATTGAGGGGCAAAAGGCAGCCTCTTTTCTATCATGAAGGAAAACATACAATGTGGAAAAGAGTTCGCTTTGGAGTGGATTTATCGTCATCTA
Source organism: Homo sapiens (assembly GCF_000001405.40). Taxonomy (NCBI): domain Eukaryota; kingdom Metazoa; phylum Chordata; class Mammalia; order Primates; family Hominidae; genus Homo; species Homo sapiens. The sequence goes on from NC_000004.12 coordinate 187,020,432, forward strand.
AATTGAATGCATTGGTGAAGATTACGGAATTGATGTTTCCAAAATTCGTTGACATGTGCAGATGAAAATACAAAGGATTATTTTTAATATTATTATGTTATATTAAATAAACTTGCTGAGATTTTTTAAGTTTCAATGCCTTCGGCCTCCAGTAGAACAGTTGTGATTAAAACAACACATATGCTTCCCATTTGGCTGGTTATGGGAATATTTTGAAACAAGGAATATTTTAAAGTTAATTATACATGCATTTAATGCCCAGTTAAATTTTGAAAGTATTTAACAATTTGCAGTGGGAGGTAAAGTAAATGTCTAATTCTGCCGCTTTCTCTGTGGTTCAGTGAAGCATCTTCTTGGTCATTGCCCTAACTGAATCTGAGCTAGGATGTTCCATCACATTGACCTTGTTATAATTTTGAAACAGGAATTCCAGTAGGATAGAATTGTTCCATTCTGTTGCCCCTCTAACCACTCCAAGGTTTCTTGATGTATCTAGCTCATGACAGAAAAGACAAAAAAACAAAAATTACTCTGAAGACGAAAAGTCAGCTTGGGAAAGTTATGTATGTTTCCTTTTTAAAAGCCTTTTAACCTTTGGACTTGAGAAATGCTTTTTCTTGTCTTTTAAAATGTGTTAAGTAGTCACATCTTGAAAAGGACCAGATAAAATCATGTTTTTCAGGCCAGACATGGTAGCTCATCCCAGCAGTTTGAGAGGCCGAGGTGGGTGGATCACTTGAGGTCAGGAGTTCTAGACCAGCCTGGCCAACATGGTGAAACCCCATCTCTACTAAAAATACAAAAATTAGCCGGGCATGGTGGCAGGCACCTGTAATCCCAGCTACTTGGAAGGCTGAGACAGGAGAATTGCTTGAACCAGGGAGGCGGAGGTTGCAGTGAGCCTAGATCGTGCCACTGCACTCTAGCCTGGTCAATAGAGTGAGACTCTGTCTCAAAAAAAAAAAAATTGATTTTTCATGTGCCTAAGATTAAATTTAGGGCTCATCTAAACCCCAAGGGACTTTTTATGTATTTCACTTGGATTTTGGACAATAGAAATGAATAAGTTGGAATAGATCGGATGTTACATGGTGGACTCTACCTATAGAATGCCACCAACCATCTCCTTTATGTGTTGTGAATGACCCAAGCCAGATCATGCAAGTCTCCATAGGCATGCCTCTTCTTGTCAGATACTTCTAATTGAGTGTGATGATTTTCCTGCTGAGCCTTGGTGTAGCTTTACAACCCTACTCAACACAGCTCTGTGGGCAGCAAAGCCAGTGGGCAGGAATTATTAAGTGAGCTGAAACTGCTTCTCTAACCTAGGCTAGACCAAACAATAGGAAGTCAAGGTGATATCTAGGAGTTGTACATATTTTCAAATATAAAAATATTTCATTCATTTGGAGGAAGGTAGGATGAACAAGGTAGACAGTACTAATATGTCAGCTGGTAAGTAATTATTCAGTGCCATTTTTGCTGGGAATTTACCTGGATACAGATGGGCCTCCTGGAAGAATGTGGCATTTCACCTCCTCTGTACAGGGACTTATGACTTCACTGCAAGAAAATAGTTAATATATAACATAATCAGTAAGCGTTAAAACACTCCATAATATGACAAACTTTATAAATATTATTCCAACCCTCTCACTCGAAATGAAAGAAGATTTCATAGACAAGAAAGGCTTCTTAGAGACGATAGTATGGTTCATGTCACAAATGTTAAATGGATGCAGAAGCATTTGGAATGTAGCGTGCGGGATGCTATGAGTTGGTGTGTCTAAAAATGTTCAACAAAATCAATTGTAGACTTTACCTCACAAGAAAGTCTTGACTTTTGCAATGGAGAAAAGTGGTGTTTTATAGAAATACTTTAAAAACAATTTTTTTAAAAATTACAGGTATTTCAGAAAATGAGAGATAACTACAGCCAAATAATTCACATTAAATTGTTGATTGAATTGACAAAGTAATTTAATGTGTTTCTATTAGATGCAAGGCAGTGTGCTGGATCATTGAAGTATATAAAAATGTATCTGCTTGTAAAAGCAGATAATCTAGAGATGAATGTGGTAGCTAATGAAATTACAAATTAGTTTATGATATGTGCAAATGTGGGAAATAAAATCACAAAAACAATAAGTAATTCTAATCAAGATACCTGTCAAGTTCAAAAAAGCTTCTAAGAACTATGGTACCTTGGAATCTGATTTAATTCTGAAAATCCACCACATTAATTATGTCTTTCAAATTTAAAAACTAAGTTTCTAAATGCATCAATGGCCCTTAGAATAAAAACTCAGAACATTTAGAAACCCCTGGTAATGACAGGATCATGTCTAAGTTTAAAATAATACGGTTTATTCTCACTAGCCTGCAGAATTGTTTATAATCTCAAGTCGTACTTCAGAACATAGACAAAAGGCCATCCCTTTTTGGGGTTTAGATAGAAATAGCTGATTTCACCTGAACTCAGCAACCTTGTAAATAGCCGTTTCTATGAAATATATCTGCTCACTTGGATAAGAGCCAAGTTTCACAAATTACTAATGCTGGATCTAAGTTGACTAGTGAAACTTATTCCCAAAACAGGCAATGTGATAATTCAATATTTTGCTGTTGATGTGTTTCGAGAGCCAGCACACAGTGTGCATTTCCCGGTTGCTCCCAGCTTATTTTGCCACAGACCTACAGAGACCAGACTTCAAGATGTTCCTGTGGACAGGAATTTACACAAAAAACCAGGTGAAATTTACTTTTTTGGTGGAAAAATATATATGTATGACTGGCTTAAAGTCGTTAAGTGAGGTGATCTTAATGATAGGACCAAATCCATTAGAAAACTACTTTGCAAATGAAGTTTAAAAAATTTTATTTTCAACTAGTTTTTAAAAGACTTCAATTCAGTAAGGAGCACATTAGAAAGATCTCAGTTTATCTCAAGTATAGGCTATATCTAAAGAAACTTGATTATTTATTAAGTTTTCTTTCTTATTAAGATGTCTTGGCTATACAGCAAGAAGCATAAGTAACTCTCCATTGCATATTGGATCCCACGTTTTGTGGATATGAAAGAGTTAGTTTTAGAAGAAATGTCATAACCAAAAATAGAACCAAATACATAGCTATGACTGAAGTAAAGTTCTTGCTGTATGGTAATGCTTCTTGCATTTGGTCAATCTGAAGATGCGTGACATCAAGCCTGACACAGTCAGTTTAGCATAGTCTCCTTAAGGTTTGACTATGGAATGTATGAATTCGTAAATCTGCTTTCTCTTTATTGAATATATTCAAACGTATCACAGCTATTGATGGATTCCATGCTTTGTTTACAAGAGGAGCACATGGAAGTACACAACCCAGGAGCCATATTTTCCTCTTACTGCCAAAATCACTCTTCAGATATGATTTAGGTGCTTGGATATTTGCATCTAGTTCACTTTACTTACTTTTTACTGCTTTGCTGGGGCAATGCTTTCCAACAATAAGAAAGAATGAATGAATTCTAGAAAAGGATGAGCACATGACCAGATCCAAGCTTGGAAAATTTGAGTTCATGATCCATTCATTGTTGGAATGTTCAGGGTCAGGAGGTGAAACTTCAAGTCCTAAATTCTAGGTCTATGGCTAGGCAGGACATCTTCCTTTTGCCTTCCAGATACCCACTCCACCCTTCTCCACTCTGCTGTGTGCTCTGGAGGTTGACCTATAGGCTCCACATCAATGCACCTCCCTTGCTTTCAGACTTTGAGTTAGGTCCAACCAACAGGGAGCACCACCTGGAGACTGAAGGAGGCAGTAAGCAGGCGGTACCTGCCTGCATCTCTCTCCCTTTCCCTGATGTTCTGGCAACTGCTTCCTCCTGTTACTCCCACAGGCCGAGGAGTACTAATTGCACCTCACTGTCCCCATCTCCAAAATGCTGCTCTGACCCCTCCGCACTTTCCTATAATCCCTCACCTTATAAACAGTCCCTGTATCACGCTTTTGGCAAATTTATCGGCTGCCCACTGACTATCTGATGCAATCTGCAATCACGGAACTCATACTATTTGGCTAAAGAGTTGATGACATTTGTTGTGTTGTCATGGAGTTTGAGGTGCTGGTGCACTACTTTGCCAGATAATCAGACAACGTATCCCCATTGTGGGATAGGGGAAGCAAAACAAATGTTTAACTGTTCAAGGGTATTAATTCAGTCATGGTTTTAAAGACAGAATTAAAAATTTCAATAAAAAACATAGTCATGGCTGGGTGTGGTGGCTTATGCCTGTAATCCCAGCACTTTGGGAGGCTGAGGTGGGTGGATCGCGAGGTGAGGAGATCGAGACCATCCTGGTCAACATGGTGAAACCCCATCTCTACTAAAAATACAAAAAAAAAAAAAATTAGCTGGGTATGGCGGCTTATGCCTGTAATCCCAGCACTTTGGGAGGCTCAGGTGGGTGGATCACGAGGTCAGGAGATCGAGACCATCCTGGTCAACATGGTGAAACCCTATCTCTACTAAAAATACAAAAAAAAAAAAAAATTACCTGGGTGTGGTGGCTTACGCCTGTAATCCCAGCTACTCTGGAGGCTGAGGCAGGACAATTGCTTGAACCTGGGAGGCAGAGGTTGCAGTGAGCAGAGATTGCACCACTGCACTCCAGCCTGGTGACAGAGCTAGACTATGTCTCAAAACAACAACAACAACAAACATGATCATATGGTTTCACATACTATTTATTTACAATTCCAAAACATCATAAATACATCCTATATTTCATGGTTCAGTGGAGTTCAGGAAAAGCAAGTATTTGAGAAAGCAACTTGAATCAAAGAAGCTGGGATAGTTCTGAAGAAAGGGAAATTAACATCTCCCCCAAATGCAGATGCTTTCCATGCACCTGTACTATAGAATTGTGGTATGGAGATATGGAACACGCAAAGTCATTCTACACAACATGATGATGGAGCCATTCTTCATTTTTTCACTGGTCTGGAAAAGACTTTGAGAAATAGGGCTACACTTAAGCATCTTAGACATATTTCTAGAATTTTGGAGTTTGCTGAGAACCTTGAAAATATTAGGCACTGGACTGGTTTGACCTGCCGTGACGTACAAGGCACTTAGGTTTGTTATGTTTGATACAAGAAAGCCTTTATGAGACTGTTCAACAGAAAATCTTGAATTTTTTACTGATACCCATTAAATTGCATAAGACAAATACAGACTGACAAACACATAGCACATATATGATATTTCTTTTTTTGAATATAATGGAGGAAAACACTGTTTTTAGTCTAGTTATCATTAGACTTTTGTTACAGAAAATAAACAAATTCACCCAGCTCTTTGTGCATTTATGGCACTGTTGCTTCTCAGACACCAAATGAAAATTTAACATCCTGTGCCCTCCTTTTTAGATTAAATTCTCCTGTGTTTTCTTTTGGAAATGGGATGGAAGTGAAAACAAAATGTTGTTCTACCATATATCAAGATGAGGGCTGATATTCTGTCCAGAGCTTAAGTAAGTAGAATTGATTTGCTGAAATGCTGAAATGCTTGCAACTTTACACATTTTTGAAATTTTCTTTCTGTGGGATGGAGGCAGAGATCTTGACGATGCTCGCTCTCTGGGGCTTCTGTGTATCACCGGGTGAAAATGGTCTTTCCTTATCTGGAATTCCCCTTCCCTTCCCACCATTATGTAACCAGCTCCAGCATCTCCACATGGCAAACCCTTCTCAATGCCCCTGCACACAGAATTTGTCCTTTACTCCTTGGTCTCTGCATGTGCCCCGTGCTTCTGCTGTGGCATGTGCCACACTGTGCTTTTTAACATGTCCGTCTTGATGATATGCTCTAGATTCATCTGTGGGACTGAACCTTGTCTTTGATCACTAGCGCACCTTGTGGAAACTAATTTGCAGGCAACAGTGTTGAACTATTCATCTCTATTCTAATTCTCATTTATTTGTGGAGAGAATAGAACGGGATAACTTATTCTGTGGTTGTGAAAACCTGAGAATTCAACTGGAATCGAGTTCTCTTGTAAAATGTGAGTTTGAGGGAAGAAACGGTGTGCAACTTGTATGTGATGATATCCCCAGACAACGGTGCATCCATTATGTATCAGGTGCTAGTCTGTTTTGCATTGCTGTAAAGGAGTACCTGAGCCTGGGCAATTTACAAAGGAAAGAGGTTTATTTGGCTCAAGGTCTTGCAGGTTATACAGGAAGCATGGTGCCAGCATCTGCTCAGCTTCTGGTGAGGCCTCAGGAAGCTTTAACTCATGGTGGAAGGTGAAGGGGAGCAAGAGAGAGAACCAGAGAGATGAGGAGGTGCCAGACTCTTTTAAACAACCAGATCTTGTCAGAACTGATGGAGGGAGAATTCACTCATTACCGTGGGGAGGGCACCATGCCTTTCATAGGGGATCTGCCCCCGTGACCCAAACACCTCCCACCAGGCCCCACCTCCAACACGGGGGATCACAGTTCAACCTGAGATTTGGAGGGGACAAACATCCAAACTATATCACATCAGTAAATATTTATTAACTAATTTAAGAAAAAAAACAAAAAATTGATGTCTTTATCATATATCTTGCTTCTTCCTGTAAAAGCCATCAAACTTTCCATTTAAAAAACCCACAATTTTTAGCCATTTTCTGATCTGTACTTTCTTTTAAGCTTGTGAACATGTCCCCAAGAATGAGTTCACCTTTCTTTCAATGTCTTTCCCTTTTTATATTGGAAAGAAAAGGAAAGCAAAATGTATGCATGTGCATGTATATGTGTGTGTGTGTGTGTGTGTGTGTGTGTGTGTAGTTTATCAGAAAGGAAAAGCTCACCTTCCTTGATCACCCTGAGTTTGCTGCAAGCTGCTGACGGCAGCTAATCTGACATTTGTCTCATTGAAGTGGAAGAGCAGATGTGTTGCACTGGAGTCCTCTTGCAGGTCTTCCGTTCTGAAGGCTGCACTCTGCGTCACAGTGTCCTAGACTTGCTGCAGCCCTTCCAGCTGGTGAGCTGCTTTTTTTCTTCCAGTTTAAATACTTCCTTGGTGCAGCCTGAGGGTTGGAAGGCTGGGAGTGGGAGAGAGTTTGTTCTCAAATTTATGAGCTGTGAGTGCAGGGAACTTAAGTGCGGCAGCTCTCCAGTCGACATTACAGATATGGGTAAAATAGTAATCTTTCCTATCAACCCACAGCCCATAAAACGAATACCTTTTAATGGTGTGGGCATAATTATCAGATGTATTAAGTTAATTGGACAGACACTGATGCAAGGTCTTAGTAGTAGCCGACTGTGGCTCGGTGCATTTCCTTAACATTCATAGATCATATTTCAAATGACTGTTGCTGAGAGAACTCCCAAATATATTCTTGGTCAATGTGATTTCTTTCTTTCTTTCTTTTTTAAAAGCTCATCATCTCCACTGAGCCTTAACAATTTACATTAAAAATGCCATTTGGAGCCTCCCCGTCATTTTCCCTTTAGCCTTACTGAAAAATGCTTGCTTTTTCACAAGGTTGCGACACTTAGAATCAGGACCAAGGGTTATGGCTACTAAATTCCAAGTTGTCTTTTATGTACTTGCTTCAAAGCAGGCTTATATTTTCTTAGTATCTTTTCCTAGCATATCGGCCACCAATAAAATGAAAGAGAATAATCCTGACTAAATTCATAGCCATTTTTACAGCATATCTGATCATGCCTTTTATTGACAGAGAGTAATATGCATTAAAGTAATCTCTTGAAAGCCTTTTTTCAAAAAAAATTTGTTTTGGTCTTTATCTTTCCTTTCTAAGTGTCTGGACCGTGTATAATAGGAAGCATAAATTCCCTTTCCAGTGACTGCTATGTTCATGCTTCTCATTTTATTTTATTCATTCTGTTTTATGGACTTTGCAAAGCTGACTTTTGGTTAACCTTATGCCCTCTGAGGCTAAACTTTTGATTTAAAATTATTTGAAGCTCTCGGCTCCCTGGGTTGTGGAGTGCATATAGATCCATCTATGGCGTTAGGTGACTCAGAGCTAGGAAGAACGGTTACAGAGTCCATGCCAGCAACCAGCTGTTGGCCTCACAGGTGCAAAGGAGGCAGCACTAGGTGACTGGGGGTTACAGTCGCCCCTGGAGCTCAGCGATGGTGCCAGAGGATTCCTCCTCCAAGGTCAACGATGATACAGATGTGGATGCAATAGCATGGAGCCCATTTCAACCACCTTAGCATTTGGCTAAGCCATTCATCAAAGGCCTCACATCAAGCCAAGCCTTTCTCTGTCCTCCCCACACTGGTCTGGGCAGCAGCTTCATGCACTAGGGCAGTACACCCCTGTAAGCTCTTCATTCTCTCACCTTTCTAGGTGCTTGTTCCTTTCATTTCCCTCTATCCATGGGGCTTCTTTGTGCTTCCCTTCCAGACTTTGCAACCTTAGTTTGACATTTATTGCAACTGTCACCAACATTGTAGACTTCCTTATCTCAACCTTTGACTGTGATTGTCATGCCACTTTAGGAAAAATACCCCACTTCACTTCCCCATCCATATTCTCTGCTATTGCACCAAGCTTAAGAGACTTGAAAAAGTTCTAGACCTAGGATGCCTTGGACCTGTCTCTTCTCTCTACCTCAGTAATACACAATCCTGCTTCATTGCAAAGACTGACATTAGCTCTGAAAACTCAGTTCTCCCAACTTGCCCTGAAATGTGTATCTCTAGGCCTTAGCTTTGCTCTGATCGCTATCCCCTTTACTAAATAAATTGATGCTCTTTTTATCAATGTGTACCTTCATGTCCACCCTCCCTTTTAATACAGTCTGTATAGGTAGGAGGAGCCCACTGTTTGATGTCAGAACGTTTGAGTTTGGGACCTGGCTCAATTTCCTGCCAATTGTGTGACATAAATTGTTGAAAGGCAAATAAGAGTATCAGTATTACATGTGTTCTCGTAATATTTTTGTAAGTTTTTTTCTACCTTTTTATTCTCCCTACCAGTGCTCTAGGTCAAGTTTATTCATGGAAATACCAGCCATGTCTTCTTAAAATCCTGCTTTGATAAACCGCTCTCCCCAAATTAAACTCCTAAGTGTAATGTTTCAAGTAATAACAAACTACTTAGGGAATTTATACTTCCTATTATACACGATCCAGACACTTAGAAAGGAAAGATACGAACAGCTTAAAGGAAAGATACAGTTTAACTACAAACAGCTTACTGTTACTTATTCAAATATGTATTTTCAGATCTTCACTTTTCCTCTAAATTCTCTGCTCTCTTCAGATCAAATATCTTCTGAAGCCACCAAAAAACTGTCATAACTTCCCACTCCCACCACCAACCACCTTCTCCTTGCCTCTTTTATTCCAATATATTATTCACAGCCCATGATTACTAACTAACTAGGTAATATTGACCACCAATTTCATTTAACATCTACTTGACACAATCATACTATCTAGTGTATTGCCTCATTCATGGTCTAGAAGTCTGAGTTGTCTTATTATTATGTTGATGACTTTGTAACCCCCTGGTTACTGCTTAAAAATGCATGCCTAAGGAAGCCTTCATTCTCTTTGCCTTGGTTTGCTAACACATAAAATGAAGAACGGTGTATTTTTCTACTCATAGGTCTTCATGGGATTTTACAAGTTAATTGAAGCATTCTGAAAGCTTCTTGAATAAAGATTAATAAAGACACATATTTAAATATTTGATGGCCAGTTTCATTTTTCTCATTGTTACTCTTATTCATATTAAGCTATTATTATCTTTTTCTCAGCTTTGTAAAACAATTCTGGCCAGGCGCGGTGGCTCACGCCTGTAATCCAAGCTCTTTGGGAAGCCGAGGTGGGCGGATCACGAGTTCAGGAGATCGAGACCATCCTGGCTAACACGGTGAAACGCCATCTCTACTAAAAATACAAAAAATTAGCCGGGCGCGGTGGCGGGCGCCTGTAGTCCCAGCTACTCGGGAGGTTGAGGCAGGAGAATGGCGTGAACCCGGGAGGCGGAGCTTGCAGTGAGCCGAGATCGCGCCACTGCACTCCAGCCTGGGCGACAGAGCGAGACTCCGTCTCAAAAAAAAAATTAAAAAAAAAACCAATTCTTAAATGAAAGGTCGAATTGTGACAAGTGGTCATTGTAGTACAGATGGAGCAAAAGAAACCCATGCATGATACGTGATTCTTTCCTCCACGAGTGTTTATGTGCGTTTCTTCAATATAGGACGGAAGCAAGGAAAAAGAAAAGGAGAAAAGGAAGCAAAGGAAAGAAATTCTACAAAGCAAATGTTTAAGAATCTGCTAACACATTTTAATGAAGCTCATTAACTCAAACGTTGACTCAACGTAGACTATTTCACAATAGAACCATATATGCCCCCAGAAATAATTTTTTTTTAATTTAGAGATCTAATTGTACCTTTAATACTGGAAGTGAGTGGAAATAGTGTTGCTGTCGTTTCTAAGTGGCCCCGAGAGGAGAAGTAACTTGCAGGCAAGTTACAACATCCAGTTTTTAAAATTTATTTTAAATTTTTTTCATATAAGGTGAAGATCTTTTTTTTATTATTATACTTTAAGTTCTAGGGTACATGTGCACAACGTGCAGGTTTGTTACATATGTATACACGTGCCATGTTGGTGTGCTGCACCCATTAACTCGTCATTTACATTAGGTATATCTCCTAATGCTATCCCTCCCCCCTCCCTCCCATCCCACAACAGGCCCCGGTGTGTGATGTTCCCCACCCTGTGTCCAAGTGTTCTCATTGTTCAATTCCCACCTATGAGTGAGAACATGCGGTGTTTGGTTTTTTGTCCTTGCAATACTTTGCTGAGAATGATGGTTTCCAGTTTCATCCATGTCCCTACAAAGGACATGAACTCGTCATTTTTTATGGCTGCATAGTATTCCATGGTGTATATGTGCCACATTTTCTTAATCCAGTCTATCATTGCTGGACATTTGGGTTGGTTTCAAGTCTTTGCTATTGTGAATAGTGCCACAATAAACATATGTGTGCATGTGTCTTTATAGCAGCATGATTTATAATCCTTTGGGTATATACCCAGTAATGGGATGGCTGGGTCAAATGGTATTTTTAGTTCTAGATCCTTGAGGAATCACCACACTGTCTTCCACAATGGTTGAACTAGTTTACAGTCCCACCAACAGTGTAAAAGTGTTCCCATTTCTCCACATCCTCTCCAGCACCTGTTGTTTCCTGACTTTTTAATGATCACCATTCTAACTGATGTGAGATGGTATCTCATTGTGGTTTTGATTTGCATTTCTCTGATGGCCAGTGATGATGAACATTTTTTCATGTGTCTGTTGGCTGCATAAATGTCTTCTTTTGAGAAGTGTCTGTTCATATCCTTGGGCCACTTGTTGATGGGGTTGTTTCATTTCTTCTTGTAAATTAGTTTAAGTTCTTTATAGATTCTGGATATTAGCCCTTTGTCAGATGGGTAGATTGCAAAAATTTTCTCCCATTCTGTAGGTTGTCTGTTCACTCTGATGATAGTTGCAGAAGCTCTTTAATTTAATTAGATCCTATTTGTCTATTTTGGCTTTTGTTGCCATTGCTTTTGGTGTTTTAGTCATGGAGTCCTGAATGGTAAAGCCTAGGTCTTGAATGGTATTGCCTAGTTTTCTTCTGGGGCTTTTATGGTTTTAGGTCTAACATTTAAGTCTTTAATCCATCTTGAATTAATTTTTGTATAAGATGTAAGGAAGTGATCCAGTTTCAGCTTTGTACATATGGCTAGCCAGTTTTCCCAGCACCATTTATTAAATAGGGAATCCTTTCCCCATTTCTGTTTTTGTCAGGTTTGTCAGAGATCAGATGGTTGTAGATGTGTGGTATTATTTCTGAGGGCTCTGTTCTGTTCCATTGGTCTATATCTCTGTTTTGGTACCAGTACCATGGTGTTTTGGTTACTGTAGTCTTGTAGTCTAGTTTGAAGTGAGGTAGCATAATGCCTCCAGCTTTGTTCTTTTGGCTTAGGATTGATTTGGCAATGCGGGCTCTTTTTTGGTTCCATATGAACTTTAAAGTAGTTTTTTCCAATTCTGTGAAGACAGTCATTGGTAGCTTGATGGGGATGGCATTGAATCTATCAGTTAACAAGGTGAAGATCTTTTCTGTGTCTGCCAATAAGTTTTCTTCATCTAGTGACTGTAAAGGAGTTTGACAATTCTCATAAATTGAAAAGTTATTGGGAGATACAAAGTTACATATAAATTTCAAATTGAAGGCCCATCAATAGGATTATGTTTGTTTAAATACAAACAGCTTCAGCTTTCCAAGACTTTCTACTCTGGCTCTTGTGTTAATTGTACTAATGGCTGGTACTGTGTGACTTCTTCATCTCTTTGGTTCTCTGGTTCCTTCTGGAGGTAAAGTTCTATGATTCTATTCATAGCAGTTCCTAGTCTGATTAGGTTACCAACATGGATAAGAATCTGATAAAAGTTATAAACTGTATTTTCAGTGAAAAGCACAATTTCCTAAAACATATGTGTGTGTGTGATATGGTTTGGCTGTGTCCCCACCCAAATCTCCTCTTGAATTGCAACTCCCACAATTTCTATGTGTCCCTGGGAGGAATCTGGTAGGAAGTAATAGAATCATGGGGGTGGATCTTTTCTTGGCTGTTCTTGTGATAGTGAATAAATCTCATGAGATCTGATGGTTTTAAAAATGAGAGTTTGCCTGCACAAGCTCTCTCTTTGCCTGCCACCATTCACGTAAGATGTGACTTGGTCCTCCTTGCTTTCCACCATGATTGTGAGGCATCCCCAGCCATGTGGAACTGTTAAGTCCAATAAACCTCTTTCATTTGTAAATTTCCCAGTCTTGGCTATGTCTTTATTAGCAGTGTGAAAACAGACTAATATAGTAAATTGGTACCAGTAGAGTGGGTGCTGCTGAAAAGATACCTGAAAATGTGGAGGCAACTTTGGAATTGGGTAACAGGCAGAGGCTGAAACAGTTTGGAGGGCTCAGAAGAAGACAGGAAAATGTGGAAGAGTTTGGAACTCCCTAGAGACTTGTTGAATGGCTTTGAACATGATGCTGATAATAATATGGACAATGAAATCTAGGCTGAGGTGGTCTCAGATGGAGATGAGGAACTTTTTGGGAACTGGAGCAAAGGTGACACTTGTTATATTTTAGCAAAGAGACTGGCAGCATTTTGCCCTTGCCCTAGAGATTTGTAGAACTTTGAACTTGAGAGTATCTGGCAGAAGGAATTTCTAAGCAGCAAAGCATGTAAGAGATGACTTGGGTGCTGTTGAAAGCATTCAGTTTTATAAGGGAAGCAGAGCATAAAAGTTTGGAAATTTTGCAGCTTGACAATGCAATAGAAAAGAAAATCCCATTTTCTGAGGAGAAATTCAAGCCATCTGCAGAAATTTGGGTAAGTAACCAGGAGCCAAATGTTAATCACCAAGACAATGGGGAAAATGTCTCCAGGGTATGTCAGAGGTCTTCATGGCAGCCCCTTCCATCACACCCTTGAAGACCTAGGAGGAAAAAGTGGTTTCCTGGGCCAGGCCCAGGGTCTCCATGCTGTGTGCAGCCTAGGGACTTGGTGCCCTGCATCCCAGGCACTCCAGCCATGGCTGAGAGGGGCCAACGTAGAGCTTGTGCTGTGACTTCAGAGGGTGGGAGCCCCAAGCCTTGGCAGTTTCCACATGGTGTTGAGCCTGCAAGTGCACGGAAATTAAGAATTGGGGTTTGGAAACCTCCATCTAGATTTCAGAAGATGTATGGAAATGCCTGGATGTCCAGGCAGAAGTTTGCTGCAGGGGCAGGGCCCTCATGGAGAACCTCTGCTAGGACAATGCAGAAGGGAAATGTGGGGTTGGAGCCCCACACAGAGTCCCTACTGGGGCACCACCTAGTGGAGCTGTGAGAAGAGGGCCATCATCCTCTGGACCCCAGAATGGTAGATCCACTGACAGCTTGCACTGTGCATCTGGAAAAGCTGCAGACTTCCAATGCCAGCCCATGAAAGCAGCCAGGAGGTAGGCTATGCCCTGCAAAGCCACAGGGGTGGAGCTTCCCAAGACTAGGTGAACCCACCTTTTGCCTCAGCATGACCTGGGTGTGAGACATGGAGTCAAAGGGGGTCATTTTGGAGCTTTCTGATTTCACATCCCTGCTGGATTTCAGACTTGCGTGGGGCCAATGGCTCCTTTGTTTTGGCCAATTTCTCCCATTTGGAATGGCTGTTATTTACCCAATGACTGTACCCCCATTGTATCTAGGAAGTAACTAACTTGCTTTTGATTTTACAGGCTCACAGGTGAAAGGGACTTGCCTTCTCTCAGATGAGACTTTGGACTGTGGACTTTTGAGTTAATGCTGAAATGAGTTAAGACTTTGGGGGACTGTTGGGAAGGCATGATGGGTTTTGAAATGTGAGGACATGAGATTTGGGAGGGGTCGGGGCCTAATGATATGATTTGTCTGTGTCCCCACCCAAATCTCATCTTGAATTGTAACTCCCACAATTCACATGTGTCATTGGAGGAACCTGGTGGGAGGTAATTGAATCATGGGGGCTGGTCTTTCCTGTGCTGTTCTCATGATAGTGAATAAGTCTCACGAGATCTGATGACTTTAAAAATGGGAGTTTGACTGCACAAGCTCTCTCTTTGCCTGCCACCATCCATGTATGATGTGGTTTGCCTTCTGCCATGATTGTGAGGCATCCCCAGCCATGTGGAACTGTGAGTCCAATAAACCTCTCTTGTTTGTAAATTACCCAGTTGTGGGTATTCTTTATCAGCAGCATGAAAACAGACTAATACAACTAATAATATATAATATATTATATATAATTATATTTACATTATTACATTAATTATATAAAATTATATTTTCCATAATTTTATTACATTATATACATTACATATATATTTACATTGTATATCTATTTTCTTTTAAGCTGCTCAGTGTCAAACTCATTGCATGAGTTTTAGGGACAATCAATCCTCAGCACCAGCATGGAACCCAGAATCGGCAGAGGCCAATTTGCAGTCTGTGACCTGCACAGATAGAATGCTGGCACGTGGCTTCATCCTGCTTAGTCCCAGGTCTTGAAACCAGAGTTAGTGTTGCAAAGAAGTCGGCACAGCTTAGCATTTATTCTCCAGGCATGAGCTGGAGCAGCATTCAAGGTTCTAGGCCAGCAACAGCTGTTTCCAGTGGTGAAATGCCGTGTCCGATAGCAGAGGAGTCTTAACCAGTCTTGCCTGTGGTATCGTTTTCATTATTGTTTTGAATCGCTGGCCTCCCTTGGTTTTATAACTGATTTCTGGGATACGTAATATATTTCCAGTAAATTCAGTGAACTATCCAATGTATTGTTAAATTCCTTTCTCACATGAATTCACCAGAATTAGTTTTTGCTGTTTGCAAAGAAGAACTCTAACACACATAAAGGTAAGGAAAACATTCCGCCTATAGCTTCAGTGTTTCAGTGTTTTGATGAGCCCCTTCAGCCCATCACAGATTCTGCTTGCCTCTCTCAAGCTGATGGGGTTGGTGGTTTTCTGGGCTGTGAGGGTGAGAGAGTATCTGCAAGGCCTGTGTAAGGACACCTGCTCTAAAAAGGCGTGAACTGGTTGGGCGCGGTGGCTCACACCTGTAATCCCAGCAATTTGGGAGGCCAAGGCGGGCAGATCACTTGAGGTCAGGAGTTCGAGACCAGCCTGGCCAACATGGTGAAACCCTGTCTCTACTAAAAATATAAAAATTAGCCGAGTGCGGTGGTGGGCACCTGTAATCCCAACTACTTGGGAGGCTGAGGCAGGAGAATCGCTTGAACCCAGGAGGTGGATCTTGCAGTGAGCCAAGATCGCGCCACTGCACTCCAGCCTGGGTGACAGAGAGAGAGAGAGACTCTGTTTCAAAAAAAAAAAAAAAGGTGTGAATCTAATTAGTTGTTTAAAAAACTAGGTGGTGCAAAGCCTCGATTTTCTGATCGTGCTAATACAAGGTAAAAGTCATGAGCTGGTGCATATCAATTCTAGAAAGTGAAATTTAATTAAAAGGATAAAATTTTAATCTCAATTATTTACTTTATTTTTTCAAATTTATTTGCTTCTGTTTTTTTTTTTAATTATTATTTTTAAGATGAGGTCTCACTCTCTATCACCCAGCTGGAGTGCAGAGGCATTATCTCAGCTTACTGCAGCCTCGACCTCCTGGGCTCAAGCCATTCTTCCACCCTAGCCTCCCAGGTAGCTGGGACTACAGGTGCACACCACCATAGCTGGTTAATTTTTGTATTTTTAATAGAGCTGAGGTTTCACCATGTTGCCTAGGCTAGTCTCAAACTTCTGAGCTCAAGCCATCTTCCTGCCTCAGCCTCCCAAAATGCTGGGATGACAAGCATGGGCCACTGTACTCAGCCCAATTAGTTACTTTAAAACTTGCTCTTTTCCTCTTATTTTTCAACTAATGAACAGGGCAAATCTCTGTCTCCACTACAAAGTCAATCCAGCAGCGTGCCTGAGAAACTCCTCTTCTATTGTCTGCGAGGGCTTGCATATGAGCTTTCAATTCATCTGAAATAGCAATTCCCCTACTGTGAGTGTTTTCATAAAGACTTTCAGAGCAGAAATACAGAGTGCTTTACTATGTTAGTGTTTCCACCTAGTATCTGCCACAAAGACAAGTTATAAAAATCAGCTTCAGAATGTTTAGGAAGTAACAGAGAGCCTCCAGTTGAGTGTCTACATTAACAAATAACGCACCTCCTACATACATGCATGGCCAGTTACACGCAAACATTGAATAGATTTTGTTAAAATATCAATGACTGACACTTAGGCTAAGACGATGAATGGCCAACCAGTGAAATAGTGTGTGTGTATATGTGCCTGTGTGTGTGTGTGTGTGTGTGTGTGTGTGTGTGTGTGTGTGTGTGTTAAGAGAGAAAACTCTTTTCCTCCAAGGTCATTAAGGTCTTTTTTCAAGGTCACGAAGTTCTAGTAGAACTTATAACACACTTCAGAGGCAATCATTATTACTAAAATTTTAAACAGAAAGAAACTACAAGCAATGGGAAGAAGAAGAAGAAGTGAGTAGGGCAGGTTATATGCTTTCAGAAAATACAGATAAAGGGAAGACAAATCCCAGTTTTCTTGAAGCTCGTTTTTATTTTTTTTATTTTTTTGAGATAGGGTCTTTCCCTGTTGCCCAGGCTGGATTGAGATGGCGTCTCTCCCTGTTGCCCAGGCTGGAGAGCAGTGGCACAATCTTGGCTCACTGCAACATCTGCCTCCCAGGCTCAGGTGATCCTCCGACCTCAGCCTCTCAAGTAGCTGGGATTACAGGCATGCACCACCACACCTGGCTAATTTTTGTATTTTTCTGTAGAAGCAGAGTCTTCCTGTGTTGCCCAAGCTGTTGAACTCCTTTTATGCTTTCTCTTGTTTTGATTATATAATCTCTTTCTAGACAGTTCAAATAAAGTTTGAAAGTAGGTTTTTCTTTTCTTCTTTAGAAGCCAATTTCCTTTGAAACATGGAGACAAAACGCTATGTCGTTTATTTATTAAGATCTGTTGTTTTCCCTCATCTTTTGTAGTAGCTAACCACAGTATCACCTCTCCCGTATTTACTATACTCTTTGCCTGTAGCCAGCAAAGTAACATCCACAGAGGCAGTGAGAGAATGCTTCTTATGTGAGTCTTAGAATTATTTATTCTGGATAGAATTTGTTTTTAATGTTTATGGAAGTGTCCAAAGTAGAATCTATTCCCCAGGTAGGCATTAGGTACAGCAGAAAAGACACTTCCACTCAGGCAGGTGCTGAAAGATAATCTCCGTGACAAAGTGATTCTCCATGAGAATTGAGTCTTTAGTTTCTCTGCTGTCAGGGGAGTTGTTGATGGCCATTTACACTTTTTGTATAATGAGGACACCTGTTTGCTAATAATTGAACTGAGGATATCACAACACAGGGCGTTTAAAAATAACATGGGAATACAATTGCAGATTACATACACACATGAATAGATGTTTGCTGTTGGTAGCTTAATGGGCCATGGCTACGTATTTCCTAAGTAGCTAAATCGAGTTACAGATTTTGTAGTATTTATTGCATTTCATTTTAATAAGCAGTTATTATAGTTGAATAATTACTTCATCACAGGTGTAACAGATACCACAGGGGTGACATCAGTGAAAGTGCTTTATCACTGCTTTTCCTGTGCCATGGGGTAATAATCAAAGACAGAGCTTAAAAGAAATAAAAAGTTCCCTTAGTGAAGCAGATTGAGATTTCATTTTCAGTGCGACCCAGTATGCTTGATTGCTACATGAATAAACTGGTGTAGGCTAGAAACCATACCTCTATGGAAGTGAATTGTGTTGAATGAGGGACTAAAGGGAAGAAGATCACCTGAATCTGGGGACCCTGTTGCTCCTGGAGTAGTGCAGCATTGGGATATGTTTTTCCTCTAGCTGGTTGGCATATACCATATAGAGAGGTTGGCATATACCGTATAGAGAGGTTGGCATACTGTATAGAGAGGTTGGCCTACCTTATAGAGAGGTTGGCATATACCATATAGAGAGGTTGGCATATACCATATAGAGAGGTTGGGATACCGTATAGAGAGGTTGGCATACCGTATAGAGAGGTTGGCATATACTGTATAGAGAGGTTGGCATACCGTATAGAGAGGTTGGCATACCATATAGAGAAGGCAAATGCTTTGTTCCACCTGAATTTGTGACTGTGGTGCAGAGGATTTCATGGCTAAAAATAGAAAACTTCTCACGTTACTATAGGTCTAAATGGAGGTAATATTTTAAAGACTAAAATCGATGTTGATAATTACAGTAGTTTATGTTATATCAAAACATCAAAAATAAAAGTAACCGAATAATCAAAGGACCTAACACCCAAATTACCAACTGCCTTTGATCTATATATACTATATATAATATATGATCTATATATATTATATATAATATATATTATTTTTTTCTTAGAAGCAATTGGCAGAATCATGGAATATTACAAACATTAAAACTTATAGAGGGCTTTAAGAATCACTTTATTTATCCTCCTATTTTTGTAATTAAAAAATAAGGCCAGAGTGTTGTATTGACTTGGCCAGTTTCCATAGTTAATACTGAGGGATAACACTTCCTTAAAGTATAATAGTGATATTTGCACACAACAATCTTTCTACTTCTCTACTTTAAAACTTCCTATTTAACTTCAGTTCACTCTGAAAAAAATGAATTTTGGCTTGCTCTCAATTTTACCTCTTTATTTACCAAAATAGAGGGTATCTGTATCACTATGTCAGGTAAAAATCTAAATTTTTGGAATTCATCTACCATTAGTGTATATATTCTAACCTTCATTACTTGCAGGTAAAAATGTGATCATGCTAACAGCGACACCCAAATCTACTTATCTCCAAATCTCCAGGCGGCAACTCAGGCCAGATCCTTTCCCAGGTAATCTCAGGAATCCCCGAAGTGGCAATGACTTCCTCAGGAATACGGCTTTTAATTTTCTTTCTTTCCCTCAAATTCTTCTTGGAGGTCTATTGCCCCTAAGCCCTAAGCTGCTGCTTTAAGCTGCTGCTGTCGTATTAGATGGTGAAGTAGAGAGGCTACCTGTGGCTTCTCCCTGTGGTTACTTGGGTCCCAGCACAGTGCTTCTTAAGCTCAGAGTCTCAAAGCATTTTCATGAGCTTTTACTGAATCCTTGAGATGCAGTATTCAGATACCATCTAATACCTCCCATTTTTCTACTCTTGCCTTTTACTCCTTCCTAGTCCCCAAAAGCCTCTTCGTTTTTCAAAAAATAATAAAAGGCAGTCACAGAGGATAGTCGCAGAGGAGGGCTGTTGTTCATTTGCCACCTTGGAAAAAGCATTCATGTTCCATCTTTGCCCAGCCAAGATAACCTTTTAGGAATATTTTGACATGCATTTTACTTTCTGGGAACTGGCACCAAAGATTGGTCATCATTACTCTAATTAATCGCTTCTATTTGTAAGGGTGATGAGGTTTTGTACGGATTGGCCAAAATAGTCACCATTAAGAAATGCTTTCTCTGTTCAGCTAAAACCCTATGTCTGAAGCCACACAGGAACGGATAGCTTTAGTCTGTGGTTCTAATGCCTCATTTTCTATAAATTCCAAATGGACCTGCCTTTTTCTGGGCCAGTGACACGGAAAATGATAGTTGGCAGTCGATGGTCATTAAAAAACCTTCTTGGAATGCTGTTACAGCAGTGGGCAGCCGTTACTGTCATGTTGAGAGTGATAAAGGTAGAATCATGGGATTTCAAAAATCAAAGGGAACTTAGAAATAATTTTGTTCAACTCCCTTGTCTTATAGATAAAAGTAGTCATGTAACTATCTGTCATTTTATACCCAATTTAAAAGCTTGTGACATCCTTCTACAAAATGAAAACATACAATCAAACCAGGCACTCTTGCTTGCCAAGGTCCTACATTTGGGCCTCACATGCTCATTCCATTTAACCATTGCACTGGCGAATGCAGCAGTAATTCCCAGCCATGACGGACAAAAATCCCAGGTGCATTTTTGACTCTAGTCATGAAGTCATTGACACAACCTCAAAAATAATTAACATTTTCATAGACAATTCCACAAAATACTTTCACCACAGGGAATATTTTTCAGCAAAAGATGATGGTTAGGTAGATATAGCAGCTTCCCAAATAGTGGGATTCTTAGAGCACGGATAAAATCAGTTGAAAGCTGAAAAAATATCTTGAATGGGCAAGGAAGAAGGAATCCAATGTAGGAAAGCTTACTTTATATTTCCATGGATAAATGCAATAACACTTACGTTTCTGAAAATTCTATCAGCATGCCAACTTCATTTCCAGTCCAACGGATTGCCTTATTGCCCTGAATCATGTTAAGCCAGTCTTGGAACTTCGTGGCTCCCAGTGGATCTCCAGCTCCTTACTGTTCCTGAGAGCCATCTGTTGTGTGTAGGTTTCCACTGGACCCGGCATAAATATTTACATGTGAGTTCATCTTGAGGTGGGATTATGCCTAATAAACCCCTGGAATTCTGTACCACCCCACGCATGGTTACTAATTTTATCTTTCTCTGGTATGTTTAGCTGAAGCTGGCACATTGTTCTTTTTTTTTTCTAATCAATTAAAATTTTAAAAATGGTGATCAAAGCACTGGTGGTCAGTGAGAGCCTAGACAGTAAGAGCTCTTTCCTCAGGGGTTGAAAAATCTCTATCTAAACAAATAAAGTGGTCATATGGTTTGAAAATATTTATAGAGGGGCCGGCCATGGTGGCTCACGCCTGTAATCCCAGAACTTCGGGAGGCCAAGGCTGGCAGATTGCTTGAGGCCAGGAGTTTGAGACCAGCCTGGCCAAAATGGTGAACCCCCATCTTTACTAAAAATACAAAAATTAGCCAAGTGTGGTGGCGCATGCTTGTAGTCTCAGCTACTCTGGAGGCTGAGGCACTAGTATAGCTTGAACTCGGGAGATGGCGGTTGCAGTGAGCCGCGGTCACCCCCGCACTCCAGCCTGGGCGACAGAGCAAGACTCTGTCTCAAAAAAATGTATATATCTATATATACTGCCGGGCATGGTGACTCATGTCTGTAATGCCAGCACTTTGGGAGGCCAAGGTGGGTGGTTCACTTGAGGTCAGGAGCTCGAGACCAGCCTGACCAATATGGCGAAACCCCATCTCCACTAAAAAATACAAAATTAGCTGGGCGTGGTGGTGCAAGCCTGTAATCCCAGCAACTCTGGAGGCTGAGGCAGGAGAATTGCTTGAACTCGGGAGGTGGTGAACTGAGTGAACTGAGATTACGCCACTGCACTCCAGCCTGGGCAACAAGAGCAAAACTCTGTCTCAAAAAAAAAAAAAGAAATTATGTAATACTTTTTCCATGAGTCAAATTCAAATGATGGCGATCCACTGGCGTGATTGTAATGACACAGTTTAATCAAAGGCCGTCAAGGTACGTACAATTGACTAGAACCAACTTGATCATAGTTAACTGAAGAATGTTGTGGTGGCTGTGTTCTTTGTCTTCCGAAGTTGACTTATGAAATCAAAACAGTATTCTCCTGGACATATTTAATAATGCATTCAAGCAGGCATTTTGCCAAATCCCTTTGAGACCATATTAAATGGAAAGATATTTTAAGCATTCATTTTGATGAATGGAGCATAGGTAAAGACCTTGTTCAATCCACAGGGTCTAGTATACAATGAAAGCATTGACCAACAGATAATTTATTACAGTGCGGTGGAATTAATTTTTGGTACATTGAATATTTATTTTCCTCAGTGTGTTTTAAATTTCAGTTTTAGAAAATTTTTGTGTGATTATGAAATTAATACATGTTCAGTGTAGAAAATTAGGAGAATATAGAAGAAAAGATAAGGGAAAAATCAAAAGAAAATCCAATTCTCAAAAATACCCACTATTTTTATTTTGGTATAAATATGCATACAATTAATATTTTATCACTCTTGTCAATCATTTCAAAGATGTTATTCAAAGATATTTCTACAATGTTATTTGCAGTTGAATAATCTAAATGACCATCAACAGGACTTTGATGTACTGGCATGAAAAGAGGTTGACAAGAACCTGTCAAGGGAAAAAAGCAAGAACTAGAAAACTTTTATAATAAAGCCTCATTTTTTTGTATCAAAAATTTTAGAAGTCATGTAGAAAAGTGTTTCTATATTAACAGTGTTTACCTCTGAGGAAGCTGATAAACAGAGCAGGTTTTTTTTTATAACCAGTATTCATTTTGTAATAAATAAATAAACAACTCTAGCTTATGCTTGCTTTGTTAGAACACAGCAATCCATGGCATATGCAGATTGGGTCCTGGTCCTGTGACTATTAAGAATTATTTACAGATTTAATTTTCCCATTTGAAGATAATTGTGAATCAATGCAAAGATTCCAAGAGAAAAAAAGGTGCAGCTAAATTATTAACAGGTAAAACACTGTATCTGAGTGGAAAGGTAAAGGAGTGTAGATTACTTGTTGAAAGTAGGATATTTGGGAACAATCTAACAACAAATATGTATTGACTGGCTACTCTGTATAATGCCCCACTTGGATGGTACTGAACAGAAATCCTAGATCCACAGAAAATTGTAAAAGGTGCCTATAATTAGGTGTCAGGATTTGCCGCTGATCTGGAAGGCCGACCTCTGAATACATACAGAGAAGAGTAACTGGTCTATATGTGAGCTGAGGTGATATTTAAAACATGGAACGCCCTGGACAGCACAGGTGTGGACCAATCAGAAGGGATACTGGCTGTGGTCCTGGGGTAGAGTCCTGGAGGGTCTATTCATACCAGGCTTAAATTAACTTTTCGGTTGCTACACAGGGGTGAGCAGGGGGTCACAGGGCAAAGGCCTGGGTTGGGGGCAGCTCAGTGAGCTATACTCTAAATCCTGATAAGAATTCTAGGAGGTAGGTGCAACTCTTCAGGATGAGTGTTTGTAGTACTTGTTGCTACTATTATTTGCCTCTTCTAGAACACGGGTCCGCAACCCCCAGGCCATGAACCAGTGTGGGAACCAGGCAGCATGCAGGAAGTGATTGGCAGATGAGCAAGCAAAGCTTCATCTGTATAACAGCTGCTCCCCATCCTTCGCACTGCGCCTGGGCTCTGCCTCTGGTCAGAGCAGAAGCAGCATCAGATTCTCAGAGGAGCACAAAACCTATTGTGAACTGCAGATGTGAGGGATCTAAGTTGCATGCTCCTTATGAGAATCTAATGCCTGATGATCTGTCACTGTCTCCCCACAACACCCGTCCATGGAAACATTGTCTTCCATGAAACTGATTCCTGGTGCCAAAAAGGTTGTGGATTGCTGTTCTAGAAAATATCATGAGAGTTTACTTACGAAACGTGTTAAATTAAAAGACTATATATTAAATGAAAACATTTGTAGATTTCAGTCATTTAAATTGCTGTTTTCTCCTTAGGCTGTTTGCCCCTCTCTATCTCCCGGTCATGTCAGTACCTTTGTACCTGTTCTTTCACATCAAATGGAATGGCTGAGTTAGATGTCTTTCATTTCAGCCCTCTTGACACCATAACCATGTCCTTTTTTCTGAAGCTACTATTATTTCCAGAAGTTAGTATTTCCTTAGATGATAAAATAGCAATAGTAACTTCAACAATATGGTAAATTTAGAGTTGTCCTCTGGGGCTAGAGATGAATTTTGTTATTGTAACTTTTAACTTTAAGAATACCTGAACATTTTTAGTTAATTTAAACCACCAAAAATTCAATTAACAATGGATATGTTTATAAGTAAGCTATAGACCATGGTGGGCCCTTCCTAGTAACATCTTACTTTACATGTAACAATTCTCTTGAGATGCAGTATTTCATCTACTTATTGTGACAATCTTTCAAAGAAGGCAATATCGTTCAAATTTTGTAAACAAGGAAACAGAGGGTTAGAGAAATCAAACTGCTTGTCTTAAAGTACACAGCTATAAGCAGCATCATCAGAGCCAAAATTCTGTGATTTTTTTTTTTTTTGGCTATAAATCTAATGTTTTTTCTACTACTTTCCACTGCCCTGTTTTTGTTTTCTTATGTTTTAGTGTTGACTACAAATAACAGTTATAGCTAGTTTGGTTTTAAGGGACACAATGTTTGAAAGGCCTTTATCAATTTTTAAAATACTTTGTCTTTCAGAATGTAATAAAAAACTCCCAATTACATAAATGTTGATTCGCTAGGTTCTATAACATTGAATCATAGTCTCGAATGGCAAAAATGAATTAACACAGTTTAATTCCCCCATTTTACATCTCATTTTCATCGAGAAACTTGAAATGTGTAATGTGGTTCAAATTCCTTGATGCATTTAACAGCCCATTGGGTTTTGTGTGTCCAATAACTGCCACCACCCCTCAACCTACAGAAGCAGATACCTTGTGAATTATAAATTTGTGCATAATGGAAGCCAATTGCCACATGTTCATTTGGATTTTAATAATTCAGGGATAATCTGCTACAGGTAGAGTGGGACAGATCCCCCTTACGTGGCAAAATTGGAAAAAAGGTAGACAAACAATTAATAATGAAGGGTTGAAATTAGCATCTACCAATGTCATTAATGCTTTGTCATTCTTACCTGGATTTCCTTTAGGTAAAGGCAAGGATTTATCTATTTTCTTTCTACTAACAGTAAGACATAGTCTCTTTTGCAGTATCTTGTATATCTAAAGAATCTAAAATGTCAGTTAGAACATAAAATGCTTTGGACTGTAGATGTCCTTACTTGGTGTTTGTGCTGGGCTAAATAATACACCTCCAAGGATGTCCACGTTCTAATCCCAGGAACTTGTGAACCTTACCTTATGTGTCAAAAGGGACCTTGCTGATATCTCACTATGGGAAGATGACCTGATTGTCCTGGTGGGCTCTAAGCATCATCGCGAGACCCTTGTGAGAGGGAGGCGGAGGCAGAAGTGACCTCAGAAGAGGGTGACGTGGTGGCAGAGAGACAGGCTATGCTGCCGGCTTTGAAGACGGAAAAGGAGACACCTGCCAAGGAGTGCAGCAGCTTCTACGGGTGGGAAAAGGCAGGAAAACAGTTCTCCAGAGCCTCGGAAGGAACCCGTCCTGCTGACACTTTGCCTTCAGCCTTGTGAGACTGATTTTGGATTTCTGACCTCCAGAACATTAAGACAGTAAATTAGCACTGTTTTAAGCAATGGAATTTGTGGCAATTTACTACAGCAGCAATAGGAAACTAACACAAGCAGTGGTAAAGCCCATTCTGGACTTAGCTCTCCTCTCCCCTGATAAGACCTCTATGCTGTGTGCCTCTTAGAGATTTCCCCATGGTGTCTTTGTTTCTGGACATTGCAACCCCATAATTCAGAGAGGTAATCATAGAAAGGCATGTGGATAAGAACCAGGCATTGGTTCTGGGTCTTGATGAAAATCTTTCTCTGTTAAAACAACATCGAGACACTACCATACACCTATCAGAATGATGAAAATCCAGAGCACTGACGCCACCAATTGCTGGCAAAGGTGTGAAGCAACAGGAACTGTCATCCGTTGCTGGTGGGAATGCAGAATGGCACAGCCACTTTGGAAGACAGTTTGGCAGCCTCTTCTGAAGCAAAACATGCTTTTACGATAGGAGCCTGAAATTGCTTTCCTTGGTATTCACCCAAATGAGCTGAAAATACATGTCCACACAAAAATCTGCAAGTACATGCTTATAGCAGCTTTACTGATAATTGCCCAAACTTGGAAGCAACAAAGATGTCCAGTAGGTGAATGCGTCAATAAATTGTGGTACATCCAGACAATGGAATATTTTTAAAGTGCTAAAAAAAAAATGAGCCATCAAACCATGAGAAGACACAGAAGAACCTTAAATGCATATTACTAAGTAAATAAAAGAATCCAATCTGAAAAGGGTACATACTGTACAACTGAACTCTATGACACTCTGGAAAAGACACAGCTTGGGGACAATGAAAAGATAATGGTTGCCAGGGTTTTTGGGGAGGGAGGGAGGAATAAGCAGAAAACAGGATTTTTAGGACGGTGGAACTATTTCGTAGGATGGTACAGTGGTGCACACGTTGTTATATATTTGTCAAAACCCGTAGAATGTGCAACACTGAGAGCAAACCCTAATGGAACGTGGACTCTGGGTGATGGTGATATGACATTGCAGGTGCATCAGTTGTAACAAATGTCCCACTCGAATAATGGATGTTGAGAGTGGGGTGGCTGTGTGTGCGGGGGTGGGTGGGGGCTTGTGGGAAATCTCTGTATGTTCTGATCAATTTTGCTGTAAGCTTAAAACTTCTCTTTAAAGAAGAGTGTATTTACCAGTAAACATTTACATATATATATATATGAGATATACATATATCTATATATATTTAACTTAGAGCCTCTGGCAGGGGACAGCAACCAAGGATCCATGTGTCTGGTTGGCTCTAGGGAAGCCTGACCTTCACAGTTAGACTTGGGGGTTCCCCTGGGAATACACAGTGGGCAGCCACCTTTCCAAAGGATGGGATGACCAGGCCGGATTTTGGTACCTCTTCTCTCCCCGTCACCCTGCTTCACAGGATGAGGGAATGGACAGATGAACAGATAAACCAAGAAGAGACACCACATTCTCTGGCAGAGGAGCTCTACAAAGTGCAGTAAATTCCTGGGATCATATGAGTGATGAAGCCCAGAAATTGCCCAGGGAAGGAAGTTAGCAAACTTAAGAGTAAGTCCTTTGGCCCAATTTTAACGGACAAGGTAAAAAGAATAGTTGGTGTAACATCTGAAGTTTGGAAACACATGCTTTGTTTACCCCCCGCCGCATCCTCAGGCCTTTCAAAATGAGAGGATGCCCACTGTGAGCCAGCCGCTCTCTTGGCAAGCCGGCTGGCCACAAAGAGGCTCAGTCATAATCGGGTGGAAACATACACTCTCCCCTTTTTATTGGCGGCTTGAGGCTTGGTGATTGGCCTATAAATCTA
This sequence comes from Homo sapiens, assembly GCF_000001405.40. Classification (NCBI taxonomy): domain Eukaryota; kingdom Metazoa; phylum Chordata; class Mammalia; order Primates; family Hominidae; genus Homo; species Homo sapiens. The sequence continues at coordinate 187,048,003 of NC_000004.12, forward strand.
AACTGCAAGCGCAGAGCCTGTGTTTGGGGTCGTGATCCGTTTGCCACAGGCACACTGGTCCTGGCTCGATTTACCGGCCGTTCTGCCTCCGCCCTTTGAACTGTAACCCATTTGAAGGGCTCTGGGGGTGACTTTGCTGTGCCTCAATGATTTATAGAAATTTCAGGATTCAAGGTTTTCACCTTTGATGCACAATTCTCCTTTTCCTTGGAAAGGGGACCGGGAACAAACTAAACTGACACAGTATCCAAGCACCATCCATTTTTGAACCTTTCAAACTGTGCCCAGTCAGTTCGTAATGCTTTAGGATGCGTTCTTTCTTAACAGGCTCCTTGGCTGTTTGTTCAAATCAACCTCGGAGAGGCTTTCTCCTCAGTTCCGTGCATCTTCCTTCACTGAAACAAAGTGTTTACATCCTACTTGGTTGAATTTTTTTCCAGGACGACTCTCAGCCCGATGGCTATAGACTTCTCTTGGGCTCTGACATCGGCTTACCAGGTTTGACTAGAAATACACACGTTCCAACCATAGGCACAGAGAGGACACAGTTTATGATCAAGTTAGAGTTTTATTGCATATATAGGAAAGACAAATGCACAAAAAGGACTGGAAGCAGCAGCTCCTGCCATGAGTGCTGAATTTGATGTATGATTAAGGCAGCTCACGGGCATGGGGTGCTGTGGGATCCTGAGAAGAAGGGCTCTGAAGCGCAAGGGGGACACTTCTATGTAATCTGCACTCACGCTGTTTTTTCACTCAGTGCCCTGCTTCTTGGCACTGGCTGAATCTCCATCTCCTATCACACATCTCCTGCCCCTTGGTGGAGAGAGGGGGTGAGCAGGTGAGAGAAGGCACAGGAGAAGGGGAATGAAGGTGGAAGGACATCTCAGGAAAGTCCCTTTTATAATATAAAGTGCAGGCAATTCAGGTTGTACCCACACTAGAGATGCCAGGGATACCCTCTCTGTGGTTCTTTGGGTCCTGGGGGTTTGGAATTATTGCCAGTGATTATCAGTCAATATGTGCCATGAACTTTGTCATCATTTATAGACTGAATAAATGATATATGTCATTTATTTGTGCTACTGCTTTTAAAATATAACAAAATAGAAATTTATTTTTAAATGCTAATAAGTTCATATGAATGTATTATTTTTTTGTTTTTCATCTGTCCTTAATATACCATAATAAAAGTAATAATAGTACCATGATGTGAACATCTGGAAGAAAAGAAGATTTTTTGTTTCTCAAATTTTGTAAAAATAGGAGTAGATAAATTCTGACATCTTAGAAGGACCAAATGTTTTGTTGGATAAGTGGTACTATAACTTCCCCAAATACAATAGATATTTTATCCACACAATATACACTTTCATTGGATGGATTTGGTTTATTCACAAACATGTGCAACTAGGAATTAGCCTATTTTATTTCTTTGAAAGTTAGTTGTTAATCATCCATAGGTATGTTTTTAAAAATTAAAACATAAACATGCCTTTCCTTTTAGAAAAACAGTATATATATAGTATACAAGTAAATACAGTATACAAGTAAATTATCTACATATACATAAATGTATATGTATATGCAAAAGAGAGAGATAAATTTCACAATTCTACCACTCAAGATAATTGCTATCAATATCTAGGTGTATATCCTTCTAGAACTTTTAAAATAGACACGTTTATATACATTATTTACAAAACACAATATCTCATTTTAGGCTATGTTTAAAACCTGTTGTCTTTTCCATTTACCAATTTAGGATTATTGTCTTTCCATGAGAAGACGTGTTGTTGAAGCTTGGAATTCCCTACTAACTCATTTTCAAAGGAATCTGTGATTGAGGTAAATCCAGTTTTCTAGAGAGAAAGAGGAAATGTCTTTTGAAGCCATGCCTGGGAAGTATGATCAGCGAATGTTACTGCACAGATTTTTTTCCATCACAGCTTCCTCCCATCTAAATAATTATGATTTCTTCCCTTATGCCACTTGTTATTCCACGCTTTTTATTCATTGTCTGTGATTAAAGCCTCTTTAATTAGGAGCTAGAGAATTCACTCTCTAATTGAGGACTCATTTAAAATTCATGGGCCTGGACTTAGGATTCTGGTCTTTCACTGCTTCGGTCCATGTACTAGGGTGCCTATAGCAACACACAGCTTCCTATTTCTAAGGTTCTTTCAATTCTATTTAAAAAGACCCTAAGGAGTACAGACATCAAATAGAACTCTAGTATTTGGAAGAATTTAGTTTAAATGAGATAGAACCATGCAAACTAAATTTTTGTCAATAAAAACATAAGCTTGCGCCTAGGGGTTTGAGCACTGGGGCACCAGTGAAGTGGGCCATCCCCCTGTCACATGTCCTGCGAGGAGGATAAGGGAATTCTCTGGTTTTAACTTAATCTGTAAAAGACCTTGCTAAGAGGATGAAAAAGAAGCCACAGCAATGGATAAAACATTTGTAAACTACATATCCAACAAAGGAATATTATGACTGTTTCAAGATTTGCAGAACTGAATAGGAACAGCTCCGGTCTACAGCTCCCAGCGTGAGCGACACAGAAGACAGGTGAGTTCTGCATTTCCATCTGACGTACCGGGTTCATCTCACTAGGGAGTGCCAGACAGTGGGCGCAGGTCAGTGGGTGCGCGCACCGTGTGCGAGCCGAAGCAGGGCGAGGCATTGCTTCACTCGGGAAGCGCAAGGGGTCAGGGAGTTCCCTTTCCTAGTTAAAGAAAGGGGTGACAGACGGCACCTGGAAAATCGGGTCACTCCCACCCGAATACTGCGCTTTTCCGACGGGCTTAAAAAATGTCGCACCAGGAGATTATATCCCGCACCTGGCTCGGAGGGTCCTACGCCCATGGAGTCTCACTGATTGCTAGCACAGCAGTCTGAGATCAAACTGCAAGGTGGCAGCGAGGCTGGGGGAGGGGTGCCCGCCATTGCCCAGGCTTGCTTAGGTAAACAAAGCAGCCGGGAAGCTCGAACTGGGTGGAGCCCACCACAGCTCAAGGAGGCCTGCCTGCCTCTGTAGGCTCCACCTTTGCAGGCAGGCCACAGACAAACAAAAAGACAGCAGTAACCTCTGCAGACTTAAATGTCCCTGTCTGACAGCTTTGAGGAGAGCAGTGGTTCTCCCAGCATGCAGCTGGAGATCTGAGAACGGGCAGACTGCCTCCTCAAGTGGGTCCCTGAGCCCTGACCCCTGAGCAGCCTAACTGGGAGGCACCCCCCAGTAGGGGCAGACTGACACTTCACACGGCTGGGTACTCCTCTGAGACAAAACTTCCAGAGGAACGATCAGACAGCAGCATTCACAGTTCACGAAAAACCGCTGTTCTGCAAACACCGCTGCTGATACCCAGGCAAACGGTCTGGAGTGGACCTCTAGCAAACTCCAAAAGTCCTCCAGCTGAGGGTCCTGTCTGTTAGAAGGAAAACTAACAAACAGAAAGGACATCTACACCAAAAACCCATCTGTACATCACCATCATCAAAGACCAAAAGTAGAGAAAACCACAAAGATGGCGAAAAAACAGAGCAGAAAAACTGGAAACTCTAAAAAACAGAGCACCTCTCCTCCTCCAAAGGAACGCAGTTCCTCACCAGCAATGGAACAAAGCTGGACGGAGAATGACTTTGACGAGTTGAGAGAAGAAGGCTTCAGACGATCAAACTACGAGCTACAGGAGGAAATTCAAACCAAAGGCAAAGAAGTTAAAAACTTTGAAAAAAATTTAGACGAATGTATAACTAGAATAACCAATACAGAGAAGTGCTTAAAGGAGCTGATGGAGCTGAAAGCCAAGGCTCGAGAACTACGTGAAGAATGCAGGAGCCTCAGGAGCCGATGCAATCAACTGGAAGAAAGGGTATCAGCGATGGAAGATGAAATGAATGAAATGAAGCGAGAAGGGAAGTTTAGAGAAAAAAGAAAAAGAAATGAACAAAGCCTCCAAGAAATATGGGACTATGTGAAAAGACCAAATCTACGTCTGATTGGTGTACCTGAAAGTGACAGGGAGAATGGAACCAAGTTGGAAAACACTCTGCAGGATATTATCCAGGAGAACTTCCCCAATCTAGCAAGGCAGGCCAACATTCAGATTCAGGAAATACAGAGAACACCACAAAGATACTCCTCGAGAAGAGCATCTCCAAGACACATAATTGTCAGATTCACCAAAGTTGAAATGAAGGAAAAAATGTTAAGGGCAGCCAGAGAGAAAGGTCGGGTTACCCACAAAGGGAAGCCCATCAGACTAACAGTGGATCTCTTGGCAGAAACTCTACAAGCCAGAAGAGAGTGGGGGCCAATATTCAACATTCTTAAAGAAAAGAATTTTCAACCCAGAATTTCATATCCAGCCAAACTAAGCTTCATAAGTGAAGGAGAAATAAAATACTTTACAGACAAGCAAATGCTGAGATATTTTGTCACCATCAGGCCTGCCCTAAAAGAGCTCCTGAAGAAAGCACTAAACATGGAAAGGAACAACCGGTACCAGCCGCTGCAAAATCATGCCAAAATGTAAAGACCATCGAGACTAGGAAGAAACTGCATCAACTAATGAGCAAAATCACCAGCTAACATCATAATGAGAGGATCAAATTCACACATAACAATATTAACTTTAAATGTAAGTGGACTAAATGCTCCCATTAAAAGACACAGACTGGCAAATTGGATAAAGAGTCAAGACCCAACAGTGTGCTGTATTCAGGAAACCCATCTCACATGCAGAGGCACACATAGGCTCAAAATAAAAGGATGGAGGAAGATCTACCAAGCAAATGGAAAACAAAAAAAGGCAAGGGTTGCAATCCTAGTCTATGATAAAACAGACTTTAAACCAACAAAGATCAAAAGAGACAAAGAAGGCCATTACATAATGGTAAAGGGATCAATTCAATAAGAAGAGCTAACTATCCTAAATATATATGCACCCAATGCAGGAGCACCAAGATTCATAAAGCAAGTCCTGAGTGACCTACAAAGAGACTTAGACTCCCACACATTAATAATGGGAGACTTTAACACCCCACTGTCAACATTAGACAGATCAACGAGACAGAAAGTTAACAAGGATACCCAGGAATTGAACTCAGCTCTGCACCAAGTGGACCTAATAGACATCTACAGAACTCTCCACCCCAAATCAACAGAATATACATTTTTTTCAGCACCACACCACACCTATTCCAAAATTGACCACATAGTTGGAAGTAAAGCTCTCCTCAGCAAATGTAAAAGAACAGAAATTATAACAAACTATCTCTCAGACCACAGTGCAATCAAACTAGAACTCAGGATTAAGAAACTCACTCAAAACCGCTCAACTACATGGAAACTGAACAACCTGCTCCTGAATGACTACCGGGTACATAACGAAATGAAGGCAGAAATAAAGATGTTCTTTGAAACCAATGAGAACAAAGACACAACATACCAGAATCTCTGGGACACATTCAAAGCAGTGTGTAGAGGGAAATTTATAGCACTAAATGCCCACAAGAGAAAGCAGGAAAGATCCAAAATTGACACCCTAACATCACAATTAAAAGAACTAGAGAAGCAAGAGCAAACACATTCAAAAGCTAGCAGAAGGCAAGAAATAACTAAAATCAGAGCAGAACTGAAGGAAGTAGAGACACAAAAAACCCTTCAAAAAATTAATAAATCCAGGAGCTGGTTTTTTGAAAGGATCAACAAAATTGATAGACCACTAGCAAGACTAATAAAGAAAAAAAGAGAGAAGAATCAAATAGACGCAATAAAAATTGATAAAGGGGATATCACCACCAATCCCACAGAAATACAAACTACCGTAAGAGATTACTACAAACACCTCTATGGAAATAAACTAGAAAATCTAGAAGAAATGGATAAATTCCTCGACACATACACTCTCCCAAGACTAAACCAGGAAGAAGTTGAATCTCTGAATAGACCAATAACAGGAGCTGAAATTGTGGCAATAATCAATAGCTTACCAACCAAAAAGAGTCCAAGACCAGATGGATTCACAGCCGAATTCTACCAGAGGTACAAGGAGGAACTGGTACCATTCCTTCTGAAACTATTCCAATCAATAGAAAAAGAGGGAATCCTCTCTAACTCATTTTTTGAGGCCAGCATCATCCTGATACCAAAACCGGGCAGAGACACAACCAAAAAAGAGAATTTTAGACCAATATCCTTGATGAACATTGATGCAAAAATCCTCAATAAAATACTGGCAAACCAAATCCAGCAGCACATCAAAAAGCTTATCCACCATGATCAAGTGGGCTTCATCCCTGGGATGCAAGGCTGGTTCAATATACGCAAATCAATAAATGTAATCCAGCATATAAACAGAACCAAAGACAAAAACCACATGATTATCTCAATAGATGCAGAAAAGGCCTGTGACAAAATTCAACAACCCTTCATGCTAAAAACTCTCAATAAATTAGGTATTGATGGGATGTATCTCAAAATAATAAGAGCTATCTATGACAAACCCACAGCCAATATCATACTGAATGGGCAAAAACTGGAAGCATTCCCTTTGAAAACTGGCAGAAGACAGGGATGCCCTCTCTCACCACTCCTATTCAACATAGTGTTGGAAGTTCTGGCCAGGGCAATTAGGCAGAAGAAGGAAATAAAGGGTATTCAATTAGGAAAAGAGGAAGTCAAATTGTCCCTTTTTGCAGACGACATGATTGTATATCTAGAAAACCCCACTGTCTCAGCCCAAAATCTCCTTAAGCTGATAAGCAACTTCAGCGAAGTCTCAGGACACAAAATCAATGTACAAAAATCACAAGCATTCTTATACACCAACAACAGACAAACAGAGAGCCAAATCATGAGTGAACTCCCATTCACAACTGCTTCAAAGAGAATAAAATACCTAGGAATCCACCTTACAAGGGACATGAAGGACCTCTTCAAGGAGAACTACAAACCACTGCTCAATGAAATAAAAGAGGATACAAACAAATGGAAGAACATTCCATGCTCATGGGTAGGAAGAATCAATATCGTGAAAATGGCCATACTGCCCAAGGTAATTTATAGATTCAATGCCATCCCCATCAAGCTACCAATGACTTTCTTCACAGAATTGGAAAAAACTACTTTAAAGTTCATATGGAACCAAAAAAGAGCCCGCATCACCAAGTCAATCCTAAGCCAAAAGAACAAAGCTGGAGGCATCACACTACCTGACTTCAAACTATACTACAAGGCTACAGTAACCAAAACAGCATGATACTGGTACCAAAACAGAGATATAGATTAATGGAACAGAACAGAGCCCTCAGAAATAACGCCATATATCTACAACTATCTGATCTTTGACAAACCTGAGAAAAACAAGCAATGGGGAAAGGATTCCCTATTTAATAAATGGTGCTGGGAAAACTGGCTAGCCATATGTAGAAAGCTGAAACTGGATCCTTTCCTTACACCTTATACAAAAATCAATTCAAGATGGATTAAAGACTTAAACGTTAGACCTAAAACCATAAAAACCCTAGAAGAAAACCTAGGCATTACCATTCAGGACATAGGCACAGGCAAGGACTTCATGTCTAAAAACCAAAAGCAATGGCAACAAAAGCCAAAATTGACAAATGGGATCTAATTAAACTAAAGAGCTTCTGCACAGCAAAAGAAACTAACATCAGAGTGAACAGGCAACCCACAAAATGGGAGAAAATTTTCACAACCTACTCATCTGACAAAGGGCTAATATCCAGAATCTACAATGAACTCAAACAAATTTACAGGAAAAAAAACAAACAACCCCATCAAAAAGTTGGCGAAGGATATGAACAGACACTTCTCAGAAGAAGACATTTATGCAGCCAAAAAACACATGAAAAAATGCTCACCATCACTGGCCATCAGAGAAATGCAAATCAAAACAACAATGAGATGTCATCTCACACCAGTTAGAATGGCAATCATTAAAAAGTCAGGAAACAACAGGTGCTAGAGAGGATGTGGAGAAATAGGAACACTTTTACACTGTTGGTGGGACTGTAAACTAGTTCAACCATTGTGGAAGTCAGTGTGGCGATTCCTCAGGGATCTAGAACTAGAAATACCATTTGACCCAGCCATCCCATTACTGGGTATATACCCAAAGGACTATAAATCATGCTGCTATAAAGACACATGCACACGTATGTTTATTGTGGCACTATTCACAATAGCAAAGTCTTGGAACCAAGCCAAATGTCCATCAATGATAGACTGGATTAAGAAAATGTGGCACATATACACCATGGAATCCTATGCAGCCATAAAAAATGATGAGTTCATGTCCTTTGTAGCGACATGGATGAAATTGGAAATCATCATTCTCAGTAAACTATTGCAAGAACAAAAAACTAAACACCGCATATTCTCACTCATAGGTGAAAATTGAACAATGAGAACACATGGACACAGGAAGGGGAACATCACACTCTGGGGACTGTTGTGGGGTGGGGGGAGGGGGGAGGGATAGCATTGGGAGATATACCTAATGCTAGATGACGAGTTAGTGGGTGCAGCGCACCAGCATGGCACATGTATACATATGTAACTAACCTGCACATTGTGCACATGTACCCTAAAACTTAAAGTATAATAATAATAATTTAAAAAAAAAGATTTGCAGAACTGTCTATTTAACCCATAGACTCATGAGCAATAATAAATTATTATTGCTTTAACCAGTGGAAAACAAAACAAAACAAAACATAAGCTTGCAAATTTTATATTCTGTAATATTTCCATGGGCTATATAACCGCAGGAAGGGCAAACTATATCTTTATAGAATAAATTGTAGACTGGAAGAGTAATGAAAAAAACTGAGAGGAGTGTAACAAAATAATTAAAGGCTTAGAAAACAATATCCATGGAGCAACTAACAGAATCGTATTCATCGCCTTTGGTGAAATGGCTGTTAGTGATTACAAACCGTGATTACAAAGGAAGACATGTTCTATATTGGGGAGTGACAAGCTGTTAACTGATGCAGAAAAATCACAAAACAAGACCTGAAAGCTTTAAAAGAAATACTTATCTAATATCCCTAAATGAGGGTTTCCTTTTTTTCTTTTGAGATGGAGTCTTGCTCTGTCACCCAGGCTGGAGTGCAGTGGCGCGATCACGGCTCACTGCAAGCTCCGCCTCCCAGGTTCATGCCATTCTCCTGCCTCAGCCCCCCAAGTGTCTGGGATTACAGGTGCACAGCACCACACCTGGCTAATTTTTTTGTATTTTTAGTAGAGACAGGGTTTCACCGTGTTAGCCAGGATGGTCTCGATCTCCTGACCTCGTGATCCACCCGCCTCGGCCTCCCAAAGTGCTGGGATTACAGGCGTGAGCCACCGCACCCGGCCTAAATGGGGATTTTCAAAAAGCCAAAGTCATTTATAAGAAAGGCAGTGAATTTGAATGAAAAATACATTGAACCAGTTGGAAGTCAGAAGGTCTGAGTTCTCTGTGGACACTGCCGCTGCCTCACTTGTGATCCTTCATGCATCCTGTTGCCTCCGCAGATGAGCGTTTACTCATCTTCATAGTGAAATAGCGGACTAAGAGATCACCACTACTCCATCAGCATGACGTGCATCGTCATGGTGAGATCCTTCCTACCCAGTATGGCAGGGCCTCTGCCAGTTGCTTTCTCCAGCATATTTCTTTCCATTCCTTCTTAGAAACAAATCCTGATACCTTCAGCTGGGCATTTTTCCTGGAATAAAAGACGACACTTCTGAGTTTTCTTGTGGCATAGTGTGGTCATGTAGCTATGGTCTGGTAAGTGAGATGGAAGCAGACAAGTTGCATAGGACTCTTCGGAAGGTGACTTAAAGGGAGCTTACTCAGCTTCAGGGGTGCCTTTTTGTCTTACTTTTTCTCCGTTAGGCCCAAAAGTCAGATGTCCTGGCTTAAGCTGCTGAAGCCACCTTGGACCATGAGTGATCTTGAGAATGGAAGCCACTGTCTAGATGTTGGAACAAAGACAATGGCCTGGGCCTCCCTGATGACACCGCAGAGTCACCGTATGTGTCCTGGAGTACTTGCTCTCTGCTTCTTTTTCATGAGAGATAAGTACATTTTTATCTTCTTTAGGCCACTGCTATATTTTTCCCGTTAAACACAGCTATATCCAATCCTAACTGGTTCAACCTATAAAATGTGATTATTTCTTGTTTTAAGATAACTATAGCTACCAATTATTTTGCACTTAGTAGCTGCCAGACACTGTACTAAGTGTTTTATGGGTGTCACCTTATCTAATTTGCACAACAAGAATACTTACAAGGTAGGTATTATTATCTATAATTTACAAATGAGAAAATGGAGGCTTAGAAAGCTTACATAGTATCTACAGGGTCATATTGAAAAAAGCAGAGTTCTAAACCAGGTTGGGATGACCCCAAAACTTGTTCTAATCTTAATCACTGTTATCAGTGTAATGCAGTTATTATCCTCTGTGGGTAAAAGATGCTATTCCTGATTCACTCACGGCAATACGAAATATACAAGGAGCACAGTGTTGGCTAATATTTCTAGAGACTCTTACGGAATTGTCAAGATGTAGACAACTTTATGTCCAATCTGCTCCCTGAACAAGATTGACAACAAAGACCCGGCTTGCCTTCTGTATCACAGATGACAACTATCCCCAAACCTTACCTAGGTTGTCAAACATTCACCTTTATAAGAGATTTGCAAACAGAAATAACACTGACTGCAAAACTGATGGCGGGGATTAAATAAGAGGATATATGTAAAATGCATAGAAGAAAATCAGGTACACAGTAAATGCTTGATGAATGGTACCTGACGGCACCATTATTTAAGGGATCCACAGTGAGACTGTGAAAATTTTCAGGAGTCAGAAATATTAGGTTCAACCACAACCTCTGCAACTTGCTAGTTATGTGAACATTGTTCAGTCATTTAACTTTTTGGCTTCTAATTTTCTGAGGAATACATTATTTATATAACAGAACTGTAATTGGGGATAAAGCCTTTCCAGTCCCCATCCCAGTGCCTGACGCATTTTAGAATCCCAGCCAATGAAATTCTTCTCACTATTATTCTCACAGAATTCTAATGAACATACTACCAACAGTGATTTTCTCCTTGGCCCATTAACCACACGGAAGGGAGTATTCGCTGTGGAGTGCCTCTGTAGCTGAGGGCCCCTGGCGCGTGGTTTCATCAGAGGCAGACAGCTGCGTGAGTCACTGTGGTGGGCAGTGTGCTGGGCCACCCTGCGGGTCCTGCCAGAGTGCTGTGGAATTCAAGTTTGTCTTCTCCAGTTTTAGTCTCTGCACGTGCGTTGGTCTCCTTTCTGCCCCTACAGTGTGGCCAAGGCCATTCCAGCCTCAGGAGGGCAAGAGGAGGCCTGTTGGATGCATCCTGAAAACACAGGCCATCACTGTGGGTGAGATCTACCAGGACAGATGCCATTCTGCAAAGTGGGTACTTTCCATGAGAATCCATCCATGTTTTTCTCTTATTCCTTCTCTTGGCAGATTTTCACTCTTTTCACAACCTTGTTTCATAGACATCAAACAATAACACAGCACAGAAGGAAAACAAGGGTCTTCTTATACAAATACCATGTATTTAATTCTGGCACTCATGATTTATTTATATCAGAAAGTCATCTTAAATTTTTAGGAGCTCACAACATTCAAAACCTCACACAAATTTCTAAACTAGTAGAGATGTCTCTGCATCTCCCACTACTTTCTTCTGCATGTCAAGTTTCACTTTAGGTTAGAATAGTCATATATACCCGTTGATGGGTGCAGCAAACCACCATGGCACATGTATAGCTACGTAACAAACCTGCACATTCCGCACATGTATCCCAGAACTTAAAGTAAAATAAAAATAAAAAAATCACAACATTGGAAAGCCAAAAAAAATAGCCATATATAAACTTTTTCATCTTAAAATCCATTTTACTCCTAACTGTCAAGGAAAAACAGATGGTTCTAAACTCCTCCTTCTAGGCTCCTAGTGGTAAAGCAATTTGCAGGACAACCATGGAAGAAAGGTGCCCGCCTTCTCTAAGCTGACATGGCCCCGCTCCCTCCCTCAGTCTGTAGCCTCAGGAGGGGACTGCTTTGCCTGTGAGTGGGAGGGAGCTACCGTGTGAGTAGTTCCCAACAGACCATCTGAAGTCATTTTCCCAGGTGGCAGGAGAAACACAGAGCCAGACGTTACACTGCTTTTCAAAGAGGTAAGCTCTTTTTTTTTAACTGCTATTTAAAACTCCAAACAAAAATGAAGCTGTGGATGCATGCAAGAATGAAGCCTAAGCAAAAATAACTCTTCAAAAAGGAAGCAGGTTTTTTGGAGAGGGTGTGTGTGTGAGGGCGGGGCGGGGGCGAGTCCTTCAATGTGGTTTTGAAATTAAGGTCCATGTTCTGTGATAATAAGCTATGTATCAATGAGAAAGGCTGAGATTATGACAAGAGGAAAAGGAGTAAAGGATTTGGCGGTTTAATCACGTTTCTATTCTTTTTTATATCTGCATCTTCTTTGAATGCAAGTATCAAGTTCTGTTTGGCTTTTGTGGAAAGCCATTTCCGAAGACCTGCCTTACTTGACTGTTTCTCCCTCTCTGGCTCTCCTGTTACCAACGTCCTAGAGTTGCCTCTGCTGCCCCAGCGAGGATGGCGACACAAACAGCGGTGGTGTCAGCGGACAGCGGTGGTGTCAGCGGTGACCGAGGCAGGGCCGAGACTCCAGGGCCCTTCGGGTTCAAGCTGTGCCCCCTCGCGCAGTTCAGCACCTGCCAGCACTTCCAAGTGTGTGATTGTCACGCTTGCCTGATTACTCCTTCCTTTGGGCTCCCATAGCAATTTGTACATTACTGTGGAATTGATCAAATTGCTTTATAACTAGCTGTTTATGTGTCTTTAATCTGTGTCATTTTGGATGGCAGGAAATGCTCTTTCGGTAATTTTTTTGTCCACACTGACTGGAATACTGGTTGGCACATAGTAGGTATTCAACAGTTTTTTATCGAGGGAATGAAAGCTCTCTAAACCACAGCAATCATTTGTAGACAAAGACTCTTAGGGTGTAATGTGATTTAACATCTGATTTTTGGAAAATAGTTACTGAGATCATTCCGACAATAATAGAGTGCAATACCCTACCTTGAATAAAGGATATTTTACTCCTTTAGTGTGACATATAGGTGTTTGTTAAGCCCAGAGATTAACTTCCTTTACGACATGGCTGAGCTGGCCCAGCGGTCCATGTCAGGATGTGGTGCCCTGGTTTACTCCAGGTTCATAGCAAATCATTTTTCCTCTATGAAACCTCTTTCAGATGATCTTTGGAGCCTGTATCATATGTGCAGGGTCAAAAAACGGGCTGGATACAGTGTTCCACTTCCAGGGAGCATCTCTAGTTTGAGCCCAGACCACCAACCCCCAGCAAGGCCCTAATCCATACAGTTAAATCCTTGGTAGTGACTTTGTCAGTTTCCACCTCTGGATCTTTAAGGAAGCAGCACTTCCTGAATGTGGCATTGCTTTGTGGAGACAGTGACTGAGTAAGTTAGGGGTGATCCTTGCTACTGCTGGTGAGCCAGGCACCCAGAGAGAGTCTACCACTTGCTGCGTGAGCCTGGCCTGTGCTTTGTCCACCAAGCTGGTCTAAGCGGACTCACAGAAGGCAGAGGTATTGTGGAAGCTCTGATGACTGCCCCATCTCTCCTTTAGGACAGAAGCACTTACTCCACCAGCTTCTTGGAATGTTGGCAGCTGAAGGGGTGGCAAGCCTTTGCTGTAGCTACACCACAATTCAACTCCTTTGTCTACCCAATCCCACTTCCTTCAGTTCTCCATGGGTATTGATCTGGAGAGAAACTCTCAAACTTTCTTCTTGCAAATTTAACCTCAGCTCCGTTTCTTGGAGAACCTCACCTAAGACAGGTGGCAACTCTAACCCTCCTGCATACCTAAACTTACTGATAGATTTAGGGAATAAGAGAGGGAGACAGAGAATGAAGCTGATATCATCTAGACTCATGACAACTAGTTCTGCAGACTCATGTTCATCTGGGGCACTGACTCTCCCAGTTAGCAGGAGGACTCTAACACCAGCTTTTGCCTAAACCCTAGCCTCTTATAAGCTACAATCATTTAGTCACGACCATAGGGAACTTCCCGGACTGAGGTCTATAAAGCATTCATAAAAATTCAGATCTTCAGGAATCATAGCAGGATAGTAAAAAGGCAAAACTTTTACCTTTAAGGAAACTCAGATTCAAATTCTTGCTCCTGCAATTATGAGATAATAACACCAGGTTGCTTATGTTGTCATCCCAATGTTCAGTGTCATCTGTGAATGATAACAAAAGCCACCTCAAATAACTCTTGTGAGGTTTAAGAGAAAATTATGCGAGACTTAAAATACAATCCGTGATATATAAGAACACACTGGATTTTTTAAATTGAGAGATTCTAAGGTGGGGTGCTGCGGCTCACGCCTGTAATTCCAGCACTTTGGGAGGCCAAGGCGGGTGGATCACCTGAGGTGAGGAGTTTAAGACCAGCCTGGCCAACATGGAGAAACCCCATCTCTACTAAAAACACACAAATTAGCCAGGCACAGTGGCGTGTGCCTGTAATCCCAGCTACACGGGAGGCTGAGGCAGGAGAATAGCTTGAATCTGGGAGACAGAGGTTGCAGTGAGCTGAGATCACACCACTGCACTCCAGCCTGGGTGACAGAGCCAGACTCTGTCTCAGAAAAAAAAAAAAGAGATTCGAACTCCTGGTTTAGTACTTAGCCCTTGTTTAAAGACTGTGCAACAGGCTTAATAACCCCCATTTCAAATTATTTAATTTTCAGAATTTTTTATGATAGAAAACCATTCTAGCTTACCAAACGTCTTCTGTAATAGCTTCTGCTCCTTTCTGCTTCATGGCTATCCATGCTTTCTATGATGTTCTACTAACTCACTGAATATTTTTTTAAATTTAGAGTTATGAAGACTTATTCCAATCCTTAGTGAATTAACCAAACTCTGAAGAGAATATTTTCATCTCTGTTCAGTGGGTTCTGTCTGATCCAGGAAAAAAAAAAAAAAGTTTTCTGATGGAACTCATCAAGAGCAGCCTTTATCCCTGCCTTCCCTGGCTCCGAATGTTGTGTTGCTTTTAAAGCAGTCAAACACATGAAAACCAGACTTTTCTTAGAGCTCTAGAACTTCCTTCGTGGTACTCAAGGCTTCCTGGGAATTCCTTCGTCGTTCTCAAGGCTGTCCTGGAGCTTCCTTCATGGTACCCAGGGCTTCCTGGAGCTTCCTTCGTGGTACCCAGGGCCGTCCCGGGGCTTCCTTCATGGTTCTCAGGGCCGTCCCGGGGCTTCCTTCGTGGGGAGCTTCCTTCGTGGTACCCAGGGCCGTCCCGGGGCTTCCTTCGTGGTTCTCAGGGCCGTCCCGGGGCTTCCTTCGTGGTTCTCAGGGCCGTACTGGGGCTTCCTTCATGGGGAGCTTCCTTCGTGGTACCCAGGGCCGTCCCGAGGCTTCCTTCGTGGTACCCAGGGCCGTCCCGGGACTTCTTCGTGGTACTCAAGACTGTCCTGGGCACACGGTTTCTGTGCTCGGACACCCAATGCCTGAACTCAGCATCTGACACAGTTCCTGGGTTTCCAAGTGAGCAAACGCTTTCTCTTTGCTCTTGGGCATGAGGTCACAGCCTTCTCCTTTCCCGTCAGGACCGCATTCCCAGGTTTTCTCCATTTCTCTTTAAAGGAAAGTCGTCCGCGTTGCTTCCTGACCTGGAGTGTTTAGCCGCGGAAGACACTGGCCTCCTCTGGAGTCGCTGTGCAGAGCTGCGTCTTCTTCCCCCTGCACAGCGACAGCGCAGACTTGCTTCCCCCCATTCCCAACAGGCACCTTTTCTCTTTCAAAGGTCCCACATATACGACTTACAAGGCAGTAAAAGGGTAATATGTGTGCCAGTACCTTTCAGGTGAAGTGGCAAATAGGAGGGCGATAAGGGTTAAATACTTACCTGCGGCGGAACGCTGCAGTTTTTATTCGTTTACATAAACGAATACAATGTATATATTAGCTCCTGCATACGCGGGGAAAAGTGAGGGAAGAGGAGCGGGAGAGGTGGCGGCTGTGGGAGCGGAGCGAGCAGGTTCCCGGGAGGCTGCAGCACAGAGGCCCCACGCAGGCGGGCTCCCCGCGCTCGGCTCCCGCCTCCTCCCGGCCGTTCTCTGTTCTTGCACTTGGCCGCGCACGGACGCGCATCTCTCCTCGCTGCCGGTGGCCATGCAGAAAGCTGGCTTAGTCTCCATCCTAGGTCCGCATCTCAGTTTTTTTGTTTGTTTTTGTCTTTTTTTTTTTTTTGTCACAAACCGAAGTGGGGAAAACATTTGTTGGAGTTCGTTTTTTTTCACAAGGTCAGTGTGTGCCCATTACCCACTGGGAGGAGGACAATTTGAGCACACGATCACATTGAATGAGAAGACGAAAGACGTGGCCGGGCGCGATGGGTCACGCCTGTAATCCCAGCACTATGGGAGTCTGAGGCAGGAGGATCACGAGGTCAAGAGAAGGAGACCATCCTGGCCAACATGATGAAACCCTGTCTCTACTAAAAGCACAAAAATTATCTGGGTATGGTGGTGCGAGCCTGTAGTCCCAGCTGCTTGGGAGGCTGAGGTGGGAGAATCACTTGAACCTGGAGGGCGGAGGTTGCAGTGAGCCGAGATAGCTCCACTGCACTCCAGCCTGGGCTACAGAGCCGGACTCCATTTCTAAAAAAAAAAAAAAAAAAAAAAAAAAAACAGAAAAGAAAAAGAAAACGAAAACGAAAGACATAATGTCGTAATGATGATGGACAATTCCAGTAATTAAAATTATTTTAGAAAAGCATTGATTTCTTTTAAATTAAAATATGCCCAGAAGCTTATATTTTATATGTATATTCAAATAACTTTTTGGTTATTCAGTCTTCTTTGTTTTAAAACACTTGTGAGCTGACTTTTCTATTTATACAGGAGGATGTTCTATATCTCAGAACAATAATTGCGAATGCCATATAAATACTTTAAATTTACAAGAGTATCTCTCACTAGCTAACCTACAATTCCTTTAGTGCAATAGCTGGGGAAAAGAGTAGGATTCTAGGGAAAACAGTTCTTGGTTTTAACTTCATTATGTTCTGCAGCTTTATTATCATTGAAATTCTCCAAATTAAAATGCAAAAGCTCAGCTTCTTGGCTGGGCTGCTTACTTAACCTTAATAAAATATAAGGGTCTGTTTCATTAATCAGAAATGCACCAGACACAGTGCATAAATTTTATCTTCCACTTTGTCCTTTGTATTTCAGAATGATAATAATAATAATAAAATCTTGGGTTTGGCAGGACAATCATGTTCTCTTTGTTTCTATCATGTTTCTATGTAAAATAGATTTCTCAGACAGACTAAATGCCTTAAGGGGTAAAAATTCCTATGATCCTGTTCTCTGGAAATCTTTAAAAATAGAATAAACTTTCCTTTGTCTGGGTGTGGTTTAAGCACAGGCCATGTTTGGCAGAAGGATTGTTTAACTGACCTGCTGATGTTGCTTTAAGCTGCATGATCACTTGGATGAATTTTCCCTTAATCCTTGCCAGATTTAATTTATCACAACAATACTTGTTTTATAGATGTTGTAAAACAAAAGTCGGGTGCAATCTTCTTTTTCATTGTAAAGTAATACAACAGTTTATTTCTCAAATTGGAGAAAGTAAAATTAAATCAGGAACATGTATGATGTGTTTTCCTTCCTCAGATGTCTCCTGAAGGAAAGTGAAATGTGCTAAATAGCATGCCATTTAAGACAATATCTTTTCAGACAACTGGACCAAATCAGCAAAACAGAACCATGTGTTCCATCAGGGCCGCCTTCACGTTGTGCCGTGCATCTGAGGCTGGGCATCTGGACGGAGGGAGGAGACTGACCACGCGGAAGTGTGCTGGTGGGCGCTGGGGGGACAGCCAGTGGGACGGGGTGGAGAAGTGGTTTCACAGGTGTGCTTACCCCGTGTCAGTACAGCCCCCGTTGTGCATGCGTCATTCTATCCTCTTCCCAGACGTGCCGTCCAGTCCCCCTGCCTGGAGTGATGTGTTATGAAAGTCTTCACTTTCCTAAGAAGCCCCAAAGAAAAGCATAAGGTTATCATTCAGCACATCAATCACTAGCACACACGCGCCCATGCACACACAGAGAGAAGGCGTAACAATGGGTCAGGTTTTTAAAACCAGATTTCATGTATAGTTAAATTCAAAGTCATATTTTCAAGCATTGACCAATTCTTTTTTCTCTTAAGAGAGACTCCAAAGTTTCTTTTTAACAGTTAAGCTTTATTGGGGTATTGTTCATTTACCTGAAAATACACTCGTTATAGGCATCTAAATCAATGCTTTTTAGTGACTTTATAGAATTATATAACCATCACTACCATCCCATTGTATAATGTTTCCATCACTCCAGGAAGTTCCCTGGGCCCATTTGCGGTCAATTTCCTCTCCTCTCCTCAGTTCCAGGCGAGCACTAACTGCTTTCTGCTCTATACTTTTTCTAAACATTTTACATAAAAATCACACCATGCAATATAAGGTCTTTGCGAATACGTTGTTTCCTTACTCTATACTTTTTCTAAACATTTTACATAAAAATCACACCATGCAATATAAGGTCTTTGCGAATACGTTGTTTCCTTACTCTATACTTTTTCTAAACATTTTACATAAAAATCACACCATGCAATATAAGGTCTTTGCGAATACATTGTTTCCTTACTCTATACTTTTTCTAAACATTTTACATAAAAATCACACCATGCAATATAAGGTCTTTGCGAATGCGTTGTTTCCTTACTCTATACTTTTTCTAAACATTTTACATAAAAATCACACCATGCAATATAAGGTCTTTGCGAATGCGTTGTTTCCTTACTCTATACTTTTTCTAAACATTTTACATAAAAATCACACCATGCAATATAAGGTCTTTGCGAATGCGTTGTTTCCTTACTCTATACTTTTTCTAAACATTTTACATAAAAATCACACCATGCAATATAAGGTCTTTGCGAATACGTTGTTTCCTTGCTCTATACTTTTTCTAAACATTTTACATAAAAATCACACCATGCAATATAAGGTCTTTGCGAATACGTTGTTTCCTTACTCTATACTTTTTCTAAACATTTTACATAAAAATCACACCATGCAATATAAGGTCTTTGCGAATACGTTGTTTCCTTAGCATAATGGTTTGAGGTTCATCTGTGTTGAAGCCTGTGTCTGTGGTTGGTGCCTTTTTATTGCCTAGTAGTGTTTCAAAATATGAGTATATACTTTTTTTCCCAAAATAATTTTCTGGTTGATAGACATTTGGCTTGTTTCTACTTTTGGCTATTATGTACATGCTGTTTGTGAATATACACATACAGGTCTTTGAGTAAACATAGGTTCTCATTTCTTTTGGGTAGGCAGGTACTCAAGAATGGAATTCCTGTGTCATATGCTAAGTTTGTGTGTAACTTCTTTTTAAGAAACAGATATTGTTTTCCAAAACAACTGTATCACTTGACATCTCATCAGCAACATATGAGAGTTTCAGTTTCTCCACATCCTTGCTAACACTTGTTATTGTCTGAAATTTTTTTTCTTTTTTTCTTTTTTTTTTTTGAGACACAGTTTCACTCCATTGCCCAGGCCAGAGTGCAGTGGCTCGGTCTTGGCTCACTGCAACCTCTGCCTCCCGGGTTCAAGCGATTCTACTGCCTCAGCCTCCTGAGTAGCTGGGATTACAGGCACGTGCCACCACACCTGGCTAATTTTTGTATTTTTAGTACAGATGGGGTTTCACCATGTTGGTCAGACTGGTCTCAAACTCCTGAGCTCAAGTGATCTGCCCGCCTCGGGCTCTCAAAGTGCTGAGGTTACAGGTGTGAGCCATGGCGCCTGGCCCATTGTCTGAATTTTTATTATCATCATCCTAGAGGGAATGAAGTGGATGTAATTGGATTTACAATCACGCAATGATTTTTCATGTTGAGCATCTTTTCTTTCTTTCTTTCTTTCTTTCTTTTTTTTTTTTGAGATGGAGTCTCGCTCTGTCACTCAGGCTGAAGTACAGTGGCTGGATCTTGGCTCACTGCGACCTCTGCCTCCTGGGTTGAAGCAATTCTCCTGCCTCAGTCTCCTAAGTAGCTGGGACTACAGGCATGCACCACCATGCCAGGCTAATTTTTATGTTTTTAGTAGAGATGGGGTTTCTCCATGTTGGCCAAGATGGTCTTGAACTCCTGACCTCAAGTGATCTACCCATCTCGGCCTCCCAAAGTACTGGGGTTACAGGCATGAGCCACCCGCCTGGACATTGAGCATCTTTTCATGTACTAATAGTGCATTTGGGTATCATCTTTGGATAAATGTCTATTCAAATTATTTGCCTATTTTAATTTTTATTCTTTTTTATTTTAAAATTGATACATAATAGATGTACATATTTTGGGGGATACATATAATATTTTGGTACATCTAAATAAACCATAGAAAGATCAAGCCATATAATATATAAAGATCAAGTCAGGGTTCTTTACCTATTTTTAATTTTTTAAAACATTATTGAGTTGTAGAAGTTCTTAATATATCCTGGATACAAATTTTTTATGAGATACATATTTTAAAATATTTTCCATTAGTCCGTGGCTTGTCTTTTAATTTTAATGATGTCTCTTGAAAAGCAAAAGTTTTAACATTTTCATGAAGCCCAATTTATCAATTTATCAGTTTTTCCTTTATAGATTATGATTTTAGGGCCACATCTAAGAAATCTTTCCTGACCCAATGTCACAGATATTTTCTCTTATCTTGCCACAAGAATTTGTATAGTTTCAGCTCTCATATTTAGGACAAGGATCCATTTTGAGTTGATTTCTAGTGTGAGATGGTATAAGATAAGGATGTAAAATTGTTGCTATTTTTGCCTATGAATATCCAATTGTTCTAGAACAATGTATTGAAAAAATTATCATTTGTCCACTGAATTATTTTGTCTCTGTGTCAAAAATCAATTGAACATAACTATAAGGGTTTGATTCTGGACTTTCTATTCAGCTCCACTGATCTATGTGTCTATCTTTGGGTCAGTCATTTTTGCCTTGATTACTGTAGCTTTATAGCAAGTTTTGAGACTGAGAAGTGAAGGTTCTCCTACTTTGCTGTTCTTTTGTGAGTGAAGCCAAATCATTATATTAGTACTACTCCTCTCACTATAAGCAATGGTTTAATTTCCACGCCTGAAAAAAAAATGACGAGAAAGGGGATCATCTGCAAAAGTGTTTGGGTCTTTTTATTGCTGCCTGTATAAGTTAGCTGTTGCTATGTAAAAAACCACCTCAAAACTAGTGGCTTAAAAGAACAACCATTGATTTAGATCCCAACTCCCCGGGTCAGCAATTTGGGATGTGCTTAGCCAAGCAATTCTCCCCGCCTCAGTCACGTGGCTGAGGTCCGTGCCCAGTCACCCTGGCAGCCCTGCTCCTGGGGTTGACTGGATGTCAGCCGGGCCATGGGGTCGCTGGGCCATGTGTTTCACATTGCCGTCAGACGAGCCTGAGCTTGTTTCCGTGGCAGCAGGGTGCCAAGAACAGCAAGAGGGAAGACTTTCCCGTCTCTGTGTCTCTTCTGCTAAGGTCCTTTTGGTGAAAGCAAGTGATGAGGCCAAGACCAGGGTCAACTTGGGAGGGCCTTCCAAAGGCGAATACAGGGACACATGAACTCACTGAAGGCATTGCTGGGATCCATGGACCACTGCTTTTACCAACTTGCAGGAGCTGCTTTGAGAGAACCAGGTTTCTGGGCATGAGCCAAATCAAAGTTTAAACCAAAGTTTAACAAACCCACTACTTCAAAGTGGTACTCAGTTTTGGTGGTTGGTACTTAGTTTGGCGCAGATTGCCCATAGACAGATCCCTGCATCTCTACTGATGGCTAGCCCTAGTCATCAAGGACATGGGAAAATAAAATGGTTTCTTACCATTTTCCTGAGGATCACAAAACTTTGAGGAAACCAGAAGACCCAAAAGTATATCCTCAATAAAACCAATCTGGGACCCCCAACTCCATTCTATCCTCAATAAAACCAATCTGGGACCCCCAACTCCATCCCTTCCTAACTAACATGATTCACCTTTAGAATGAGACGATCTTAGGGATTTTAGGAGTTCATGGAGGCTCAATATGGCTGCTGTACCTTAGAGCTACATGGAAGGGGTGGTGCCCTCACCACGACTATGACTAGGCAGCAGGGCATTCCTGGCATTAAGAAGTACTGCTCATCTGTAAATAACTCAACCACACAAACTTGTTTTTTCCTGGAAAAAAAAAATACAAGCAGGTGCTAGGTTTTTAATGAGAGACAAAGCTTTATTTCCAAATTCACAGTCTTCATACTTCATTATTGCCTTTTCGCCATGTGATGTGGGTCACACACAATGAACAACTGGCAATTGTTCACACTTTTTTATATTCTGGCAATGAGTGCCAAAAATATTCCTTTCTCTTAGTAGATCTTTTTAATCAAAAATCTATAGTAAGTAATGCTTTATTTTGAACTAAATCATTTCAATAGGCAAGGTGACAGAACTGTGGCTGAAATCTGCACCATCAAATTGACAATCAAATGTCTATTTTTTTGTGGTGAGCTTTGTCTCACATCATTGTATGATGTGCTGCCACTGCTGTAATGAAAATACCTGGACTATTTAAGCAGATGAGTGGGTGTGGAAGTAGAAGAGAGGAAGGAAGCAGAGTTGTCTGGGCACTGCCCTGTAAGTACAGTTGACCTGGTCTGGAGGGCAGCGCTTTGGTGAGCAGTCCTAGTTCCTTAGCCCAGAACTTAGGGGTTAAAAAGACTCTGGGCCAGCCAGGAACACCAACCTCCATTTACATATAAATTGGGAAAAATCACTGAGCAAATAGTTTTACAAATACAATTCATTTGTAAATTGGGGTTAATCTGACATGTTTATTTCAGGATATATAGATAAGAGCTGGATTTATATGAAAACTGACAGACTTTTTAGCTAAACTAAGCAATTAATTCAATTCCATGCAGAGAGTACAATAGGCTTCTTGTTTTTCTCTTTGATCTGACAAGTGTGTTAGTTGAGATGATTATTTTGCAGCATTATGTTGGGATCATGGATAAGGAATTGGACCAGAAGAATTGAAGTTATTGCAAGTCCAAATTACTTCAGGCATCAAGCGAGAGACTAGTTTCTCTTCCTTTCTTTCTTTCCTTCTTTCTTTCTTTCTTTCTCCCTTCCTTCCTTCCCTCCCTCCCTCCCTTCCTCCTTCCTTCCTTCCTCTCCTCTCCTCCTCTCTTTTTCTTTTCTTTCTTTCTTTCTTCTCTTTCTCTTTCTTCCTTTCTTTCTTCCTCCCTTCCTTCCTTCCTTCCTCTCCTCCTCTCTTTCTTTCCTTCCTTTCTTCCTTCCTTCCTTCCTTCCTTCCTCTTATATAAATTTAAGGTATACAAGTGCAATTTTGTTCCATGGATATATTACACAGTGGTAAAGTCTTGGCTTTTAATGTAACCACCACCTGAATAGTAGACATTGTACCCATTAAGTGATTTCTCATCTTTTTGGGGGCGGGGGACAAGGTCTCCCTCTGTCTCCCAGGCTGGAGTACAGTGGTATTATCGTAGCTCACTGCAGCCTTGAACTCCTGAGCTCAAGCGACACTCCCACCTCAGGCTCCCGAATAGCTAGGACTATAGGTGTGTGCCACTGCACCCGGCTAATTTTTATTTTTTATTTATTTTTTTTGATAGAGGCTGGGTCTCTCTATATTGCCCCAGGCTGATCTTGAACTCCTGGGATCTGGTGATCCTCCCACATCAGCCTTCCAAAGTGTTGAGATTACAGGCGTGAGCCACTGCGCCTGGTCCTTGCAGCTGCCAGTATATAAAGGAGCTTCTGAGAAATGTCCTTGGTCAGAGACAGGCGCAGCAGCTGCCTTCTGGAATGGTGTTTTAAGTGAGGCACATGCAGGCTTCGGGTTCTGTTTCATTTGTGGATGAAGCAAGAAAGCTGCTGCCTGACAAGGATGAGTGGCTTCGTTAATTAAATTAGCAGTGGAAATTTTACTGGCTTTAATTAGTGTAAAATAAGCCACAGAAATAAAGATAGTGATTAAAGCATGCTAATCTGATTAGAATCACAGTGTGCGTGGTTATAGGCAACTTGATATTAGAGAATCACAGACTAAGGCCAGGAAGAGGCAGAGTCCTGTTTTAAAGAAGAGGATGGTTGCAGATGGCACAAAAACTTGGAGCTGCTGCGGGATTGCCAAATTGCTTGGGGAGGATTATGTGTGATAAACGCCATGAAAATCACGGGGCATCGTTGAAAGAGCCATGTTCCTAGGAGGAAGGGCTTTCCGACCATTCACAGTGAAAGGAGCTGAATCCAACTTCATTGCTTTCCTCAGCAGAGGAAGACTTTACCAGCTGAGTTTCAGCCTCTCAAAATTTCAAACATATGGAAAATCGACAGATTAGAAAGATTCTAAGATGTTTGTACTTTCTCTTTCCTGACCCATACAATGAAAGCAGTGTTCATTTAAGACAGTGAGACACAGGATATTCAAGTGTCTGCTGTATGAGAGAAATGCTGTCTTATTAAATTCAATGCAATACAAATCACATCTTTAAATTATTGCATAAATCCTTTCCAATGCTCAGTTCCTTGGTCTAAGTTATCATAGAACTGATTTTAGCTTGAGTGTGGTTACGTGGAAACTGTCTATTTTACTCCCACCAGTTCCCAGCCTTCTCTCATTTCCCGGTTTGTAAAATTTCCATTTGCCCCAAAGTCTGAATGTTAAAACAGGTAGTCTGTCTTTGTCATTTTCTGTGTGTATATACAGTGCATTGTTTATAAGACTGTTATAATACTTAGATATTCATAAACCAATAGAAACATAACAAAATTTGCTATTAAAACAGAAACCAAAGTTTTCGGAAGACACAAATTCTGAATTAAATAAAAACAGTAGCTTATATTGACTTAGGTTTCTAGCATTTGGCATTGACTATTTTACATTTTTATTTCTTCAGTATGGGTTTATTGTAAGAATAGATTTTCCTTCAGTTTTGCAAATGATGAGATGTAATGAGACATTCACTTTGGGGCCAGTATTATGACAGAAGGTTATGGCTGTTTCAAATCAAATTAGTCAGAAAATAGACATTTTATTGTCAATTTGATGGTATAGATTTCAGCCACAATTCTGTCACCTTGCCTATTGAAATGATTTAGTTCAAAATAAGGCATTACTATAGATTTTTTATTATAAAGATCTACTAAGAGAAAAGAACTTTTTGGCACTCATTGCTAGAATATAAAAAAGTGTGAACGATTGCCAAAATACAGCTGGATAGAATTTATTCATTCAGTTGTTTATATGGATCTAATACATTAATTATAAATCACAATACAGTTTATGCCCCTCACAAAATACTATGTGAAGTTCAATTTCAGTGGAAGTGCCACGTAAGTGGCAACAGAAATAGACTTTTTTCAGCCAACGAGTAGTTGTTGAGTAGCCCAGAAGATGCATTATTTGTTCTGTGTATTAGTTTTTTATAGGAATATATATGATCCTGTAAATAGATAGACTATTTGTCTGTCTTAGATTTTTAAGAGACATATTAATAATGCTACTTGAAGATTTAGACACTAACTAGGTAGAACATGAAGTCTCTCTGTAAGTTCAGACTCTTTCTCTTCCTCCCTCGTCCTCAACCTGAAAACCACTGAAAGCCACTAGGTGGGCTGAGCCAGGCATCTGCGAGGTGGGACCAGTGGCACAGTGCAGGTGCAGCTGCCTGAACAGACCCAGATGGCCTCTGTGCAGGCTGCGGGGCTGTTGAAGCCCTGGGGGCAAGCAGGGTTTTTGCACAGAGAGAGGCTGGCGGGATGCCTATGGATGTTCCATGGATGGGTGTTGAGTCGGAGCAGGTGAAGGGCCCTCCTTGCAGGAGGCAGGGGTCGGGGTACAGTGATGGGCGTGGAAGGCTGACTGGAAGAGGGGAAGTCCATAGGTTGGGGAGGGATGACTGTGACCTGGCCTGGAAAGGGGTACTGGAACCTAAGAGAGAGAACAAGGTTGTTTGAGTAAGGGTGTTGGTGGAGTGACCCTCCACGGGGTATGAACCTGAGAATGGGGTGAGGAGGGCATCTTGGGTGGAACAAAGATGATGGCATGGCAGCCCTGCATGGACATTGGAGTGCAAGCAATGGGAGGAGGCACTGGCCCTGGGAGCACAGTGGAGAGGCCAGAAAGGGTGAAGAGAGCATCCCAGTGAAGACTGGGGGTGGGGACGCATTACGCACTGGGGCAGTGAAGATAAAGAGAGCCGGGTTTCTCACTGTTGGAAATAGGAAAAGGGAAAAAACTGGAGTGAGCCCTGTGGTATTAGATGGGAATTGCAGGTGTTGGTTTAAACTCATGGTTTTCAGTGTAGAACTATAGACAGGTACCTATGGAAATAACTATTGCTGAAGATGCATGTGTGGGTACATATATATGTGGAGTGTGTGCATGCATTTACATGCAGAGATTCACCAGCTCTGTCCGATGAGAGGGTCTGAGAGCGGTGACACAGGCACTCACACTTAGTCTATTTAGCATCCACATATTGGTATCCAAAATCCAGGCATCAGTCTAAGAACCAAGACCCCTAGGAGAAATCGTTATTCTAGGGATGGATCAGGGACCTTACAAAAGAAACACGAGGTATCTTATTGTGCTAAAAATAAGGAGGTACTCAAAGAATGATGAGGACATTTCAAAAGGATATGGAAACCAGGTAGCCAAACTGGGGACAATTTTAGCATCAATACAAATGAGAAGAAACCTTTTCCTTACTGTAGAAGACTAGCTGACTAATGTATAAGGAAGGAGAAAATCATTTGTCAGCCATCACAATAATAATCAGGCAAGAAACATCAATGAATGCTAAAACTAGTGGCAGGAAGTTTGGTGAGGAATGGGATACTGTCTGAAAGTATCTCTACAAAGGGATAAAGAGTAACTTTACATCTAAGAAACCGACAGACATTAACTTAATCAAATGATCAAGGTGAAAATTACCAAATAGGACAAATCAAAACTATCTAACACCTGTTTGGGTACCATGAAAACACAACATCATATTTGTAATATTTCTGCCCCAAATGCATAACCTGAATGCAATCATGAGAAAACATCAGACAAGCCAGAGTGAAGGAAATTCTTTAAAGTAACTGGCCTGTAATTCTCCAAAGTGTCAATGTCATGGAAGCCAAGGAAACCAGCAATGCCAAGGAAACCAGCAATCAAGGAGTCATTGCTGGAAATGGAAGATTAAAGAGACAGAGTCACCTAGTAGAGTCCTGGATTACACCCTTTGCTGAAATGCATAATCTTGACCCATTGGTGAAACGCGAGTGGTGTAAGTGAATCAGAGGGTAGTAATACATTAATACTAAGTTGTCTAGTTTGATTATTGTACTGGGGCTTTAGAGGAATTTTTTTTGTAGGAGATGCATTCTAAAATATTTATGGGTAATGATGCAATGGAACAGCAAAACTGTTAGTGAAAGTTTGAAACCATTTCAAGAGAGAAAAGAAAAAACATCAGGAATCCAAAACATCTGTTTTCTAGAGCTGGCTCTGCTGTGAGCTGGTTATTTGAAGGACGACAAATCACTCCATCTCTTTATGTCTCCATTTCTTCATCTCTTAATGTTCCATGGAGGTTAGTTAATTAATTAATACTGCATGTGTCATCGGGCATTTATAATCTAGCCTAATCCTGGGAGACTAAGATAAAATACCAAAGCAAGGTTAACATAAGTGCCATAATACAACTCAATGTAATGCAAGATCCTAGATTTGATGATGAATCAGAGAAAATTTTGCTATAAAGAACATGATTGGGGCTGGGCACGGTGGCTCATGCCTGTAATCCAGCACTTTGGGAGGCTGAGGCAGGTGGATCACCTGAGGCCAAAAGTTCAAGACCTACCTGAACAACATGGCGAAACCCCGTCTCTACTAAAAACACAAAATTGGCCGGGCTTGGTGGCGCATGCCTGTAATCCCAGCTACTCGGGAGGCTGAGGAAGGAGAATCCCTTGAACCTGAGAGGTGGAGTTTGCAGTGAGCCGAGATCTCACTATTGCATTCCAGCCTGGGCAACAAGAGCAAAACACCGTCTCAGAAATTAAAAAAAAAAAAAAAAAAAAAAAAAAAAAAAAAAAAAAAAAAGAACATGGTTGGAAAAACTGTACTGTCTTCATGCCAAATTTACCAAATATGATCATTGTATTGTGCTTATTTAGGGCAATATTCTTCTCTTAGAAAAATATGCTAAAATATTTGGGGTCATTACTCTCAAATGACTCAGCCTATACATACATACATATATATATATATATATATATATATATATATATATATAGCAAATGTAAAAAAAGTTAACAATTAATGGAAGTAGAATATGGGTATTCTTTTATGATTTTTACAGTTTTTCTGAAGGTTTGAAACTTTTCAAATTAAAATAGTTAGAAAACATAGTAAGTGGGATAGTAGTGTATATACAGTGCTACAAGAATGCAAGGTAATTATATTCAAGATAATGTATCTAATTTTATATGTCTGAGGCCCCACATATAAGCTGTATTGGTGCCAAGCGCCCACAGATTCTGAAGAACGGCACTGGCCACACACCTCCACAGGAGACATAAGAGGTGGCCCAGACCAGATTCAGTTCATTAGCCCCTTGCAACCCACGGGAGAAAGAGGGAAGATTATTCTGAGGCACAGAGTGGTTAGGTAACTTGTCCAGAGTCACACAGCGAGTAGCAGAGCCAAGGAGTGGAAAATCACACTTTTCCCAGTGCACTTTCTCTGTTTAACTGCTCCTCTACGCGTCCTGAATAATGATGTGTTGAACTCAGTTTGAATGTTTCATGTTAGATTGTTTTGATTTTTTTCTATTTTTAAAGTTTCATTTGGAATAAAAATGTCCAAAGAAACCCAAATATATTTGGATAATTAGTAGTGAAATAGCCAAATTGAAACTTTGCTGATCTGATTACTTCTGCTGCCATAATTATTGTGATTTGTACTCCGTAATGATTATAAACGCTTTGTCTGGTCAATGATTTTGAAGACTCTCAGAGCAATCAGATCTATTATGCTGCAACTTGGATGGTTAAACAAATTTTAAGTTTTAGAACACATAAAACATACATCTTAAAAGAAACAAAACCCATTCATGCATAATTAGTAGGTCTGAGATTAAAAAATGAAAAAAATGGTGTTGAGCACACTTTCTCCAAGTCCTCCTCCAAGTGGCTTTTCTCACGGGAACAACATCACAAGAAAGACAGCAGATCCACCTGAGGCATGACGAGACAGTTCCTTTTGAGATTAGGGCAATATATGTGTTTTAGAAGATATTCAAAAATAAAATCATAAATATTATCTTTCTAAGAAAGATAAGGGACAGTCACTGAGTTAGACAAAAATATTTTGGGAAGAAAATGGTGAAAACTGAAGTACCTTTATAAAAATACTGTAAAATGTGAGTGTTTTGTTATTAGAAGAAAGAGGAAACTGCATAGGTGGAGAGAAGCTGGGCTCTCCACGTGAAGTAATGGTGCTCTTCTGGATTCTGCCATTTCGGGTAAACCAGTCTTGCGTTTTTCCTCTGATATTTACCTCTTCTCACTGTGAAGATTCAGCCTTCAAAGCAGAACCTGACAGGTTGTGCTCTGTTAATCCGGCCTTCTGGGGGGCTGTCAATAGCAGTTGAATAATAGCAACGACTCTGTGAGCTCAGGCTGCCCTCTGCTCTCATTCGTCTCAGGCAAGTGGCAGCAGAGAATGCGCATGAGCCATTCAGAACATTTCACAAATAACTTACACTCGGAGTCTTGAATAATGCTACTTTTTTTTTAAGTTTTATTATGTTCATCATGAAGCTTTAAAAAGTCTTTTGCATTTGAGAGGAAAAATTATCATGTGAAAAATGTCCAGTTCTGCATCTCGATTATTTAAATGGTAATCCAAAGAAGCTCCTTCTCAGAAGCAATATTATTTTACACGTGCCCTGCCAGAGGCCACTGTGCATTGTCCCAATCAAAAATCTTGAAGGGATTAGTGTAGCGAAGAGTGTGCAATTAACTATTTCTATTTGATATGTTCATTTTGATATTTATAATGTTTGCTTCACTTTCTAATTGTGTGTGTGTGTGTGTGTGTGTTTTGAGACGGAGTTTTTGTTCTTGTTGCCCAGGCTGGAGTGCAGTGGCGCGGTCTCAGCTCACTGCAGCCTCTGTCTCCCGGGTTCAAGTGATTTTCCTGCCTCAGCCTCCCAAGTAGCTGGGATTACAGGTACCTGCCACCATGCCTGGCTAATTTTTTTGTATTTTTAGTACAGACGGGGTTTCACCATGTTGCCCAGGCTGGTCTTGAACTCCTGACCTCAGGTGTCTACATGCCTCGGCCTCCCAAAGTGCTGGAATTACAGGCATGAGCTACTGCGCCCGGCCTCACTTTCTAATCGTTACTTCTCAGTTGTGAGGCGTGTTAGGGCCTCCACAGACAGGTAAAGGAAAAACGGGTACAGATGGAATCGGGGCTAATGGGATTCTCCTTGAGGAGTGCCGTCTGTACCTGGGAAAGGCTGATGTTTTGTACAACAGTGTCCGGGAGCAGTGGAAACCCTGGATACAACCGTGGTAGTGTTGCTGTCCCAGAGGTTAACCTGTTGAGTAGGACACGGAAGCAGAAAGTCACTAGACAGGCGTAAAGATGTGGTTAGAGAATGTTATCTTCTTAATTGCGGGGAGATCTGCCATGAAGTGAGGCCCCAGCTGGCCGCGGGAGGGTGGAGGGAATATTTCCAGCCCTTGAGGCTGGAGGTTTGTAAATGCTTACTGGATTTGGGGTCAAGATAAACAGGCTACATTTCAGGGTAAAATCCCAGTCCCAGTGGCAGAAATAGGTTCTCTTGGGAATACAAGGAAAAGGCCAGTCCTCAGGACAAAAAGGGTATGACCGGGCTTTGCTTTACGCATAAGCGGACACTGGATTGTAGATACTGGGTTCAGGACAGGAAATAAATCCCCTTGTCCTCCGCGGTAGTCCTGGGATGCACTGTCAGCTGGGACTGGATCAGGGCTTTGGTTAGACTAGATTTTCAGGTTGAGGACGCTGGGTACCAGGCACAGCAGCAGCAGGCAGGAGCTGATACACGGTAAGATTTCAAGGGTCAGTGAATTACCTATTTCTGTCTCAGCCCCCAGAGCCTCACACAGCATTAGCACAAAGTGGATGCTCCAAATGGGTACTGAGTTGACATCAGTGCATCGGACAGCACGTTTCCCTAAGTATACCTAAGTAAATAGTGCAAATCCATGTCTAGAATGCCCATATTGCCTGTTTAGGATGGTTATAGGATCTACTCAAACTCAATACCTTATTTCTTCTCCTAGTTTTGAGAATGGTCTTTGAAAATATTTTCTTTTAGTGTTCCACTGAATGCACTCAAATAATAACATTAATTTACTTTAAAATTGAATTAAACCCCATACACATTTCTCTACACCTGTAGATTGGTTATCAAGAATAAAATTGTGGTGAAGTTTGCCACACTGAAATATTAGCATTATGGAAACAATATCCAACACATTCAGAGTTAGACCCTGCTCTTATTATTGAAATGAGATATTTTTGATGTATACAAATGATGCTACTGAAAACGATTGGAAGACATGCTCCTTGAACATTAATAGGAAGATTTGTCCCACGTAACTCATGTTCCCTCAACTCCTCTGCCTTGTGAATGCTGCCTGTGCTTACAGATAGTGATGAATTGTGTCATTAAGGGATACTATGTTTCTTTCCACTTGCCCACATACAACAATTCACAATTCATTATAACCAAGAATATGTATCTTCCATGGCATTCCATGTTTCTTCTTGCATAAGGGTTCTGTTAACTAGGATTTCATTTGCAAAATTTGCACTTTCTAAAAATTTCTTAGTAATTGTGAAGTTTAACCCACTCTTATCGCATATTTGAAAACCAAAATTCAGAGAACTGGAGTAACTTTGCCTGAGGTCAAACAGTTGCTATTGTGTGGGTCTTGAGATTCTATTTTTCAGACTAGCTTTTTTCACCTTTTGTATCATCTACCTCGGATTTGCAAACCATGGATAAAATATTTTTTGACAACATATAACTTACTCTTTATAAGTATAATTTAAGATAAATATAATAACTTAATAAGTATAATATAATTTATATTATATTGTAAATATTAGAAATATATTATAAATATATAAAATAAATATTACTCTACAGGTGTAGAATAATTTATAAACCCTAAGGCAATATAATTTATGAAACCTTAAGGCAATATAATTCCTTGAGGCATTATTAATGATATAAACTTGAATTCAATTCACATGACAATGATGACCATTTTAAAATACCTTTCGAAGAGATGCCTGAACAGGGCCAATTGCCGGCTGTGTTGTCACACAAAATATGGCTTAAATAAAGCTAACCTGAGTTTTCAGAATATTTGAGTATGCTAACATAATGTCTCCAAAGGAAAACTATATATATTTGACAAAATACATATATTTTTCCTATAAAATGTATTATAGATAATATGTATATCTGAAACAAATAGATTTGCATGATCCCTACTGTGTACTTTTCCCCCTTTTTGACCGTTTAGTTATCTAAGTCCACTGTCAATTTATATAACAGCAACCTAACTATCTGAAATACTCTGCAACAAGATAAGTCCCAATGAAATTAAATACTGAAAGGAAATATTTTTTAAAAGTAGCCAAATAGCAGATGTCTTCTTAATTTCCACATTTGTGGCATTCTGTGGA
Source organism: Homo sapiens (assembly GCF_000001405.40). Classification (NCBI taxonomy): domain Eukaryota; kingdom Metazoa; phylum Chordata; class Mammalia; order Primates; family Hominidae; genus Homo; species Homo sapiens. The sequence goes on from NC_000004.12 coordinate 187,081,031, forward strand.
GAAATTCTCCAGATAAATGTTTACAATGTTTAATCCTCACATGAAGGTAACTTTGACGTAGACACTTCCCATATTCGTCCATATAAGAAACTGAAAGATTAATGCCACCACTCCAGAAATACTGATTTAATCAACATTTTTATTAAATAAAATTGATTAAAACTGGTCTTCTTTCTCATGACCTCATCTCTTACAATGTAACTACATTAACATGTATAGGGGCATAGTGTTCTCAATGCTATCTTCAGATCTATATCGTCAATTACTTACTGACCATTAAGCTCACTATTAATTTAATACCAACAAATAGAAGAGATATAATTATCAAGCATTATCAATTAATATGTACCTAGGGCCACAGAATCATCAATTTATAGATCTCTGTTTATCTGTCATTTTCCTTTGGAGACATTATATTAACATACTCAAATATTCTGAAAACTCAGGTTAGCTTTATTTAAAACCATATTTTGTGTGACAACACAGCCGGCAATTGGCCCTGTTCAGGCATCTCTTTGAAAGTATGTTAAAATGGTCATAATTGTCATGTGAATTGAATTCAAGTTTATGTCCTTAATAATGCCTCAAGGAATTATATTGCCTTAGGGTTTTATAAATTACTCTTATAAAGATAAGAAGAAATTAGCTGAAAATAACTGAGCCTATACTATGGCATACTAAACAATATCTAGCTTATCAGATAGTTAATTTGTGCATATAAAATGAATGTAGAATTATGTATGAGGTTAATTCAACTATCTGTGTCTGTAGCCATTCATCTACATATTCTAGCTCTTGTTCACATATCCAATACATATTTATTGAGCACCTACTTGACTCCAGGCACATTGCTGGGACAGGGAATATGACATGAATGAAACAGACAAGGCGTCTGCCCTCAAAGGTCCTGTTCAGTGAGAGGGGTGTTGCTGACTCCAGTTCCTGCTCCCTTGGGAGGCATCATTCATCAGTGGAGATATCCTTGCCCCAGAGCTTGGGTCTCCTCAAATGTTGTGCTCTTTGACAGGTCCAAGAATGAACAAAACTGGCCTGGGAATTAAAATAATTTGCCTTCCCTGGGTGTATATTTACATGTATACGTAGTGGCTAATAAATTAGGTGTTTCAACCTAGACACCCAGGCACAATTGATAACAATAATCAAAGTAAAGTTTGACACAGACCACAAAAAGAAGATTATTACAAATCTGAACTTTTAACTTCAAAACTGGTTGCATGACTTTTGGGTCTCTTTGCAGGATTCCTTCACCAAAGATCAAAATGCAAAAGGTGGAGGAAGACTGGAAAGGAAGTTGTGAGGAATGCAGAGAGGATGTGGAGAGGAATGAAGGGTGATGTTCCGCTTAGGGAGTCATAGCACCTCCACCCGAGGCCACTGAGGGGGGCTTTCAAGGATGCCTTGGCAAATTTGCAGGTAAAGGGCCACAGGGCACTGATGCCACAATCATGCCTGAGAAAGCCGCAGGGGCTTATGCGGAAGAGAGCTCTGTACCCATGCAAGTTAATAGGAGTGTGACTACTCAGCTCAGAGATAATCATACTGGTTCCACTTAAAAATGAATTGTGGCCAGGTGCAGTGGCCCATGCCTCTAATCCCAACACTTTGGGAGGCACAAGTGGGATGAGTGCTTGAGGCCAGGAGTTTAAGACCAGCCTGGGCAACATAGCAAGACTCCATTTCTTGAAAAAATATAAAAACAAGCCCAGGATGGTGGCGTGCACCTGTAGTCTCAGCTACTTGGGAGGCTGAGGCAGGAGGATCACTGGAGCCCAGGAGAGCAAGGCTACGGAGAGCCAGGATCATGCCTCTGAACTCCAACCTGAATGACAGAGTGAGAGTGTATCTCTAAAAACTAACTAAATCAAACTAGTAAAAATGAATCTTGCCTAAGGGGTTTTGCTTCCAGGGTAAGGGAACCCCTGTGATCACAGGCTGGCAGGATCATCATGAACAGAAGCTGGAATAGGATTGGAAGCTTCAGGCTCAAGGAAAGGCACTGCCCGTGGCACAGGAGTTGCAATTGTGAGGCTTAGTAGAGGCGCCTTTAAATAACTCACAAAGCGTCTGTGCAAGAAAGTCAGCTCGCAAACCTCTGCCAGGTCTGGAAAGCAGGGCATCTACTTGTGACCGTCACGATCATGTAAGAAGCACAAACAGTCATCTGGCCACTTTGATATCCAACCTTCCCCAACCTCAGCTGATGGAAGCAGGAAGGACACTTCCCCCTAGCCCTCCTAAGTATAGGCTGAGGGCAGGGACTAAGATTTAACTTCAAATCAAGTTAGCGCTTTCTAACATCATCTGGAAAAGGAAATTTTACATTACTGGAGATCGTATTTGCTACTTGAAGGTTTCATGGGCCTTTCTATTATCTAAGAGTGATCCAAAAAGTAGTGGCAATTGTCTGCATTGGCACTTAAGGGCAGGGACTGGACCGCAAGTATTGAATGGGTTTCATGGGACAGTGGGAAGCAAAAATAGAAGTGCTTATATCATTCATTCATTCATATTAGCGTGCACTTATTGAAGACTCACTGTGTGCCAGGCACTGTTCTAGGTACTGGATGTTTGCCTATGGGAAAAAATATGTAGAAACATCCCCAGATTCACAGCATGTTATAGCAGGGAGTGTGTGTTCAACGTCCTGAAGATCATGTTCACACACAGATGGATAGACGGTAGACGACGGAGTGAGTAACTCACACAATCTATTCATTTCTCTATCACCTCTCTCAAGTTTTCATGGAAGCTAGGCTGGTGGAACTACAGGAAATGTGATTCTGGTTCTCTCTGTAGATTATAGTGAGGTTGTCTATGTCCTATGCTGGTCTTCACTTAAATCGTCAGATTCTTGTATCATGATTTCTAAGTAAATTGCAGAACTTTTACAAAGTTCCACTTTAAAAATACTGCTCTTCCAGCACAATTTGCCATTGCAAAAATATGGAACCAACCTAAATGTCCACCAACCAACAAGTGGATAAAGAAAATGTGGCATTTATACATCACGGAATACTACTCAGCCATAAAAAGAAATGAAATAATGGCATTCGCAGTAACTTGGATGGAGCTGGAGGCCATTATTCTAAGTGAAGTAACTCAGGAATAGAAAACCAAATATAGTGTGTTCTCACTTATAAGTGGGAGCTAAGCTATGAGGATGCAAAGGCATAAGAATGATGTAATGGGCTTCAGGGACTTGGAGGGAAGGGTGGGAGTGGGCTAGAAATAAGAGACTAAACATTGTGCAAGGTGTACACTGCTTGGGTGATGGGTACACCAAAATCTCAGAAATCACCACTAAAGAACTTTTCCATGTAACCAACACCACCTCTCCTCCAAATGCTATTGAAATAAAAATTCTAAAAGCAGGAAAACATCCTAAAAATGTTTCAAAATCCTTTCTCTTTACTATGCACTAATTGGCATAGTAATTGGCACTCCCTATCCAAACACTAGGTCAAACTCTGAAAGTTATTTTGTCAATTTTCTATATATACATACTTCTTAAATAAAAATGTAATTTACAAAATAAAATAAAATACTGCTTTTCTTCAATTATGTGTATAACCAAACTGTAGTTTTCCTAATTTACTTTTGAATATGTTTTGCTACAAGTTTCTGCTTAAAATTGTTTCTGCAGGGTTTATTACATAAACATGTGCCATTTTCTTGCTCTTTCATAGGCAAGACCATTGAGAAGATATTTGGACCCTGGTGGCAGTTTTTTATGGGTTCCTCAGCAGGGATGAATTAGCGCAATTTGTGTTACATGCAATACAAGCAGGTTCTGGGTGGGTGATTTCCTTTGATCACTTTCCTTCCCCCACCTCTCCTGCTCCCCGCAAATACTCATACACAGCCTGCCTTGCAGGTCCTATTAGCACAGAAATGGAAGGAAGAGCTCTGACTTGTGGGAAAATGTTCATGTGGAATGCTCTACGACCACATGAAAGCTCTGAACTCTAGTGTATAGCCGTCTGTCTGAAAAATTTGCCAGAAAATTACTTTATCTTCATTTATGTGTGGCAGAACAAATGTAAAACTAATGGAATCCAAATTTTAAAGTAGGAAAATGTGATCATTTAGTAGAAGGAAAGTGAAAGCATTTTTTATTTAAACATTAAAATATGATTGATTGACAGTTAAAATGATACATTTATAAAATATAGAAAACTTACAATTCTGCTGCTACGTATTTGCTTATTAAAAACTTGAAAAGGATCATGTCTGTTTTGTACTCATAACATTGTTGCTGTCACTCAGTTTCAATTCCAGAAGCTTCATTCTATTGATGTTCTTTACACTGATATTTGAAATGCGTGTTTTAGTTCTTACGTGTAAGATAAATGTTTTAGTTTATGCAATTTCAATGTTTTAGTTTATGCAATTTAGCCATTATTAAAAAACAATTTGGTTGAACAGTGTTTATTACATATTCAACCACTTTTACTTCAGAATATTGATAGCTAACCTCTATCAATTTAAGCCAGTTCAGCAAAAATACTATTGCTTTCTTACGACAGACCAGATACAGTACTAGTTTTTGTGTTAGCTAAAAAATAGTACTGCCTCTGAGGAGCTTGTCATCCAACATGTTGTAAGGAAAGAGAGATGTAAATTTTTAATTTACACTTTTATAATGCATAGTGTATACATTTATAACTTCAGTAAAATGTGTAAGGTCTGTGGCAAACATGGACAGATTGTTACTTATCTCTTCCTAGTTTCTAATCTATATCCAATTTCTATTAATAACAGAGAGAGCACTTGGACATGAGACAAGAGGCTATGATAAGAGGTATGCATAAAAATGATGGTGGGGTGTTAGAAGGATTGTAAATGCTGATGGTACACATGTGGACTGTGAAGTGAAGATGTGAAGCTTCAGGAAAGATGCGTTAATAAACAACATGTATTAAAATACTGATTAAAATCATCTGATTAATCCAACAGTAAATGCTCTAGAGGCATTAAGTTGAAACTCTCAGAATTATTATCTACTTGAATCTTGTTAATTTCTCAAATACTTCTAATATATTATTTACTACTTGTTAGTTTTTAAAATCACAAGAGTAATGTTATTTGCACATTTATATATATATACAGCTAAAGCCAAACTAACGAAATAATAAATCTTTTCTTCTTCCAACAATCTGTCCTCTCTTCCTGACCTTACTTGATTGTTAATGATGATGCAGAAGTAATTCTCAGGAGAGACTGCAATAGTACAGTGCCTGGTTTTGAAGTGCATATTCAGACAAAATTCCCTTTGCTCACCACTCGGAGCTAGGATTCTGAGAATCACACACATCAAACACATATTTCAGGAAAAGAGACTATGTCAGCCAGCCACGATAGAAGACACGTATGTAGTGAAGGGAGTCCACACTCTCAAAGCCGAAGCACTCAGGAAAATAGAAACTTATCTGTTATGGGGCCAGGAAATTTAAGAACATAAAATATCCACAGAACTTGGCTTCATGTAAGCATCAACATTATATAAAAGACAATAATACATGTCATCAGTTTCAGGAGTAAAATTAAGAGAGTTTTGATTGGATGAGCCCACAGCGATTGAAATCAACCGACCCATAGGCTTTTGAAGGCCAGAATGATTTCCTATCCAGAGAGCATAAGTAAATCAGAAATTTGCAGTTGTGTGTGTGAGCCAGCATTTCAATATAAATAACATTAAATTAGGCATGGCTACTCTACTACATATTGCCATATCTTCGTCTCACCTTCCGTTTTCTATTTCTTTCTTCCCTCCAGGTAAACAAGATAGAATCAGGGAATCTTAAGACACGTGTGTGTCTGCGTGGAGGTGAGGTCACAGGCAGAGAAGGCAGTGGAGTGTCCGACTGGGTGTAAGAGTCCCGGTGAGAGTCCGAGGAACCCATAGAGACGATGGGAAGGTGGAATTACACTCCTTTTACACATCACATTTCACACTCGTTTTCGAGTTCTAATTTTTAGGAGCTCCATGGCATTTTTTGAATATGACTATAATTTGCTTCTCAGAAGCATTAAGGCAAATATTTTGAGGGATGTTCTATGTGTAGCTTTTTTTGTGACTTTTCATTCTTGGGCAGAGGTTTCTACAATCGCCAGCTGGTTGGCTATCTATGCATCTCTCAGTCATTGTTGTCACTTTCCCAATGACAGGAAAGTATGATGCTATGTGACAGCCCATTGTTCTGATCTTCCTTCAACCTTTCTTTACAAGATATTTCCTCATATAATTTATTAATCTAAAGTTGAATACACTCTATGGAACAGTTCCTAATACTTTTAGACAAAGTGTATCATATCAATTTCATACCTCTACTTATCTGAACCTAAAATATTTTCTTTAAGCCTCTTGTCAGCAGTTCCTTATTCTAGGTAATATTTGGGTAAAAAGCTATAAGAATGAAATGTGGAAATCATTGTAGAGGTAAAGGCTTTTACTGTAGGTCATAGTGGGTTGGGAGTTTGGGTATTCCAGGATAATTCTACAGGTAGAATTCTGTTAGATGGCATCAAATATGTTGCAAATAGAACACTACCCTTAGAGATATGCCAGCTTTATATAGAAAAGTGGCTAATTTATGTAGAGATCCAGTTCTGTCTCTAATTTCAGTAAATTTAGACAGAGAATCTGTAGCGTATATACACAAATAAGCTTGCTATTGGAACACTGTTCTAATAGTGAGACCATCTGGAAATATCTTTGGAACGTATAAACATTAATTCCTTCTAGAGAAAAATGTTCATTTTCCATGTCTATTTAATTCCTTTTTTTAAAAAAAAAATTTTAGGCCTTCTGAATATGTGAGATGTTAGCTAAAAATGTAAATTATGTTCTAGGATATTTGGAATTTACTTGCCTTTAAAACACCATAACCACTTCAAAAGAGGTACTTCTTGTCTCGTTTGTAATTCTGTGATGTAAATTCTGAAGTTTCACACATTGACAATGATGGTTATTACAGTATTAACATCGCCATACATCTCTTTGGTTAGTTTACCAGCTCAATTAATCATGCTTCATTTTCTTTTGGGCTCTCATATCAGCTTCTCTTATTTTTGAATGAAATGACTTCTGAAAGAGAACATCCTCTGAGGACACACTAATTCTCCCACCTTTACGGAAATTCCTTCTCAGAAGGGGCAGATTTGCTCAGCACTGAAGCCACGTCCCAGAAGCCTGGGGCTCCGTGTGGAGGGTGAATGCTGATGGGAGCCTGGGGACCTCAGCTTCTAAAGCCTGTTTCTGCCGCTCACCGCGGGGCCTGCAGGGCTGAGCTTCATCTTTCTGTGCTTCATTTCACTGTCAGTGGAAAGAGCATAATATTTTTATCCCCAGTTTCTTGTAAGTCGTTTATTTTTCAATTTCTATAACGAACTCTTTGTTCATATTGAAGCAAACCTGTATTATTAATAAATGATCCCGTCACAATGAAACATTCCCCTGGCTCTGCAGAGAGCCGAGGGACAGTTCTGTCCCCGGTCACCAGCGCTCCCCTTTCTTAACTGGATGAGCCTTACTTACACTGTCCCCTAAAAGTCAGTACGCAGAGGATTTGCTGACTCAGTCTGAAAGGACAAAGTCCCAGAGTTTCAATCTACCCATTTGAAACAGTCATTCTCTAGTCCTTAGTAGAAATAACACCTGGGAGCCTTTAGGGAAGAATAAAATCTTAATTTTGCTGAGAGCCAGAAGTTTTATCCATAATACCTGTCTTATTATTCAATAAGCCATCCAGAGCCACAGGAGATTGGAAGTAAGTCACTGGCTCCCAGATGTTCTCACAGCCATAGTCTTCACTGCCTGCGAACAACTCAAGAAATGAGTCTTTCTTCTGTTGCTGTTTGTTCATACAGAACAAGATGAGACGCAAGCCTCCTGCTTAATTGGAGTATTGAATTTTTGAAAATGTCTGGTCATTTTGTTCTTTCTCTTGTTTCCATCTAGTGTTGCCACTCTAATTAGGGAATGGCAGTGCTAAAAATACAGATGTTAACACCAAATCAGTCCATCCTAATTATCACTCAAAAATCAAACATTTTTTAGGGAGGCAAAAACTGTCATGAGAACTACAATTTGATTTGGAGACTATTTCACTTATACAGTTTCTTCACATGATGACCAGCCTTCTTTCTTTAGTAATGGTTATTACTATGGCCATTGCTGTTAATTCTGTGACTTATCACTTCCCATATAGACCCAAGCACTGAGCTAAGTGTTTCACAGGCATTATCGCATGGAGGGCACTCAACAACGCTATCAGCTGGCCATTGTTATCATCCTCATTTTATAGGTGAGGGGTTAAAGAACACTTCCAAGATCTCATCGCTGGTCATTGGTAGCAACAGGGTTTAAAACCAGATTTGTCCAACTTCAGAACTGTGATCTCTCTCATTTGCAACCCTGTCTGCTAAGTAACATGATACAGAATTGGTTAAATACTTTCCATATGAATGTCTGCAGGTTTAGGATTTAAATCATTCTCTAAAACGGATTTTTGATATAATAAAAATGACCAATGTATTCTGTAAATTGTATTGCCTAAGTGTGGGAAGAAGGGCTGGAAGCAACGCAGTCATTGATTCTGTGGGAAAGGATGGACGTGAGAGACGCAGCCGGTCAATATAGTCTGTTATTAATTTCGAATACCCAAATATTAGTCAGATATTGTTTGTGTTTCTCAAAAGTGTCATCTAATTTTTATTATTTTTTTAAATAATTTTTTTATTTTCACTTAAGTAATGCATACATATAGTAAATACTTCAACAATAAAAAACAAAGGACGTAAAATGGGAAATGCCTACCTTCCCTGTGTTCTGCCTCCCCCTACTCTCTGGTTTTCTGTCCAAAGTCAAACACATTCAATTCCTTTAGCTCATTCCACTGGTAGTAAGCCTCCATATTGCTAAATAATATGCTCATTAGTCTATTGTCTGACTTTTTAATTGCTGACATTATTTTTATCTTTATTTTAAAGTATAATATGAATATAATTATCTCACAGTTTTGACAATGTCAACATAGTACAATATAGTTCATAGTATTCTAGAAAGGCACACACTCTTGTATTTTTTAAATATGTAAATTTCTTCCCTCTTCTGTCTCTGCAAGGCCTATCTCTAATTTCTCTAGTGGTGGGGTTTGTTCTCACTCAGTGTGGAGATCTGGGTCTCTTTTTTTTTTTTTTTTTTGAGATGGAGTCTCACTCTGTCGCCCAGGCTGGAGTGCAATGGTGCGATCTCGGCTCACTACAACCTCCGCTCGTGGGTTCAAGTGATTCTCCTGCCTCAGCCTCCCGAGTAGCTGGGATTACAGGTGCCCACCACAACACCCAGCTAATTTTTATATTTTTAGTAGGACGGGGTTTCGCCATGTTGGCCAGGCTGGTCTTGAACTCCTGATCTCAAGTGGTCCGCCCACCTCAGACTCCAAAAGTTCTGGGATTACAGGCGTGAGCCACTGAGCCCAGGCGAGACCTGTGTCTCTTATTGTATGCTTATTGTGTTCTGTTTCGCTTTTGCGTCTCTTTCTGCATTCCAGATTTTCTTTCAATGATTCACTCTTTCACTATAAACTTCCTTTCAAGAACAAGGCATGAGATACCGTGGAGGAGCTCGAGTTGTTACGAGCACCCTTGTTATTTGGTGGAGTTGCGACAGCACAGTTGGGTTTAATTTAGCTTTTCCCCTGGGCACCTCCAAATGTCAGTGTCTGGAGGTCTCAACAAGAGAAAGTTGAGGATCTCACAGTTCTGTTTCCGTATTTCACTGAATCCCCCATTTTCTACCTATTGCTCACCCCAGCTCTCCACTATGTACTGTGTCCCCAAGTCTACAGCATCTGTTCATCCACAAAACAGCTTCCAGCATCCTGAGGTGGTGAGGGGTGTGGTTGAGAAGGTCATCGGTTTTGCTGGTGAGGGGCAGGAGTTGACCACTCTAATCACAGGCATTCAAGCGAGTCCTGTGGATAAAGTCCGGCACCTGAAGCCTGCCTCCTGCCAGACCCAGCACCTCCAGCTCTGGAGCATCTTGGGGTTCTAGGGGCACCTCCAGCTCCGGAGCATCTTGGGGTTCTAGGGGCACCTCCAGCTCCGGAGCATCTTGGGGTTCTAGGGGCACCTCCAGCTCCGGAGCATCTTGGGGTTCTAGGGGCACCTCCAGCTCCGGAGCATCTTGGGGTTCCAGGGACACCTCCAGCTCCGGAGCATCTTGGGGTTCTCGGGGCACCCAGCTCCTGCTTCACTGGATTTGCCGACTCAGGTCATGGGGTGTAAATGACCCTGCTCTGCTTCAGCTGCTCTTTGTCCTCCAAATATTTGGGTTTTCTATCTGCACTTTTCTCTTTTCTCGTTGTCTTTGCTCTAGGTGTTAACAACTTTTACATTTTATTATTTTCATTTAAAAACATTTGAAGATAGAAGAGATTTGTGTGAGAGAGTAGAGTTTGTTTTTTAACAAGAAGCAAATTTATCCATTATTTATTTGGTTAGGAGACTTTAATACACATTTTAACTCATTACAGATCATCACTTAGGATGTGAAAAGTTTTGTGGGACTTATAGGGAATTTTTATGCTCCCTTAACGGAACAATTCAAATACATAACATCGAGCCCTATAAATCGCATGGCTTTTCAAGTAACCATAAGATATTTATATAATGTTTCCATACTCAGGAACACAGACAAAACTTCAATGTTTTCTGAAACAGAAATAGCATACACTACTCCTCTAAACATGATGAAAACAATCTATAACCAAAAGAAAAACATTACCTGAATTCTTATTATTTGTATGAATGACAATGAAAAAAATAGTAAGAAACATAGAGAAAATAAAATAATTATTGGAGTAGCTTTGGGTGAACTAACGCAAACGTAAAAGTTGATAAAATGGATGATTTTCATGAAAAACATCAATTAGAATAATAAAATAAATATATTCAATTTTGACCAAATTCAAACACTACAAATAAAAGCTCTTTTCCACTAAAATCAAGTCCAGTTTCCCTCTTTTTAATAATAAAATATTACTAATTTAATGGTTTCTTCAATGATTTATAGACTATATGTAACATTTAATTCCTAATATTTTTATAATAAACTGTGGTCCATGTTTCTTTAGTGGGATGGCTGCCGGTTGTAGAGCCCTGGTGAGCAGGCTCAGCATCATATGGGAAGTTGTTAGAAATAAATTCTTGGGCTCTACCCATGACCTACTACTGAATCAGAAACTCTGGGACAGGGGGTCAGAAATCTGATGCACTTTTGGCCAGGCATGGTGGATCACGCCTGTAATCCCAGCACATTGGATGCTGAGGAGGGCGGGTCACTTGAGGTCAGGAATTCGAGACCAGCCTGGTCAGCATGGTGAAACCCCATCTCTACTAAAGAGGCGGGGCTATTTCTTAAGCTGTGTGCCACTGGGAAAATAACTGGTGCTCTCTGCTCCTCAATTTTCTTATCAGTAAAACAGGGATTAGAGTGTGTGATCAGCTGGCCTCCTAGGCTTCTGAACATTAGTGATGAAATGCAGAAACAAGCTTAAAGTACAGTGATGCCTCCAGAAATTGGTTCTACCAAGTGTTAGAAATGCCAGAGCCTGCAACATTCTCCCTCCTGTCTTCCTTTGGATGACCTCAAGGCAACAAAGACTGGCCCTGTCTTTTCCTCCCTGTTCTACCGTCTCTGGTCAGTCACTGCTCTTGGGCTGCATTTCATCAGACCTTGCCAAGAAAATGGAGACCAGGGAAGCCGTCCTACTGGGTGGAGCTTCTCTTTTGGAGGAGTGACCCGATCCTAGGATGGCTGTGTTGTGGTGCCCTATTAGGAAGAAGGGATGTGTCTGGAAGCACTAGTCCGGACAAAACAATAGTCTCTCTCTTCCAGCCAATTCTCAGCATCCTCTGCAGGGCAAGCTTGTCACCCAGCTGTGTCATGATGGCTAAAAGTATGGGGGGGCAGACAACACAGCCTCAAGCACAACCACCTGGCACTAATTTGAAAACCCCAGGGCTGTCTGGGGGAAATGCTGTGATATTTCCCATTAGGCGAAAGGCAGCTTAACATTCATAATTTGATTGAGAAAAATGGAGCTATTTTATAGGCCAGTAGGCTCCAAATTGTTATTCTACTCAGATCTTTATTGCTTGGCCTTTCTTAATTTAATAAGCAACCTGTATCTCTCGTACTGAAGACAAATAGATTCTATAAGTGAAGATCTAAAATCTGAAGTGTTAATAACAGAACTAAAAATATAGTTTTGTTTATTTTTCTCCATGTCAGATTCTGTTTTCTGTACAAGCAAACCAATATGTTCTTGCTCTGAGGGACATACTTGAAATGACAGAATCATGGGGTCTCCATTCATGGCACTGCCATAGTAACAGATTGGGACCACGATGATTTAACATTACCAGGAGTTACTGTTGGAACAGGTCAACACAACGTGAAACCTCTGCTACACATCCCACACACACTTGGCCCCAAGACGTTGCTTCTACTTTGGAAAAATCACTTTTCCAAAATGACATTTAATTTAAAAAATCTGTCCCAGTAAACAACTTTACACTGAACAATATCTGCATTAATAAGAGTTAAGGCCCTGAAGAACAACTCTTTGGCATTCTTTTCTTTGACAAGGTCTCTGGGAACCATGCCAGGAAAATATAATAAAATTTACTAGCCCAAAAGTTGTGTCCTTTCTTCCCTTCTCTGTGTATCCATTGTCTATGCGATGCTTCTTTTTCGTCTTTACTTTCTTACTAGAAATTTGAGAGCCTTGCTTTAGTTTATTTGAAACCAGCCTTATATTTGCAGTGTTCTGCTTCTGTTTCAATGATAGGAGACCATAATCTCTTTGTACAAGCATCATCTTCTCTTTCAAGTTGATTCCACACATTTTCATTGATCTGGATTTCCCAGGTACTGATGCAAACCCTTCATCAATACACTTCACAGCGCTCTTGTCCATACTCTGGTTTGCATGGTCTCTTCCTCTCCCTGAATCATAAGTTACGAGGAGGCAGGGCCATTTCCAAAATCAATTCCTGGCAGAAGAGAAAGTGCCTCCATGCATCAGGAAACCATTTCAAACGTTAACAGTTGATCCAAGGGCATTAATTAAACTTCTTTCATAAATAAAGGCTCACTGCTGCCAAACGGTGGAGTGCATGAAGAGACAATTCCAAGGCTATAACTTCCCTCACAAAAAAGAAATGAAGCTCTTTGCAGACAAAGCCTATTAAGCATATTCACTTTCAGATTGTTAGACAGAACAAATGAGAGGGAGCGGCAGAGGCAGTGGAGAAGCCCTTCATTCAAGGAACAAAGAATGCCTCCTGTACTCTTTGCCATTGTGATCTTGTCTCAGGAAAATTCAAAGAGGCTGAAGATGGGGATAATTAAGCAAATGATTGATACCAAATCAAAGATGACTTTTGAGGTTCATTTGATATCAGTTTCCTCTAGGGAGAGTATCTGTTTATTCCTTTTAGTGCGGCTCCCCACGTGAAAGATTAAAAATGACAGAACCTTTGTTAAACAGTTTAAAAGAATTAGAGAGTTTTCTTTCCTAGGCTTTGACTGAAGAGATTCTTTGCCAATTAATAAAAGAGGAAAAGTGGAAAAATTATAGAATGAGCTCTCACAGTCACTTTAGTTATGGAATTTTCCTATTTGGGTTGGCTATCAGGTCTTAACAAAATATTCTCAAGGGAAAGAAAACCAACAGCCTGACTTTTGTTGTCACACGGGTACTAAGCCATATTGAGAGGAAGTGCAGGCTGTAGAAAACCATAAGGGAATGTCAGGCTAACAGAGACACAGAGCCGTTTACCCACTTCCGAGACTGTGGAGTTTCACATATTTCTAAGATGTTAAGTGAGAACCATGTCACAGATGACGTAGAATGTGCATGATGCAGAAAAATACAGAAGCTTAAAATATATTTAATACAAATGGAAAAGATGTTTCATTTAAGCAATATATATTTTTGTCTTGAAATTATTCAATCTAATTTTAGGTGCAGATCTGAGAGCTGTTAAATTTTCCAAAGGATAATTGACAGTCAGGATAAAGTGCAGTCAATCCCCAAGCTTCAGACTTTCCGTCTTCATTTGGAACTCTTTCCAGGCATCCATTTTCAATGTCTATCCGTTTTCCACATTCTCCCTGGACCTGTCTTCTCCCTCTCTCAGTGGCTCATACCCCTTGAAGAGACAACTGGTTTGGAGAGCAAAACAGAAGCAGCAAACATGATGGTTAGTTTCAAGGCGGATGGTGCCAGGGCCACCAGGCCTGAATGTGAGCCAAGGGAGGACAGGGAAGGCGCTGAACCCTGGTCAGGTCGGTGATGGCATCTCACAGAATTTGGGCTCAGAGGCAGAGCTAGGGGCTGAGGTGCAGAGGAGTCAGGAAGAGACAGGACACTGCATCTGGGACTCAGCAACTTGCTTTTCTTTCCACCCTGAGTATGTTTTCTAATTGAGATGAGATTGGTTTAAAGGGTCAGAACTAGGGTGGACTGAACATTTTGCTATGTTTAGTCACACACCATCCAATTCTTCTCCTCAGTACAAGAGGACATTAGGAGTATATGTAGGGCATGACACTACAGTAGTGGGAAGCAGCGGTTTGGAGACTAATAAGGGAAATCAAAAATCAGGGAGAAGGTGAGGCTGCAGGGTGCACAGGTTGCCAGGGTTCCCAAGCCAGAGAGAGGCTGGAACTCACCAAACAAAAGGAACATGTTGTAGATACTCAGGGGTCAGATGAGGGGTCTGAGGATCCAGCGCTGGAATCCATAAAAATAAAAGTCTCAGAAAACAAATGAATCCTGACGATTGTGATCAAGAGAAGAAGGAAGACACGAATACATAATATTGTGAATGAAAAGGGGCCCACACTAAACACAGAAGTAAAAAAGATGATGAAAACTATACCAAGAACTATGTTATTGAAATAAACAAATTGTAGGGAAAATATTGCTTGTAGAAATGATTTAAAGAGAAATAAAAAGCTCAAATTGTTCTATAACTATTAAAGAAATTAAATTAGTGCTTCAAATCTTCCTTCAAATAAAACAGCAGAACCAGATGGCTATATAGATGAGTTCTCTCAAGTGTTCAAAATAAAGAGTACTCTTTTTTTGCTTTTTACAAACTCTTTTAATGGTTAGAGCAGAGAGAGTGTCTGGCCTGTTCTACAAGAGAAGCAGAAACCCCAATATAAAAATCCAAAGAAGACACATAAAAGAAATAAAAATTGCAGGTCAATTTCACTCATGCAAAAATCATTGAAGAAAATCAAATGCAATGTGTGTTAAAATAAGAGAATACACCAAGACAAAGTTGGATTTATCTTAGGTATGCAAAGATGATTTGATATTAAAAAATAAATGTAGTTCATACTAATAAATATTTAGACAGTGAATAAAATTCACATTGAAAATAGCATAGTAGAAGCTCAGAGAAAACTTGCAATACAAAACCTATTGAAATCTGCTCATCTTGGATTTTTCCAAGACTTACTTGCATACTGAACTCATTAAAACTTATCCTAAGAATAACTTAAAAACATATTTGCTCTTAAGTATTTGAAAGGGGCAACAAACAATGTATGAGTCTCTCAAGATTGATTCTACATATTTAATTTCTCTTTTAGAATAGTGTGCTGCGGTATACTGGAAGTCACCCTGAGACAGGGTCCATGAGCTACGATTTGTAGCCTTCATGCTGCCACTAATAAGCTAAGTGACCTTTCTACTTATCTGTATTCTAGCTTTCTAAAATTCAAAATGAAGAAGTGTGGTCATACAATCTGTATAATTGCTTTTCCCTCCTCAGAGTTTTGAGTTTTTCTAGGTTAGAGAAATATAATTTTTTATACTTATATGCATGGTTTTGTGTTTTTGTACTATAATAAATCTGCCAAACGAGAGATCTTCTACCATTTTGATAAATTTGTGTGGCATCAGTTGTCTAACAAAATATAGTTTCAACACTTTTAAGCCTCTACCAGCCATGATCCGGAGTCCAAGAGGACCTGGAAGGCAGTCCATTCTGAGCAGGCAACACTCTGGCAAGGTCATTCTGCTGTGTCTACCTTCACATGCAGGTTTTGACACTAGGGTCATTAGGACAGTGCTTTTTCAATGCAGTACACATTTTGAAATGCACACTAATTTCGTGATAAAACATAACACACCATCAGCCCTTTCATTCATAAGTATCACCGATTTCTGTATGTAACATACAGCCTCCTTCGAACCTGCATCCTGAGCTCTAAACTCTTCTGAGCCATGCTCTATCCCCTCAGGATCAAAATGCCTTACAGCTAGAAAAGTTCCTAACAAATAGTGGACACTGAATAAGTGATTCTTAAAGGATTGAGGGGATGATCGTTAGAATTTTACATTCTATACTGACTTCCCACACTCACTTTTGAGGAAAGAACTCTTTTTATGATTTTTTCAACTGTGGTGCCCCTAGGGCTCAAAACAGATCTACATCCATAGTGAATGAATTAATAAAGTATTAATGCAGTCAATAAGTGAATAACAAAGGCTGTTCAATCTAACACAAAGGACATTTAATAAACACATACCATGTGTTACCATATGATGTGTATATGCATTTTAGATAAAATCATGAATATAGGGATAATGCAAACGATAAAAATAATTGAGGACATAGGAAAATAGGAAGTGTTTATAAGGAAATAAAACAGACAGCTTCTAAAGTGGCTTCAATGATCTTACCTCTTGGTATTCATGCCATTGTGAAATTTCCTCCCCTTGTACGTAAGCTGAACCAATGGACTTTCTTCTAAAGAATAGAATAAGTAAATCAATAAATGGGATTCACCACATAAACAGAATTAAAAACAAAAGCCATATGATCATCTCAATAGATGTAGAAAAAAGAATTTGATAAAATGCAACACCCTTTCATGATAAAAAGCCTTAAACTAAGCATTAAAGAAACATAACTCAAAATAATAAGGACCATCTATGACGAACCCACAGCGAACATCATACTGAATGGACAAAAGCTGGAAGCATTCCTCTGGAGAACCAGAACAAGACTAGGATGCGCCCTCTCACCACTCCTATTCAACATGGTACTGGAAGAGCTGGCCAGAGCAATCAGGCAGGAGAAAGAAATAAAAGGCATCCAAAGAGGTAAAAACAAAGTCAAATTGTCTCTTTCTGCTGATGATATGATTCTATATTTAGAAAACCCTAAAGATTATACCCAAAGACGCCTTGACCTGATAAATGACTTCAGTAAAGTTTCAGGACACAAAATCAATGTACAAAAATAGTAGCATTTCTTTTTTTATGTCTTTTTTTTTGTCTTCAACTTTTATTTTAAGTTCCAGGGCACATATGCAGGATGTTCAGGTTTGTTACATAGCTAAATGTGTGCCACAGTGTTTTGCTAGACAGATCAATCCATCATCTAGGTATTAAGCCAAGTATCCATTAGCTGTTCTTCCTGATGCTCTCCCTTCTCACATGCACCAACAGGCCCCAGAATGTGGACACGTGTTCCCCCCATATGTCCATGAGTTCTCATTGTTCAGCTCCCACTTGTAAGAGAGAACATGTGGCATTTGTTTTTCTGTTCCCGCAATAGTTTACTGAGGATAATGGCTCCTATCTCCATCCATGTCTCTGTAAAGGACATGATCTCATTCCTTTTTATGACTGCATAGTATTCCATGGTGTATATGTACCACATTTTCTTTATGTAGTATATCATTGAAGGGCATCTGGGTTGATTCCATGTCTTTGCTGTTGTGAATAGTGCTGCAATGAACATGCATGTGCATGTATCTTTATAATAGAATGATTTATATTCCTTTGGGTATATATATATAAATTGGATAAATAAATGCAGTACATATACACCATGGAATACTACAGAGCAATAAAGAAGAACAAAATTGTGGCTTTTGCAACAATATGGATGCAACTGGAGGCCTTATCCTGTGTTAATTAATGCAGAAACAGAAAACCCAATACCACATGTTCTCTTTTCTAAGTGGGAGCTAAATGAACACTTGGTACACACGGACACAAGACGAGAACGATAAATACTGGGGGTTCCACGAAGCGGCAGAGAGACAGAGGGGCAAGGCTGGAAAAACTACCCCTTGGGTCCTGTGTTCACTGTTTGGGCGACAGCCTCAGCTGAAGCCCGAACCTCAGTATCAAGCACTATATGCACATGAAAAACCGACACATGTACCCCCTGAATCCGAATAAAAGGAAGACTCCTTTTTAGCGATGGGATGGGATGTTGGAATGTCACGCTGAGATCAGGCTGCACAAAGGCAGGGATTTGCACCCAGCCCACTCTGCAGTGCTTTTCACTTGCCTGTTCGGTCTGCCATGTTGAGAGCTGCCCCAGGGAAAGGCCCATTAGGCAAGGACCTGAGGGAGACCCTTGTCCAAAAATCAGAAACTCGAGATCCCAGCCTAATAGCTTGAGAAACACTGAATCCTGCCAATGACCCCATGAATGAGCTTGGAAATGAATCCTCCCTTTGTCAAGGCTTCAGTTGAGAACACGGACCTGACCGAAATTTGACTGTGATCTTGTGACATACCTTGGGCAGAGGCCCCGGGCTAAGCTGCCCCCACAGAAACTGTGAGATAATAAATGGTGGTTACTTTGAAGCCCTCATGTTTTGAGTAATTTGTTATGCTGCAATAGACAACGAATACTGTCAGGAATAAAATTAGCACATCAAACTTATATTGGTATTGTGTGGTGGGTACACAATTGCTAGAAGCAAGTCCAAATCTCACCTCTAGGTCTGGCTTTCTCTAAAGAGCTAAGCAAAGAGAGACACTGCCATGCCCAAGAAACAGTGTCCATAAGATAGATGCAACTGAACTGTTGAGGAGAATCAGGGCTTTTCTCCATTTTGGAGCTGGAAGAGATGTTTCCCATTAGTTTTCTTAAAGTGATCCCAGGTGATGGATTAGGTGATGTCTAACACCACCACAAGAATGAATAAATGCATATCCAGGGCTCACTCTCAATGGATAACATCTCTCAGTATTAGTCATTGCCAGAATAAAGCTTGAGTGTTTTTACAATAGGCTACAAAAACTATAAACACACATCATTCTAATGGTCAAGCTTGACTTTAAGGTAAAATTTAGAATATGCAGAGAGGCATATGGATGAATGGATGAATTCTAACCCTATTCTTAATAAGAATTGGTGAGTATAAACTTCAAGGCTGTAACCAAAGGCAAAACTCAGAAGTAAAGATATTTTGTGTTGCAATTTGAAAAGAGCTCCATAAATTTTAAAATCAAAATCATTTTATTAAATTAGGTACAATATTAGATGCTCAGCTCGCACACCGATCTAGACAAGATGCCACATCAGGAAGTAATTTTAGAAAGTGGGGAAGAGGTGAGCATCCCCATTCTCCAGCCCAGGGCTCCAGCCAATGTCAACAACTAGTGATGTCCTGTCTGTCATTGAACTACAGGCAGGCCCACAGACCTCTAGTGAAGGTGTGGAGTCTGTGGTTTCAGTTGTAGTGAGTTCTCTCCTTGCAACTGCTCATTGTATCCCAAACTGGAAAATGACTATAAGATGTTCAGAAATGAATAGTATTAGGTTATTTTTTTTTTTACCTACCTGAAGCACATGTGCCCTCAGGACAATTTTTACTTCTTCCAACCCAAATGACCTTGAAACAGGAACGTTTATTTCACGTGCTGCTAATGACAAGGTAATAACTGTTCAATTAAAAAGTGTTATGAAATCTCTCTTTTCCTTTTAAATCCCTTAAATTTTCTGCAAATGTGATTTTTTTCTGTCATACCTGTCTCATTGACATAGCTGATCTCCTGGAGTAGTTCAGAAACAAACTTTCTGTTTACACAGCCTATCAGGAGCACAAAACCTCGTTTTCTGCCCTGACTTTTCCCTGATATGACCAAAGGGAGCACGAAATTGTGGGGATTTGTGGAGAGCGATTTGTCAGCCTTTTCTTATTTACTTGGACTGTGAGATATAAATTGAATTTGGGGCTCTCTCTTCAAGAATAAGTTATTTGTTATCAAATAGGATAACATTAGTGGATCGGACGTGGATAAGTTGTTTCTCTTATAACCTCGTTAGGTGTGTGAGGGTGCTCTGAGTTCTAGAATAATGGTTTGCTTTTCTGTGTACACTTGGCTTTCATTTATGACTATCTCATTTGAACACCCTTGGTCTGCTGGATAGTGAATGTCTTTCCACATAAAATGGAACAGACTGAAGACAGCAGAACTACTTATTACAGCCATTTTAACAGACATGGCAGGTTTTCACATGGTTTCCTCAGCTATTGGGATTATTACTGATTGAACATACAGTCTATGAGAACTGATTAACAATGTCACGGCTACTAGATTGCTTGGTGAACTCACTTGACCTTAGTGGTAACTGTGGCACGATGGTGCTTGAGAAATCATCAAAACTTAAAAGAAAAATGAGAAGATAATGGTTAAAATATGAATTGGTAAATGCTAATATAAATCAGCTGCTATTCAAATTCCTTAGTTGACTTGTTCCCTATTTAGGTAGTGACTCCGTCAGATATGGAAATGTTGAGGCATCTGACATTACCTCCAATGTGGAAAAGCATCCACACATATGGAACAAAGAATTGCCCCAAATAACAAAAATGCAGCTGCAATTACAGAACAAACACGTTGCCTCCTATATCTCAGCACAGTTGTTTCTGTTTTATGGTACTTATTTATGTAGTGACTAATCTGGGATATTCAGTAATTTGCAGTGGGGCCTTTCATCATTAGTGCGAGTTAACAAAATGGTTCTGTTGTCCTTAGTAATTAATTTGGTAGGAAATGAGGAAGATACAACACATTCTGAGGGCTGCTCAATACCTTTATCTTCCTTTACTGTCTGTTAGCTAAATATGGAATTTTAATTTCCTCCCTAATTATCAAAGAGTCTTTTGCTAAATGGGCATGTCCCTGAGGCCCAATTGCTTACTTTTACTCTCTAGATTTTCACCTCACTTTTTGGAAATGCATTCTTATGAACTTGCAAGTCGTTCACAAACATTTCTATGGTAAAAAGTTAAACACTAACCAACATTAAACAGCTCCAGAGTGTGTTG
Organism: Homo sapiens; assembly: GCF_000001405.40. Lineage (NCBI taxonomy): Eukaryota > Metazoa > Chordata > Mammalia > Primates > Hominidae > Homo > Homo sapiens. The sequence goes on from NC_000004.12 coordinate 187,102,224, forward strand.
AGCCTTCTGCCAGCCCCTTCACTGATGTCATTTCATTTGTTCCTCCGGGTAACCCTTCAAGGGTGGCAATGAAGGGATGTGGTTTGCAAGAAGAAAACTGGCTTGTTGAAGCTTCTTCCTCAACATCCTGTTATCTAGGTGGAGAAACTGAGATTCAAACTTAGTTTTGTTTTGAAGCCCACAGTGTGGTTGGTCTGGCTCTAGAGCCCACATTCGCTGTGAAAAGGTAACATTACTGTACTTATCCTGAGTTGGTTTAGCTTTGGCATCTCATCAGTGCTGCTGCTCAGTTACTGCTTGTCATATGATGCCTAACAGTTTTCTGAGTTTTACCTTGGCATGGAAGATTGGAGATATGCAAACTTGCATGCCTTTATTTCCTCTAGACTTTGCCGATTCTATGGAAACCAAAACGATTTTTTATATCAAAGTCGATTAGCATTTTTCAGAACAAGTAGAACACCTGAAATTTAAGTTAAAACTGTAGCTACCATTTGTGTCTGCATTCACATCATTCTAACAATCTAGATGATGCCTTGCCATAGTTAAATATCTACATTGCCAACATGATAATGATGATGACAGTAACAACAGCAGCTACTCTTTACTCATTGTGAAATACATTCTAGGCTGGGTAGTTAACGATTATCGAAGTTTTTCAAATGAGAAAAATATGGTATAGCACAGTTAAGAAATTTACTCAGGGTCTTACAGCTAGTAAGTGGCAGTGTTAAACCAATATTTTAAAATTTGCTCATAATTGGTTAACATTTTTCTGTTTTCTTGGTATTAGTTATATGTACAGAGTGAGTATCCTTTGAAATGTTTGGAATCAGAAGTGTTTTGGATTTTTTTATTTTGGAACATTTTGCATATACATAATAAGATATCTAGGGGATTGGATCCAAGTCCAAACATGATATTGATTTAAGTCTTAAATACACCTTGAAAACACAGACTGAAAGTGATCTTACAC